>NC_000019.10:40271177-40574207 GCF_000001405.40 Homo sapiens
AAAAAAAAAAAAAACATACGTACATACATACATACATATATATATATATACACACATATATATGTATATATACACGTATATATACATATATATATATATAGTAGTCAGGTGTGGTGGTGTGCACCTGTAGTTTCAGGTACCTGGGAGGCTGAGGTGGGAGGTTGACCTGAGCCTGGGAGGTAGAGGTTGCAGTGAGCTGAGATTGTGCCACTGCACTCCAGCCTGGGTGACAAAGCCAGACCCTGTCTCAAAAAAAAAAAAAAAAAAACCAAAAAACCCAAAGACAACAGGAACTAGTGGTGTAACAGGCAGCATCTGCTCATGGGAACTCAGGAGAAAGGCACCTGGGGCAAGACGTGAGGGAACCAACTCCCTCATCTGCCACCAGCCATTCACCACTCTATAAACTGGTCCCAGCGTCTTGTGAGAACATTCTGGTAAAACTCATAAAGTGGAAAATGTACATGTGCTTGGAGGAATTTCTCCTGCAGAAAATGCTAGTGCCAGGGCACAGAAGTTCTAAGCTGGGAATTCTCAGCCTCAACACTAGTGACATTTGGGGATAGAGAATCCCTGATGTGGGGACTCTTCTGCACCCTGAAGAGGTCTGGCAGCATCCTGGGTCTCTACTCACTAAAGCCAACAGAACACCTTCCCCTGGTTACGACAATCAAACATGTCTTCAGTCATCACCAAATGTCTCCTGGGGTACAAAACCACCACCAGCTGACAACCGCTGTCCTAAGTATGTACTGCTGAAATAGGGAAACCTGGCAACAATCTAAAAGCTCACAACAGGGGTCTGGTGCTATATATTGGTTAATATCATGACTCTACTAAAAAGAGCAAGGCTCACATAGCCCATACCACGTGCCAGGCCCATTTGAGTGCTTCGCACATACCAATATAACCCTCACAGCAACACTTTGAGGCAGACACTCCTACTGTTTCTATGACAATGAGGAAACTGAGGCACAGAAGTGAAATGACTTGCCCTATGACTTCATCTCAGGAAGTACAGGCGGCCTGGCTCCCCCACAACACCATGCCACACAGCCTTGAGAGTTAGGCAGATCTGGACTGGGGTCCTTGTTTGCCCACTTTCTAGACTCCCAAGCCTCCGTTTCCTCCTGTCCTTGCAAGGACAGACAGCAGCGCTTTCATCACAGGCTAATGCAGGGAAGGGCTCAGCACAGCACCCAGCACGTGGAGACGGTCTGGCCACACAACACAACAAGCCATCCTGAGCACAGAAACACAGAAACCAGCCCTGCTGTGCTGACACTGGGACCATCAGCATTCGCTAACGAAGGCTCGCGGCACGACAGAATGCAGGCGGGATGCCTTTTCTGAAACGCACACACACACGCCCTGTCACCTCAATTCTACAATATGCGTATTGTTTCACATGCTGATGTCATTGAGATTGGCATGTACCTTGCAATCCATGGACAAAACTCACCTATCGCATTCTTTTCAGAAAAGCAGTTATATGATCAATGATGGACCTTATAGGGCATACTGTCTTAGACTTCAGGGCACGGGGAGGTATGTGTTTAAATGTCACACGCACAGAAAAAAGAAATCCGAAGGAAATACGCCACACTAAGAGGCAGGAGAGTGGGTGCGGGAGGCAAGGCAGCCTCAGGAACCAAATGCCAGCTTTTCAGCCCTGGCTGTGTCACCTGCTGTGAGACCTTGGGCAAGTCACCAAGTCATGTTCCCTTTCTTCACCTCTGTTTCCTCATCTGTATATTAGAGATAATAACTGCATATACCTATCTCTAAGGCTATTGGAGGGTTCAGTGAGTTAATCCACATGAAGTCCTCCCAAAAGAGCCTGTAAGAGCAACTGCTCAACACGTATCAAATATTATCATCACTGGCCAGGCGCGGTGGCTCATGACTGTAATCCCAGCACTTTGGGAGGCCGAGGCGGGCAAATCACAAGGTCAGGAGGTCGAGACCAGCCTGGCCAATATGGTGAAACTCTGTCTCTACTAAAAATTCAAAAATTAGCCGGGCTGGTGGCAGGCACCTGTAATTCCAGCTACTCAGGAGGCTGAGGCAGGAGAATTGCTTGGACCCGGGAGGCAGAGGTTGGAGTAAGCAGAGATTGCACCACTGCACTCCAGCCTGAGGGACAGAGCAAGACTCCATCTCAAAAAAAAAAAAAAAATTATTATTTCCTCTGATGGGTGGAGACATGGGAAACTTCACTTTCTATACTGTATGTTTCTGAACAGGTGAATTTTTACCTATTCTACCTCCTTGGTGAGAAGGTGGCACTGAAGAAACTTTTTTTTTTTTTTCCTGAAAAGGTCTGGGTACTTCAAAAAAAAAAAAGAGAGAGACTTTTTGTTTCTTTTTTCTTTTAAACACACTCCCTACACTCGCCCCATCTGTCTGCTTGGAGCAGGTGGGGCTGGAGGCAGGTTGAAGCCGTGGGCAGGCTGCAAAAGAAACGGGGACAAGAATAAGCACAGAGCAGATTCCTTCTCCTCCCTGCCACCCCACACACACACCTTCCCCCTCACGCCACCCAGGGCCTTACAGCACCCACAGAAATCATGTCAAATATTCTAGTCTGCTTGGCCACGGGCTCCATACACTCTGAGGGCTCCATGCTGCAACCAGCGGGATCCTCCACGCAGTTCTGACCCTGTCCCTCCCCTGCTCAGGACCTCTCCCTAGTGCCCATGGATCACGTCCAAGGCCCCTATGGAGGCTGCCAGGGGCCATCTGCCTTGGCCCCGCCTGCTCTCCAGCCTCACTGGTCTGCTCGCTCCAACACACAATCTCCCCTTCTCCTGGCCCCATGAAGACTCCCTGCTCTCACACCCCAAGACCTTTGCACATGCTGTACCCCTTGCCTGGCACTCTGTTCACCCATCTTCTTCACGGAGGCCTTCCCTGACCACCCCTCTCCCACGAGCAGCGGACTCTCAGAGCTCAGCCTTCCCTTCCCCTCACAGCACTTGCCTCTGTCACCTGCATGACTATGTGGGTAATGTCGCCTCTCCCACTGGACTGTGGGTTCCACAAGGCAGGGATACAGTCTGTCCTAGCCCCCACTGTGTCCCCAGCTCCACTCAGCACAGGGATGGGCCCATAACTTTCATTACTTCAGGGGGGAGTGGTGAACAGAACCACAGCATTTGTGCCAAGTGAAGGTAAAACAAAAAATCCTGCATTCATTCATTCCACAAATATCACAACAACTCTGCATCATCACTGCTCGGGTCACCAGGGATTCAGCAGTGACCAAAACAGAACTCCCTGCCATTGGGGAGTTGGGGGAATGAGGGAACAGGCAGCAAAATAAAAAATAAATACATACGCAAATTAGACAGGATAGCCAAAGCTAACAAATGCCATGGAGAAAAGGAGCACACGGAAGATTCAGTGCAGGGAAAGGGAGCAGGGGTTTCCGACTATACACAGGATGGTGACAGAAGGGCGCACTGAGGCAGCGCAGTCTGAGCAAAACCGGAAGCAGGTGAGAGAGCCGGGGGAGACCTGGGGAGGAACGCTGCAGGCAGGGGAGGAGCAGGGCTGAGGCGCGTTCGAGGCGCCTACAGGAGTGGGTGAAGGGGAGGGCCGGGAGATGTAGCTAGAGGAAGCTGGGGACCGCTGGGCAGGGCCTTGGGGGCCACTGTCAGCATTGTGGCTCTTATTTGGAGTGAGAGGGGAACTATCCGCCTGAGGCGAGCTGGGGAGTGGGGGAGGGGCAGCAGGTGGAACCCCTTGCACCCAGGGCAGGGCAGGAGTCCTTAGGGAGGCAGCCCTTCCTCTCCAGGAGCTGTCCCCAGAATAAGCCCTGGGCACTGGCCTGATGGGCTCACCACCTGCCTCACTTGAGAACCATGAGGACCTGCATGCAGCAGATGTGAAAACCGAGGATGGGAGAGATTCGGTGAATACCCACAGCGAGAGACAGCAGGGACACAGCCAAGGAGCCCGGACCCCTCTCCTCCGAGCCCTGAGCTGCCTCCACCTCCTTCTGCCTTTGCTCCCAAGAGACAGGGCCACCTCCCATCTTGTGTCGCCTCCTCCCACACCCCGGCCAGCCCTTCCTTACCGCCCCTGATGTGCACGCATGCACGGGAGCCCTCCAGTTGGACTGCATGGGGAATCCCTGACCCACGTCGCTCTGCATCGCCACCACCTCCCTGGGAGCTCCAGGGCAGGGCCCAGTGGCAAAAGGAGAAACCAGTGGGTCTGCATCAAGGCTAATACTCAGTGAGCACTCACAAAGCACCAGGCATGGATTAATGTTCATCTTCACAGCCAGCCTGTGTTACTATCCCCGTTCCTCACATGGGAAAACTGAGGCCCAGGGAGAGAGCCACATGCACACAGTCACAGCGAGTAGGTGCAGGAGAGGGACCGCAACCAGAGCAGAACTAGCCCACAGACCTTTCCATAACGACAGAAATGTGGTTACTAAATGTTTGAATGATGGCTAGTGCAACTAAAGAACTGACTTTTTACTTTTCTTTAATTGTAATTAATTAAAACTTAAAAAGCCATATGTGAGTCCGGGCACGATGACTCACGCCTGTAATCCCAGCACTTTGGGAGGCTGGGGGGGGGGGGGGTGGGCGGGGGGCGATCACAAGGTCAGGAGTTCAAGACCAGCCTGGCCAAGATGGTGAAACCCTGTCTCTACTAAAAATACAAAAATTAGCCAGGCGTGGTGGTAGGCGCCTGTAATCCCAGCTACTCGGGAGGCTGAGGCAGAGAATCGCTTGAACCCGGGAGGCGGCGGTTGTAGTGAGACAAGATCACACCACTGCACTCCAGCCTGGGTGACAGAGCAAGACTCCGTCTCAAAAAAAAAAAAAAAAGTCCATACATGGCTAGTAGCTACCATTCTGGAGTGCAATTCTATAGAATTCCTGCTAATTAAGCACCGGGAGCTTAAAGGCAGGAGGCAGGGATGTGACTCTCACAGGCCCAAGAGGAGCCAGATCATCCCAGTGCGGCTGGAAGCTCCCATGCTATACCCCATCTCTCCCGCACCCCAACGCAGCTTACCTGGGGAATTGGAGCAGGACTCAGGCCCAAACTCACACCTCTAGTCAACTCAAATCCTGACTCTACCACTTCCAGGCTACACAGGTCACTTCTCTGAACCTCAGCTTCCGCATCTGTAAAATGGAATCTTTTTTTTTTTTTTTTTTTTTTTTTTTTTTTTTTTTTTTGAGACAGAGTCTCACTCTGTCGCCAGGCTGGAGTGCAGTAGTGCGATCTTGGCTCACTGCAACCTCTGCTTCCCAGGTTCAAGCAATTCTCCTGTCTCAACCTCCCGAATAGCTAGGATTATAGGCACCCACCACCACACCTGGCTAATTTTTGTATTTTTAGTACAGACAGGGTTTCACCATCTTGGCCAGGCTGGTACTGAACTCCTGACCTCGTGATCCACCCTCCTCGGCCTCCCAAAGTGCTGGGATTACAGGTGTGAACCACCGTGCCCAGCCTGTAGAATGGAATCTTAACACCAATCTGCCCAAGCACATGTTTATGTTATCTCAAAAGATAATTTTTGCAGGCCAGGTGCAGTGATTCACGCCTGTAATCCCAGCACTTTGGGAGGCTGAGGGATGTGGATCACTGGAGCCCAAAAGTTCAAGATCAGCCTGAGCAAAATAGGGAGACTCCCATCTCTACTGAAAATTGTTTTAAAAAAATTAGCCAGGTATGATGGTGCATGCCTGTAGTCCCAGCTACTCAGAAGGCTGAGGTGGGAGGACCACTTGAGCCAGTGAGGTCAAGGCTGCAATCAGCCATGATGGTGCCACTGCATTCCAGCCTGGGTGACAGAGCCAGACCCTGTCTCAAAAAAATAATGAAAAATTTAAAAAGATGATTTTTCTGATAACCATGGGTTGTCCTGGGGACCCAATGAGATGGCTTCACACACAGCTGGGGACAGGGCCAGTGCTTGAAAAATAGGTGGCAATTACATAAAGGACTCTGACATCAGGGGCCGTCCTGAGCCTGTCAGAGCCATGCAGTGGCAGCTAATGTTACTGCTGTCACTACTTGGTTCTAAAGGAATCATCCCAATAATTTCCAACATGCCCCTACTAACTTTTTGAAAATATCATCTAAATGAAAACACACAGCTAAAAAGAGTCAATGCCCTGCAGACACCTCCTCCCACCCGCCAAGGCCTTCGGACACCAGTTTGAGAAGCTGGGCTCTAGGGCGCCCTGTCTCCAAAGCAGAATATGGTCTGCTTTCTCCATCCCTGGCTGCCACCTGAATCCAGCCAGCTCTCTCCCACACAGGTCCCTCCCCACCCACCTGTGTCCCTTCTCTTTGGGGATAAAGCCCTGGATCCCCATCATAGCCCAGGCCCTGAGCCCTGCCACCCTGCTCTCTCCCCCTCACCCACTCCCCCGGCTCCAGCTACATGGGCCTGCTGTTCCACCAGCACATCCAGATATCGCCTTCCTTGCGGCCTTTACCTGGCTGCACCCCGTCCAGCCCACTTCCTCGGGCTCTCACATCACAGGGGCTCCTCAGCAGCCTTCCCAAGCCCCTCTCCCACCCAGTCCAGCTAGATCTCTGTTCCCTCCTTCAGCCACACCAAGCACTCACAGGCCAATGCAACCTCTCTGCCACCTCCGATCGCATCCAGAACTACACGTGGCACATAGAAGTGATTCAATCAATATTTGGAGACAGATGGAACACACAAATGACCAAGAACAGCCAAAGGCTGGCTCCTGAGGCTGTTCAGCAATCAGGCCCCTAGGGCAGTGGGGAGGGGGTGCCTCCCATCCTCATCTCTTCCCCCTGGGCCCCCCTTGGGAGGGGCCAAGGTCATGGTATTGGGGGTGGAGAGAAGCAGCCACACCCCACATCCCAAGCAGGCATGGAATGGAGTCATTTCTGGATTACTGAGGCCTACTTTGTGCCAGCTCTGTCTAGGAGAAGAGAAAGCAGAAAAGAAATCATGATGACAACAGTGACAACTCCAGTCATAGCAGGCAGGGCAAGAAGATGAGGCTGTCTTCAAAAGGCAGCTTCGCCGACAGAGCAGGGTTCAACCATCATGCCTATTACTGACTTCCAGCAAATCCAATAACCTCTCTATGCCCGTTTCCTCCCCTGTACAACGGGGACGATCGGGACAGCGAGCTGCCAGGCTGTGGTGAGGATGAGTGAGAGCAGACACCTTAAGCTCTGCAGCAGTGCCCAGCACTGAGAGGCGAACTACTCACGAGAATGACCCCAATATTCTATGTGGCTTCCTGGGCCTCAGTTTCCTATCTACGAGATGGGAGTGCTAACACTGCCCACCTCCCAGGCTGCTGTGCAGGTTTGTAGAGCTAATATGCAGCGTCTGGTTGGGCAGGAGTACAGTGGTGGGAGTGATTCACATTCCTGTCTGGAGCCCTCCCATCAGCTAACAGGCCCTACCACTCTCTCCCAAGGACCAACAACGAGCCTGTGCCCACTGCCCTGCAGAGCCCCTTCTGTGCTCTCAGGTGCCCTCAGTCCTGTCTGGCAATCACCAGGAGTAGCATCAGCCCAAATTCATCCCGCCGCCTCCTCAGGAGGCCTGTGCTTTCCAACGCAGCAGCTCCGTGCATCCTCCCCACCGCCCCACTCAGCAGGAAGGTTCCCGTTTACAGCTGAGCAAAATGCACCTTAGGGAGAAGAAATAAGGCCCCAGAGCTCCACAGCCACCGAGAGGGGTGCCAAGAGCAGGGTTCTCACCCACGTCAGCTACCCCCGGGACCAGGTCACTCAGCAGCCCCAGCTGGGTAAGTGTACACCAAAAACCCACCAGACCATGAAGAACTTGAAGCCAGGCTGGAGAAGAGAACCGGGGAGCGGCAACTGCCCCAGCCCATTCGGAAAGGGCCCACAAAGTGGCAAACCGAGGAAGACTTGGGTTTCTGGCCTCACCCTTAGAAACAACATCTGCGAACGAGCTTCTCCAGCAGGACGGCTGGGCTGAAGAAACTCCTGCTGGGACCTCTGACATGCAGTCTCCTCTTGGCCGACCCGGCTTGCTGTCCCTCGCTCGGCACAGTCAGAGCACCTGGGCCCTGCTGTGGGTGCCGAGTTGGCAGTGGGTCCTGCCCCAAGGGGGCCAGGCTGAGCTCCCACCCAGCGCCCCTCCCACACTCACTCCCTCCCTCCTGGTCCTGCTCCCAGGCTGTCTCCCCCAGCTGGGCCTCTCGCTGCTTGGCTGGCTGTCCAGAAGAGCCTGCCATGGAACCACCCCACCGTGCGGCCCGGAGGCCTGTGGTTGAGGGCCTTCCGCTGAGAGCTCTGGGAAGCTGAAGAGAGGCCCGGGGAGGGGTGACCCTGGGTCCTCCAGGGGCTTGGAGCTCAAGTCTGAAAGACACTCCTTTCCATCCCAACCCATCCCGGGGGCCTTCTGGAGACCCTAGTGGTTTGTTCTGAGGGGTTCTGCTCCTTCTAGGAAGATACCCTGGAACACACCTCAAAAAAAAAAAAAAAAGCCAGAGCGCCTGCTCCCGCACCAAGCCTTAGGGGTGAGCCCATGGGTGGGATCAGAAGTCACACTCACCAGGGGCTACTGAGCTGTGGTGGGGGAATCTCTGGAAGCCCAGATTCATAGCCTGTCCCCAACACTTCCTGGTTGGGGGACTCAGCACAAGCTACAGAGGCTCTCCAGGCTTCAGTTCTCACCACTTGTAAAGCGGGAATCAGAGAAGATTCCTCCTGGGTCTAATGGGTCTTCACCCAGATCCTCCCATGGCTCCCTCACAGCACTCCAGTCCCTACCCACACGTCACCTCCTCAGGGAGGTCCTCCCTGATCACCCAGCTATAGTGGAGAAACATGCCCACACTCTCAACCTGGCCCTCATTTATTTTGCCTTCGTAATATCAACCACACCTGAGCCCAACCAGAGACCTGGGTGCTGGGCGCCAGTCACAAGCCCTGGTCTTTCCAATTCCAGAGGAGCACTGGGAATGGCGCAGGCCTACAGGCCCACGGCAGCGTGGACGCAGGGTCAGCGGGTGCTGTCTGTATCAGGTGTGACTGCTGCCCTGCGTTGCTATTCAGTATTAGTCCGGCTGGTTGGGTTGGGGAGGAATGGGCAGAGAAATCAGCCCAATGAGCCTCCCCTCCTCTTTCCCTAAAAGTAACAGCCACGGGCTCTGGAGAACACGGTGTGAAAACCACAGGAGGGAGGCAACCCTCAGGCCTTTGCTGGCTGTAAGGCAGTGATGCTACTGGAGGGGAAGTGGGAGGCCTGTGAAACGCCCTGCTCCGCTCAGTCAAATCTACCCACGCCCCCAGGCAGGAGCCTGTGACCGGCTCCTGGGTCACCTGCTAACACCCTGAATCTGACCAGGCTGTTCCTGCTGAAATTCCAAACTCCTTCACAGACAGTCCACAAGGCTCCCAGTGAAAGGGCCCTGCCTGCCCCGCAGCCCCAGGACTCATCTCCTCCCTGCTCCCTCGCTCTGCCAAGCCACACAGGCCTCCGTGAGGCTTGTCCCTGCACCTCACCAAGCTCTGTCCTCCCTTCAGACCTTTGCACTGTGGTTCCCTCCACCTGGAGGGCTGTTCCTTCTCCTCCCATCCCACATGACTGCCTCACCTTGCCAAACTGGGATCAGCTCAGAGGCCCTCCCCACAGCCGCATGCATCTAAAGAAGTGCCCAGTCTGTCACCTGATTTGAATTCGCTGCCTAGCTCCTCCCCCTCTAACCGGCTCCTTGCTTATTAACCTGTTTCGGGTTGGTCTTGCTTAGCCCCACAAGGATAGGGACTTTGGCAAGTACACTGCTGTATTCCCAGTACTGATGCAACGCTGGCACATACGAGGTGTTCAGTAAATGGTGGCGGATGAGTGAAACCTTTTCCTCGGCTCCACAATACCCTTAGGATCCATCCTCACCTCTCACCCAGGCCCACAGGCCAGTGCAGCACAGCCCCTGCCAACCCCTGCAGGCACTTCTGCTGCTCCCCCTGCCCAGGCCCAGCCTTCCTGCCACTCCCAGAGCTGTGAGCTGTGGTGGGCTGGGAACCAGGGGCAGTGGCATGCACCTACGGTCCCAGCTACTCAGGAGACTGAGGCAGGAGGATCACTTGAGCCCAGGAGTTCAAGACTAGCCTGAGCAACATAGCGAGACTCCCGTTTCCACAAAAAATTTAAAAATTAGCTAGGCATGGTGGCATGCACCTGTAGTCCCAGCTACTCAAGAGGATGAGGTGGAAGGATCACTAAAGCCTAGGAGGTCAAGCCTGCAGTGAGCTGTGATCACACCACTGCACTCCAGCCTGGGTGACAGAGGGAGGCCCTGTCTCAAAAGAAAAAAAAAAACAAGCACAGAGCCTGACCTCTGAAAAGACTCCAGTGTGTCTACCTTGGAGGCGCTCAGGGCTGCAAAGCCACTGCGTGGAAGAGGAGTGGGCCCGGGAGCTGCCCTTGTCAGTTCTGACTTGATTGCATGTCTCCCCCGACCTCTGTTTCTGCATCTGTAAAACTGAGATGCTAATTTCAGCCCTGATCTCCTCCTAGTGCTCTCTGACACGGTTCTGTGAACTGGCAAAGGCCTTCAAAGTCCCGGCAGAAATACTAAGAATTACAATTGCTAAGACAGACCAACAGCTCACCATGTGTCGGGCACTGTTCTTAGTGAGGAGACATTTCCGGTAGGCTTATTGTATGCCAGAACAGTTATGAATGCTTCCCACAAATTAATCCACTCAGCCTTCACAATAATCCTATCAGGTGGGAATTATCATCATCCCCATGGCACCGATGATGAAATGAGCTCACAAGGGTTGGGGAGCCTGCTCAAGGTCACACAGCCATGGAGTGGCACGGCTGGATTTGAACCCTGTGCTCTCACTCGCTTCCATACACCTCTTTACAGAGGCTGGAAACCAGAACATTGAAGTTCTGGATCCTAGCTGGGCCAGGCTGGGGAGCTGGATCCCGGAATGCTCGAGGGGACCAAAAGTAGGGGGTGGGGGAGGCTGGATGCCTCCGTTCCATAACATAATCATGACTGCCAACCAAGACTTACACAGTACCAGGCACCATTCTAGGAGCTTCTCGTGGATTAATTCATTTAATCCTCACAACAGCCCAAGGTGGACGTCCTTCTGAGACCACTGTATGGGAGTGAACAGTGTGGTCCAAGGTCGCAGAGCTAGAACCGACTTCACCGTCCTGCTGCTAGCTAACGCAGGTCCCTGGTAGCTGTGTCACCCCCTGCATGGCTCTCTTGCTGTCTTCTTCTCCCAGCACACACCTGCCCAGGGTTAAAGGATGCCTTGCCTCCACTCTGAGGAGGGACCAAGAAATGCTGGACTGGCTGTAGGCAGAGATGCTCAGGGCAGCCTGAGGCTCAGGGGTAAGAGGAAGGAAAGACATAGGACAGTCACCTCTATAGGTAGAGGACAGAGGACAGAGGTGACTCTATCCTATGTCTTTCCTTCCTTTCACCCAGCCTGGAACCTGGTGAGCAAGGAATGCATGGCACTAGGGGCTCAGTGACCTGGGTTCAAATCCTACCCTGGCACCCATAGGGTCTGATAAGATGCGGTGGAAGGCAATTCTTCCTCTGAACTTCAATTTCGGACTCTGCAAAAAAGGACACAAATACCATATAAAGCCCAAAGCACAGGGCTGGGCAGAGTATATGCTCACAGACAAAAGCCACTCCTCCAGTTTCTCCTTGACAAGACGATCTGAGGCCAAGGTTGGCCAAGGGCTCACATCACACCTCTCCCACTTCAGCTATGAGACCTCTGGGAAATCTTTGCACTTCACAGTGAGTGAAATGATTCCTCATCTGTAAAATGGTATCACACTTCTAACTAGCTCGTAGCTCTCCATAAAATAGGCCTAACCACAGGTATGTTTTGAGACTTAAGTGAGATCACATGTACAAAAGCCCTGTCACACGCCTGGCATGGGGTGAATGCTATAAACACTGGGCATCCACTAGCTCTGGAAATGATCTGCCTCTCTGAGATGCTGTTTTCTCATCTAAAAGGGAGAGCATAACAACAGCGCCTACCGCTCTAGAATTCAAGTATTCAGCAAGTTTATCTATATGAAGCATTCCAAACAGTGTGTGGCCCACAGAATGCACTCAGTTACTGTCAGCCATCAATTTCATGATTACTGTTTTCACTGCCACTGTTAGCCCCATCAGGCAAACCCTCTAAAAGCTGGCAGGAGAGGACCAGAGGAACAAACCCCTAGTGGAGAAAGATTCTACAGAGTCGCCGCTGCCTCACAGACTGTGGGACCTTTCTCTCCAGGAACCACGAGCCACGGAAGCCAGTCAGCTTGGAAGTCACTGCTGCGGACTAGGGGCAACCATCTGCCCCCTCTGACCACATCACCAGCCCAGGTCTGCTGGGTCAATCAGGGACTGCAGCCAGTCCTCTGGGAACTCCAGACCCAGAGCAAAGGCTACAGGGCAAGCCAAGGTCATGATCTGGCCTAGGGAGCAGGGACACTGGCCACAGACCTCTGGGGCTGGCTGCTCCCAGCACCAGCCCACAGACCACAATAAGACACCAGATCCATGGGGGATCTGACTGTCCCAAGCCCTTCAGAGCAGCCTTCCTCCCTGGGCCAGGCTGGGCCAGGGGCACCCCCACTCCAAGTCCCCTTGGCCTATGCAAAGAGGAACAGCTGGGAAAACAGCTCCCGGCCTCACTGCAAGGCCAACTGTTACTGCCTTGGTGGGGAGTGTAAACATGATGTGTGACCGAGCTGGTAACTGGGAGACACAAACAGCTTCGTGGCCAGCGACAGAGGAGCATGTAGTGGTCTGCGTTGGTTCCTGGACCCTTCACATCCACTGCCAACCAAGTTCAGCCCACGAGTGAACTCCTGCTGCTTCTCTGGGAAGGTAGGAGTGGATGAAGTTGAAAAGCAGCCCATTGGAGGCTCTAGTTACTCCAGCCCAGGCGTCTTGCTGAGCCCCAAGAGGTCTCCAAATGAGAGGAAGAGGTCCTCACAATCCCAAGATCAAGATGCCCCCAGAGAGCTTCCCTGGGGGGAAGAGGTGTTCCCCCAAACACTCCTTCCTCCCAAGTTTTAACAAGCGGGTGCAGGGGCACGGCTCCTCAAATCCAAGCCCAATCCCTCTTCCTCTTCAGAATGTTAAGGCTCAGACAACTTCAGTGACTTCTAACACAGCTTTCCTCCCTCCCCTATGGAAGGAAAGAACTGTTACTGCCTGGTAAATAATCTGAGAGGGTAATGGAATCCAGAGCAGCACCTCCATGGTCCAAAGCACCCCAGTAACCATGACGTTCCCTCCAGAGTCGTTAAGAAGTTCAATAAAGGCTGAGATCAGTGTAAACCCCCAACGCCACACACGTCAAATACAGGAAACAGAAACCCCTCCTCACCAATCGGCATCACAGTCCTCCCAAAATACGCCCCTAAAACCCACTAGGGCCTGTCCCGCCCCGTCCCAGTCCCTTAAAGATCACAAACATCACAGTCCTCTGATTTGGGTTCCCCTACGTTCTAAGCAGGGCTCCCCCAACGCCGTGGTGATATAACCCAGCCACAGTTGGGGAAGCATCCTCCCCAGAAGCCCCCACCCCTGTAAATACAGCACAGCAACGGCTTCCACAGCGCCAAAAAGGTACAGCCCTCTACACTTGATGCGGCGCGCCCCCTCGATAGCTTAGCCCGCGCACGCCAGGCTCGATCTGCCCGCCGCGCCCGAAAGGTCCAGCCCCCGGCCCGCGCACGCTGCGGCCTGCGCTCCCCGTCCCGCAAACTTGCAGCGCTCCCCCCACCGCCTCAGTGGTATGGCCCGCCGCCACCGCCCCGGCCCCCCGAGGCTGGTCCCACCGCCCCCGCTCGGCCACCCCCACTCAGCTCCTGAAGGAGGGGCTCGAGGGCCGCGGTCCCCCCGCCGGGCACGGGTGGTACAGCCCATCGCGGCACCGCGGGGGGCCCGGACGCGACCATCGTGGGGGGGGCGTTCGGGGACACGCGCTGGCGCACTCACCTGTCACCGGCAGCCGCCCAGCCTCTCCGGCGGGGCTCTACCCCCGCCCATCGCCACGCTGCGCTGGTTCCCTTTCCTTGTGTTTCCCGGCAGCGGCAACGGCGCCGGCAGCGGCAGCGGCGGCGGCGACGCCTCCTCCGAGGCAGGCCCAACGGCTAGCACGGCGCGGCCCCCCCCGCCCCCTCCCCCCAGCCCCCGCTTACCGCCCCCTCCCACCCTCTGGACGGAAATACCGCCCTCTCGCGCCACAAACAGGAAGTGACGTACAAAGAGCCAGAGACGAACTCTGAGAGAGCGAGAGCGCAAGAGCAGGGCAGAGAAGGAGGCGGGCTCACAGCAGGGCGCCTGCGCACATTAGACAACTTTGGGCCTGTGTGGGTTAGAGATGGGCCTCGCTAGGCCGTGGGGCGGAAAGGCGAGATGGGGCTACGCAGGCGCACTAGGACTCCGACGTCTGCTTTCCCTAGGGCCTAGCCGTAGTGATTATTTCCCGGCAGCCCCTAGTCCGTATTTACATACGCTTTGATCTTGTTTTACTCAGTTCTGGGTTCTGACGCTCTTAAAGGACCCCGGAGCGGGAGTTAGTTAGGAGGGGTTTCCTTTTCAGTGTGCTCGTCATGGTTGAGCTCAGGCTCTGAAGCCACACAACCCCAGACTTGAATTTCCTCCTTTCTGGTGACTGTGGGCAGAAGGCTTGACCGTTTTCTGTGCCTCAGTATCCACATCTGCTAAATGGAAACAATCATCGCTGTGTCGCTGGCTTTTGAACCATTTTAATGTAAACAAAACGGTTTTTACCAATTAGTTCATTACTGCAAGATATTAATGCCACCTGCTCTCATCGTACATATTCCAGTGAATCTGGGATATAACATTTTATAATGCAACTTGGGCCCATAAAGGCCTTAAAATCACCCTGCGGCCGGGCGCGGTGGCTCACTCCTGTAATCCTAGCACTTGGGGAGGCCAAGGCAGACGGATCATGAGGTCAGGAGTTCGAGACAGCCTGGCCAACATAGTGAAACCCCGTCTCTACTCAAAATACAAAAAAAAAAAAAAAAGCCGGGCATGTCGGTGTGTGCCTGTAATCCCAACTACTTGGGAGGCTTGAGGCAGGAGAATCGCGTGAACCCGGGAGGCAGAGGTTTCAGTGAGCCGAGATCATGCCATTGCACTCCGGCCCGGGCGACAGTGCAAGTCTCCGTCTCAAAAAAAAAAAAAAAAAAGAAAAGAAAGAAAAAAGAAAAAAAATGACCCTGCAAGAAAAGAGCTTTGCACAGATCCTAATCCGTATATTAGCTAGTATACTGGACAGCTGTGAGACATCTGGCTCCCAGCCCCTCCTCTCTCATAGGGGATTGTGCTGCCTCCTGAATTTGGGTTCCAGTATGCCATATAACTTGGCAATTGTATGCATTGGTAAGTGAGAAAAATGCCTGACTGAGAGTTGAATCCTGGGTCCACCTCAGTCTGTGAGAGTGTTTCAGGCAAATCCTGCTGAGGGTTCGGCTTTCGTTTTCTGAGACGTAAACCTAATGCTGGAACTAGCCCTTTCTTATTTGGTTTCTAGCTTGGAACTTGCTGCTTGGTATTCCTAATTCCCGGTCTTCCCCATCAGTCGGTGTTAATAACTCTGACCAATGCCTCCCCCTTCACAGCCCTAACCATTTTCATCTATTACTGTCTGGTGACAGGTCTGTTTCCCCCACTGCACAGGAAACACAGTAAAGGAAGAGACCAAGACTGTCTCAGAGATCAGTGTGTATCCAACATTGCCCAGAGTGGGCTCTTGCAGAATGTTTGTTTCAAGCATTAGCCCTTCTGCCCTAATCTAGACTCAAGGTTACTGTGACCAACCCTCTTCACTCCTGTCCACACTGAACAGCTCACAGGCCATTCCCCTACGTCTAAGTCTCCCCTGGGCCAACTTGAATCCTAGCCCCTCCTAGGGCACTTAATTATGACACACTGAGATCTCACTGAAACCACCCATGTGCTTGTGTATAAACTCCTTGCAGCACTGGTAGTCAAGGGCAGTGGCTTTCTCTTTTTTTTTTTTTTTTTTTTTGAGACTCACTGCATCGCCAGGCTGGAGTGCAGTGGCGAGATCTTGGCTCACTGCAACCTCTGCCCTCTGCCTCCCAGGTTCAAGCGATTCTCCTGCCTCGGCCTCCTGAGTAGCTGGGATTACAGGCACGCGCCAACACGCCCAGCTAATTTTTTTGTATTTTTAGTAGAGAGGGGGTTTCACCATGTTGGCCAGGATAGTCTCCATCTCTTGACCTCGTGATCCACCTGCCTTGGCCTCCCAAAGTGCCGGGATAACAGGTGTGAGCCACTGCACCCGGCTCTTTCTGGTTTTGGTTTTTTATTGTTTTTTTGAGACAGGGTTTCACCCCCTCCGTCACCGAGGTTGAAATGCAGTGGCACAATCTCAGTTCACTGCAACCGACACCTCCCATGCTCAAGCGATCCTCCCACTTCGGCCTCCCAAGTACTGGGACCACAGATGTGCGCCACTATGCCCAGCTAATTTTTTTGTATTTTTGGTAGAGACGGAGTTTCGCCATGTTGCCCAGACTGGTCTCAGACTCCTGAGCTGAGGCGATCCACCCACCTTAGCCTCCCAAAGAACTGGGATTAGAGATGTGAGCCACCGCACTTGGCCTAATATTCTTTTTTTTTTTTTTTTTTTTTGACACAGTCTCACTCTGTCTCCCAGGCTGGAGTGCAGTGGTGCCATCCGCCATCTCGGCTCACTGAAACCTCCGCCTCCTAGGTTCAAGTGATTCTCCTGCCTCAGCCTCCTGAGTAGAGGGATTACAGGCGTGCACCACCACACCTGGCTAATTTTTGTATTTTTATTTATTTATTTATTTTTGAGTCTGAGTTTTGTTCTTGTTGCCCAGGCTGGAGTACAATAGCACGATCTCGGCTCACCACAACCTCCGCCTCCTGGGTTCAAGCGATTCTCCTGCCTCAGCCTCCCAAGTAGCTGGTATTACAGGCATGCACCACCACGCCTGGCTAATTTTGTATTTTTAGTAGAGATGGTGTTTCTCCATGTTGGTCAGGCTGGTCTCGAACTCCTGACCTCAGGTGATCTGCCCACCTTGGCCTCTCAAAGTGCTGGGATTACAGACATGAGCCACCACGCCCAGCCCTTAATATACTATTTATTTCAATTCCGCAACCCTGCTGAACTGATTTTCTGGTTGTGCCTTGTAGTTTGTAAAACATTAGTCTAGGAGGTAAACAACACTTTTTAGCATTGATGATGAGTAGGCCCAGGTTCTAATCGTATCTTTTCTGTGTCCTTGTCAAAGTCACTTCACTTCTCTGAGCTTGCCTTTCTTTATTCTATTAAGACAGTAATAATATAATTTATTTAGCAATTGTTACAGGCCAAGTTCTGTGTAAACACACTCCCACTGATGCTATCCTGTTGCTATCTACACAGTAACCCTGGAGGTTAAATGTAACAGCACATTAAGGGCCTTGCTTGAGTTCCCAGGACAAGTTAAGGACAAAGACAGTATTTGAACCCAGACAGTTTGATACCAGAGCCTGTGCTCTTAACTCAACTCATGCTAGAAAATGGAAAAGTATTGGCCCTACTTTTGTGCCCTATGTTACTTCTGCAAATGGCTTAGTTATCTTTGGGGGGCCTCAAAGGCCATCCTGGGCAACATAGCGAGACTCTTTCTCTATTTTCAGCATCAAGGGTGAAACTTGAGGGCCACTTTGAATCTTGTGGCAGGGCAACACAGCGAGACCCTTTCCATTTCAGCATCAAGGGTGATCGATCGAGGCGACTGGGCATGGTGGCTCACACCTGTAATCCCAGCACTTTGGGAGGCAGAGGCAGGTGGATCACCTGAGGTCAGGAGTTCGAGAACAGCCTGGCCAACATGGTGAGACCCCATTTCTACTAAAAATACAAAAATTTAGCCGGGCGTGGTGGCAGGCGCCTATAATCCCAGCCACTTGGGAGACTGAGGCAGGAGAATTCCTTGAACCCGGGAGGTGGAGGTTGCAGTGAGCGGAGGTGGCACCATTGCACTCCAGCCTTGTCAACAAGAGCAAAACTCTATCTCAAAAAAAAAAAAAAAAGAAAGAAAAAAAGTGTGAACCAGAAGAAAATTCCCTACAACCTCACCCCATTTTCTTCCATCTTAATCTAGTCTATAAACTCTCTCCCCATAACTATAAGTATGGACTGCACATGCACTTTGCTGGGTAGAGGGGGCCGGTAACTTATTGAAAGCTGTTCAAAGGTCTCTTGATTCAGAAAAAAGAAAACGATGAGGGATCTTGCCCCAAGGGTTGGAGAGGACATCTCCTCAAAGCCCCCTTCTGTGCCCAGGGAGTAGAAATCAGGCCCAGGAGTCCATTCCAAGGCTTCTCACAGAGGAGTCTCCTTATCGATGGCAACTGGACAAGCTGTGGGGACTAGTCACAAAATAATTTTTTTTTTTGAGATGGAGTCTCTCTCAGTCACCAGGCTGGAGTGCAGTGGTGCGATCTCGGCTCACTGCAACCTCCACCTCCTGGGTTCAAGTGATTCTTCTGCCTCAGCCTCCCGAGTAGCTGGGATTACTGGCACCCACAACCATGCCCGGCTGATTTTTGTATTTTTAGTAGAGACAAGGTTTCACCATGTTAGCCAGGATGGTCTCAATCTCCTGACCTCGTGATCCGCCCACCTCAGCCTCCCAAAGTGCTGGGATTATAGGCGTGAGCCACCGTACCCGGCCCCATTTTTATTTTTTATTTAAAATATTAGGCTGGACACAGTGTCTCACACCTGTAATCCCAGCACTTTGGGAGGCCGAGGCAGGAGGATCACTTGAGGCCAGGAGTTAGAGACCAGCCTGGCCAACATGGCGAAACCCCGTCTCTACTAAAAATACAAAAATTAGCCCGGGAGGTGGCAGGCACCTGTAATCCCAGCTACTGGGAGGCGGAGGCATGAGAATCACTTGAACCCAGGAGGCAGAGGTTGCAGTGAGCCGAGACTGTGCCACTGCACTCCAGCCTGGGTGACAGAGCGAGACTCTAGCTCAAAAAATAAATAAATAAATAAATAAATAAATAAATAAAATATTTAAAAGAGTTTCCCACATTATAAAGAAATGCCAAAATCATGTATTTGATTCCCGAGCCAGAATCTACAAAGCCCACTCCCCACTGCCTCCCCCAGATACTACCGTGTTGGGAAGATCCTTTCAGAGTAATGTTATTAATATATTTGGCAGAAGTACATATAAGCATCAGGGATTCCGCAAATGTTGGTTCCAATTTCCTTTTTTAAAATTTGTTTCTTTTTCAAAAATTGTAATGGAAGACACAGTGCACATTCAATTTTCTAATATATCGGAGATTCTCGAAACGTTTAAGTCCAGGTGCAGCATCTCAAGCCTGTAATCCCAGCACTTTGGGAGGCCAAGACAAGGAGATCACTCAAACTTAAAACTTCAAGACCAGCCTGGATAACATGACAAAACCCCTTCTCTACCAAAAAATACAAAAAAAAAAAAAAAATTAGTCGGGTGCAGTCGCACACACCCATGGTCCCAACTACTCAAACAAAACAACAAATATTTAAGTGGTCATGCTAGGCTAGTATACTTTGTGTAGACCTTGGGATGAAGCTTTCTCTGCTCTTTTTTCTTTCTTTCTTTTCTTTTTCTTTTACTTTTTTTTTTTTTTTTTTTGAGATGGAGTCTCACTCCCGTCGCGCAGGCTGGACTGCGGTGGTGCGATCTCAGCTCACTGCAACCTCCACCTCCAGGGTTCAAGTGATTCTCCTTCCTCAGCCTCCCAAGTGGCTGGGATTGCAGGCGCCCACCACCACCCCAAGCTAATTTTTGTATTTTTAGTAGAGGTGGGGTTTTGCCATGTTGTCCAGGCTGGTTTTGAACTCCTGGTCTCAGGTGATCCACCCGCTTCGGCCTCCCAAAGTACTAGGATTACAGACATGAGCCACCAAGCCCAGCCTCTTTTTTATTTATTATTTTACTACTATTTTGAGACAGAGTCTCACTCTGTCTTCCAGGCTGGAATGCAGTGGTGTGAACACACTCACTGCAGCCTTGACCTCCTGGGCTCAAGCAATCCTCCCACCTCAGACTCCAGAGTAGTTGGGACCACAAGCGCACACCACTACGCCCAGCTAATTTTTTTTTTTTTTTTTTTGAGATGGAGTTTCGCTTTTGTTGCCCAGGCTGGAGTGCAATGGTGTGATCTCGGCTCACTGCATCCTCCACCTCCACCACCTGAGTTCAAGCGATTCTCTTGCCTCAGCCTCCCGAGTAGCTGGGATTACAGGCATGTGCCACCATGCCCGGCTAATTTTGTATTTTTAGTGGAGATGGGGTTTCTCCATGTTGGTCAGGCTGGTCTTGAACTCCTGAACTCAGGTGATCCACCCGCCTCGGCTTCCCAAAGTCCTGGGATTACAGGCGTGGGCCACTGCACCCGGCCTGCCCAGCTAATTTTTAAATTTTTTAGAGATGGGGGGGGTCTCACCATGTTGCCCAGGCTGGTCTTGAACTCCTGGCCTCAAGCAGTCCTCCTGCCTCAGCCTCCCAAAGTGCTGGAATTACAGGCATGAGCCACCACACCCAGACTTTTCTCCTCTCAATAAGATCAAACACCTTTATCAATCTGCTTCCAACACATAGATGGCTTCCAATCCCATGTGGAATATAAACCAAAGGCCTCACCGTGGCCTTCATGGCTGTATATGATCTGTCCCTGCCTGTTTCTCTAACTTCATCACAAACTACTCTTGTCCCTGGCCCATGTTCCAGACACACATACCTCCTCTCTGCCCCTACAAAAAGACAAGCATTTGGGAACTTGCTGTCTCCTCTGGCTGGACTCTTCATGTCCTTGATCCTGATCTTGGCATGACTGGCTCCTTCTTTCTTTTCTTTCACAACTCTGTTCAAATCTCACCTCCGGGTGCAGTGGCTCATGCCCATAATCCCAGCACTTTGGGAGGCCGAGGCAGCTGGGTCACCTGAGGTCAGGAGTTCCAGACCAGCCCGGCCAACATGGTGAAATCCTGTCTCTACAAAAAAAAATACAAAAATTAGCTAGGCATAATGGTGGCTGCCTGTAATCCCAGCTACTTGGGAGGCTGAAGTGGGAGAATCGCTTCAACCCGGGAGGCAGAGGTTGCACTGAGCTGAAATGGTGCCACTGCATTCCAGCCTGGGCAACAGAGCAAGACTCCGTCTCAAAAAAGAAAGAAACAAACAAAAAACCCAAATCTCACCTCCTTGTGCACTCCGAGTCTAAAAGGGCCATGCTGTCACTATGTTTGTAAGCATATTTGAATCCTCTACCTAGGACTTAACACTAAAATATTTTTGTTGTTTATTTTGTGTCCTCCCCCAAGCCAGAATATACATTTGCTCATGAGGACAAGGACTACTGGGTACCGCTGTATTCCCAGCCCATGGAAGAATGCCTGTGAAAGAGTTCAGGACACACCACCCCAATATATGCCCATTTGATATGCTGATTACTTCAAACAGAGGGAACTCAGGGGAACAGTAAGTGCAGGGACTTTCTCTGACCTTCCCTTACCTGTCTGCACACGGATCCTCCAAAAGGAACTCCATTGTCATGAATCCCCTCCCCAGGAATCTTCTCAATCAGAGAAGATGAGCTCAGATCACAGGAGAGGAGACCGGAGGTTGACGTGATGCCCAGACTGTCACCTATTCTTCCGGGAAAACTTTTCTTAACTAATAGACAATCTGCATAACAACTTTTATTCACCATACACCTCCTCCCTGCACCCTCCCATAACTTATGTCACCACCACCTCCCAAAAGCCCCAAGCCCCTCTTCTTTTCTGCAGGTCAGGATGCTATATGATAAGCTTCAATCCTCTGACACTTCTTTAAATCTCATATTTTGTGGGACTCTCACGTCTAAGTATGTAATTTTTTTTTTTTTTCTCGAGATGGAGTCTCACTCTGTTGCCCAGGCTGGAGTGCAGTGGTGCGATCTCGGCTCACTGCAACCTCTGCCTCCCAGGTTCAAGCAATTCTCCTGCCTCAGCCTTCCAAGTAGCTGGGATTACAGGTGCCCACCATGCCACCACGCCTGGCCAATTTTTATATTTTTAGTAGAGATGGGGTTTCACTATTTTGCCCAGGCTAGTCTCAAACTCCTGACCTCAAGTGATCCGCCCGCCTCAGCCTCCCAAAGTGCTGGGATTACAGGCATGAGCCACCGTGCCCAGCAATTTTTTGCTACTTTTTGTTTGTTTTTGTTTTGTTTCTGAGACAGAGTCTTGCTCTGTTGCCCAGGCTGGAGTGCAATGATGCGATCTTGGCTCACTGCAACCTCCGCTTCCCGGGTTCAAGCGATTCTCCTGCCTCAGCCTCCTGAGTAGCTGGGATTACAGGCAAGTGCCACCACACCAGGCTAATTTTTCTATTTTTAGTAGAGACGGGGTTTCACCATGTTGATGAGGCTGGTCTCAAGCTCCTGACCTCATGATCTGCCTGCCTCGGCCTCCCAAAGTGCTGGGATTACAGGTGTGAGTCACCATGCTCGGCCTTTTGCTACTGTTAATCTGCCTTATATTGGTTTAATGTGTAAGCCAGCCAAAGAACTTAGAAGCATAGCAGGAGGGGCCGGGCGCAGCGGCTCATGCCTATAATCCTAGCATTTTGGGAGGCCAAGGCGGGCAGATCACGAGGTCAGGAGTTAGTAGACCAGCCTGATTAACATGGTAAAACCCCGTCTCTATTAAAAATACAAAAATTAGCAAAGCATGGTGGCACATGCCTGTAATTCCAGCTACTTAAGAGGCTGAGGCAGGAGAATCGCTTGAACCTGTGAGGCGGAGGTTGCAGTGTACTGAGATGGCGCCACTGCACTCCAGCCTGGGCGACAGAGCAATAATCCGTCTCCAAAAAAAACGGGTAGCGGGAAGCCATTTTTCACTCCCTTCGAGTTTCTGGTGCCCAACGTGGGGCATCTTTCACTTTTTACTCTAGGACTGCTTCAGCAGCAGGCTCCTGACATGCCTGACCAAACACTGGCCACAGATAAGATTTCCTACCACATTAGCCCCCCAGATCTCTGCCTGTAGAGTCCAGCGGAAGCAAGATAGGTAAGGGTCTCTTTGTCTTTTTCCCTTTTCTAAGTTTGGATTAGCAGGAGAAAATGTGTGCGAACTAGTTCTTGTATAATAACTCTGGTTTTTTTGTTTGGTTATTTTTTTTTTTGGTGGTGAGGGGAGGTATTATTGTTTTCTGATTCCTCCCCTCCCAGAGATGGTCATTATTTTCCCATGTCTGTGTCTTTTGTGTTGTGTCATACAGAAGAGAATCATAGGGCAAGAACACAGGCCTCAAAGACTGGTGAGTTCACAGTTCTCTGCAAACCAATGTCTGTTCAGACTAATTTTGCTGTGGGTCCCCAAGACAAAAACCAGATGAGGTGCTCCTTGGGTCTTGTTTTATGTCCTCAGAGCTTGGCTTTTCCATCAGTGAGAACACTCTGGCCTCTGCCAGCTGAGGGTGCAAGTGTCAGCCTGTGTCAGCCAGCCAGTCAAATAGGCTGGAAGCCCACGATGCAGTGACAAGCGGCATTCTCTTTGTCCACTCGTGCCAGCTCTCAGGAGAGTTTGGTCCCAATAACTGTCCCAGTCCGTAGGGCTTTGTTGTCTCAACCTTCAATTGGACAATGCTAGGAAAGTCCAATCCCAGTAGTGCTTGCCCGGTGTCACAGATTAGCGGGTCAGTGAGTGTCATGAGACACCATTTACACAAACACTATCCTTAATGCCTGTGGCAACAAAGGTCTTTGCTTTCTTTTTTTCTTTTTTGAGACGGAGTCTCGCCCTGTCGCCCAGGCTGGAGTGCAGTGGCTTAATCTCGCCTCACTGCAACCTCCGCCTCCTGGGTTCAAATGATTCTCCTGCCTCAGCCTCCCAAGTAGCTGGGATTACAGGTGCCTGCTACCACGCCCAGCTAATTTTTGTATTTTTAGTAGAGACAGGGTTTTACCATGTTGGCCAGGCTGGTCTTGAACTCCTCACCTCGTGATCCGCCTGCCTCAGCCTCCCAAAGTGCTGGGATGACAGGCGTGAGCCACCGTGCCCGGCCTAAACAGCTGTCTTATTGGTACCTATGGAAAGATCAAGAAGAAAAGAGGACAGAAAGGGATATAACAGCTAGTCTTAGAGACTCCTCTAACAAGATTAAAAAGCAGAAATCAGATTACTTTTTTTGTTTGTTTGAGACTGAGTCTCACTCTGTCGCCCAGGCTGGAGTGCAATAACGTGGTCTCAGCTCACTGCAACCTCCACCTCCCAGGTTCAAGCGATTCTCCCTGCCTCAGCCTCCTGAGTAGCTGACATTACAGGCGCCCACCACCATACCCGGATAATTTTTGTATTTTTAGTAGAGATGAGGTTTCACCATGTTGGTCAGGCTGGTCTCAAACTCCTGACCTCAGGTGATCCGCCCGCCTCAGCCTCCCAAAGTGCTGGGATTACATGCATGAGCCACCGTGCCTGGCCTAGATTATTTATTTACGTATTTATTTATTGAGACAGGGTCTCGCTCTGTCACCCAGGCTGGAGCGCAGCGTCGCAATCACCACTCACTGCAGCCTCTGCCTCCTGGACTCAAGTGATCCTCCCACCTCAACCTCCCGAGTAGGTGGGACTACAGGCATGTGCCACCACTCCTGGCTAATATTTTTAGTTTTGTAGAGACAGGGTCTTGCCATGTTGCCCAGGCTGCTCTTAAACTCCTGGTCTCAAGTGATCCTCCTGCCCTGGCCTCCCAAAGTGCTGGGATTACAGGCATGAACCAACATGCCTGGCCCACTCATGTAAATTAAATACAGTCACGTGTCACTTAATGATGAGAATATGTTCTGAGAAATTCCTTCATTAGGCAATTTTGTCATTGTGTGAACATCAGAAAGTGTATTTACGCAAAGCTAGATCATATAGCCTACTATATACCTAGGCTATAAGTTATAGTCTATTGCTATAAACTTGTACTGCATGTTATTGTACTGAATACTGAAGGCAATTGTAACACAATGCTGTTTGTTTGTTTGTTTTTATTTTTTTGAGACCAAGTTTTGCTCTGTCGCCCAGGCTGGAGTGAGTGGCACCATCTTGGCTCACTGCGACCTCTGCCTCCTGGATTCAAGCAATTATCCTGCCTCAGCATCCCGAGTAGCTGGGATTACAGGTGCACACCACCATGCCTGGCTAATTTTTTGTATTTTTAGTAGAGATGGGGTTTCGCCACATTGACCAGGCTGGTCTCGAACTCCTGACCTCAAGCAATCTGCCTGCCTCGGCCTCCCAAAATGCTAGGATCACAGGCATGAGCCATTGTGCCTGGCCAAGTGTTCGTATATCTAAACATAGAAAAGGTACAATAAAAGATAAAAGTGGGCCAGGCGCAGTGGCTCACACCTGTAATCCCAGCACTTCGGGAGGCTGAGACAGGTGAATCACCTGAGGTCAGGAGTTCAAGACCAGCCTGGCCAACATGGTGAAACCCCATCTCTACTAAAAATACAAAAATTAGCTGGGCGTGGTGGCGGGCATCTGTAATCCCAGCTACTTGGGAGGCTAAGGCAAGAGAATTGCTTGAACCCAGGAGGCAGAGGTTGCAGTGAGCTGAGATCGCACCATTGTACTCCAGCCTGGGCAACAGAGCAAGACCCTGTCTCAAAAAAAAAAAGATAAAAGTGGTGCACTTGTAGAGGGCATCTCCATTATAACCTTATGAGACCACCATTATCTATGTGGTGCATTGCTCATTAAACATCATTATGCAGGAGATGACTGTATGCCTAAAACTGCTAGAAATATAGGAAGTAATCCAAATGCTTTTCAAGTTCACATGACTTGGGTACATCTTTGGTAAATAAAACTAGTTTAATATTGTTGGTTTAATGAAAATCAGCTCTGTCTTCTGACTTACAAAAAAAATTAAAACAAAAACAAAACCCAAAAACCTTATACATGGATTTCACTTATGGTCCTTGCTTAGATGATGGCTGCCTGACATGCATTTGATGTAAAAATGGTGAATAGTGGGGACAGGCACAGTGGCTCATGCCTGTAATCCCAGCACTTTGGGAGGCCAAGGTGGGCAGATTAGTTGAAGTCAGGAGTACAGGACCAGCCTGGCCAACATAGTGAAACCCAGTCTCTACTAAAAATACAAAAAAGTTAGCCGGGCGTGGTGGCTCACGCCTGTAATCCCAACACCTTGGGAGGCCGAGGTGAGTGGATCACAAGGTCAGGAGTTCAAGATCAGCCTGGCCAAGATGGTGAAAACCTGTCTTTACTAAAAATACAAAAATTAGCTGGGCATGGTGGCGGGCATCTGTAATCCCAGCTACTCTGGAGGCTGAGGCAGAGAATTGCTTGAACCCAGGAAGCGGAGGTTGTAGTGAGGCGAGATTGCACCACTGCACTCCAGCCTGGGCAACAGAGCGAGACTCCGTCTCGGAAAAAAAAAAAAAAAAAAAAAAATTAGCTGGGCGTGGTGGCGGGCACCTGTACTCCCAGCTACTCAGAAGGCTGAGGCAGGAGAATCGCTTGAACCTGAGAGGCGGAGGTTGCAGTGAGCTGAGATCGTGCCACTGCATTCCAGGCCGAGCGACAGAGGTGACTCCGTCTCAAAAAAAAAAAAAAAATAGCCGGGTTTGGTGGTGCACACCTGTAATCCCAGCTACTCGGGAGGCTGAGGCAGGAGAAAGAATGGCTTGAACCCAGAGGCAGAGGCTGCAGTGAGCCGAGATAGAGTCACTACACTCCAGCTTGGGTGACAGAGTGACACTCTGTCTCAAAAAAAAAAAAAAGAATGGTGACTAGGGAAATGACTTGGGAGAGCTGACTTTGTCTAATGTCTCATGAAACTTCCATGACTAATCTAAGCATAATTGTTAAGAACATGTGAAATAAATAAATGTAAGTAGGATCAAAGTTGATAAATGAACTTTTCAACAACAATCGTGCTTTATGCTTTAACCCAGGAGGCGGAGGTTGCAGTGAGCTGAGATCATGCCATTGCTCTCCAGCCTGGGCTATAAGAGTGAAACATTGTCTCAAAAAAAAAAAAAAAAAAGAAAAAATAATTGTGGTTTATAAATAGCTCTTTAAAACGGTTTCCCAACCTCACTGATAACAACACCCTTGGATGGCAGATATTAATTAAATATCCAGGTCATTTCCAAATAAAACAAAATACTAAAGCATTCATTGCTGAACACAGACACAAGTTTATTTACCTTTGGCTTCTTAAAATTTATAGAAAGAAATAATATATTTGGGTCCATAGGTAAACATGTCCTGTTTCATACTGAAAAACTATTCTGCGAGAAAACACGTTTCTAGAAATTATGTGTCTTCACAAAATGTTAGCTCATGACAGTTCAAAATCGCTTACTTCCTAGGTTTCGCTGTAGAGTTGCTAAGACTTAAAATTCTCATATATAATTATATAACTACTATAAGTGACTCTGTATGCAAAGTGTACAAGGAAAGTAAGATGTTAGTGAGGTATGAAGATGTGGGGGGGTTTTGTTGAGGAAAAATAACTTAGTCTAGTTTATAAGTTGTTGCAGAATAAAGGAAGGAAGAAAAGATACAGGTAAAACTGAATGCATATAAAAGTTGGAAAGAGAGAATCTTTTGTGGTCAAACTGACCAAAATTGAGTGAATTTATTATGTCTTAAAAATGAGAGTGAATTTATTATGTCTTAAAAATGAGCCCTAATATCAAGGGTACATTGATGCAAAACTAGAATTTGGCATTATCTTTTAAAATGCAAGATTTTCTTGTAGTATTGATAAAAAAGAGTGAAAGATTTTCTTTTTCACCTTTTAAGTAATCTGCCTTAAAAAATTATGTCTTATCAAAATAATTTTCTCTTTCATGTTATCTTTTATCAGGCCTTCAATTACTTTCCAAGAAAATAAAATCCTATTAAGAGAGCTAATATATATATTTTTACAACTATATAACTTTATTTGCCTTCAAAGCCTTTTAATAATTACCCTGGTGATTATGAAATGAATATTAATAAATATTAAATGCTCATTAAATACTTAAATCATAAAATATTAAATGATTATAAAATGAACAGTTGATTAAATAGGATCCCAGATCACTATATAATTCAATAATCACTCTGGTAACCAGACTAATTATTAGTGACCTAAATTAATAGTTACCTGAGATCCTATTAATCAAATTTTTCCTTTTTTCTTTTCTTAATTTCAAAAAATATGGAAGGCCTCATGAATTTGTGAGTTATCCTTGCACAGGGGCCATGCTAATCTTCTCTGCATCATTCCAACTTTAGTATATGTGCTGCCAAAGCAAGCACTCATCAAGTGTTTTAAATCTTTTTTTACATTTTTGACAAACTTCCTAAAATCAAATTCTAAATTCAGTCTTTTGACCTTGAATTAACTTTGGAATTTGCCAGTTGAGCCCCTGGGAAAGCTCAAAAGATGTGTTTCTCACCTCGAAAAAGAGAGACATTAGCCAGGCACGGTGGCTCACGTCTGTAATCCCAGTACTTTGGGAGGCCGAGGCAGGTGGATCACCTGAAGTCAGGAGTTTAAGACCAGCCTGGCCGACATGGCGAAACCCTGTCTCTACTAAAAATACAAAAAAAATTAGTCAGGCGTGGTGACGGGCACCTATAATCCCAGCTACTCGGGAGGCTGAGGCAGGAGAATCGCTTGAACCCAGGGGGCGGAGGTTGCAGAGAGCCGAGATCGCACCATTGCACTCCAGCCTGGGTAACAGAGCGAAACTCCATCTGAAAAAAGAGAGATATTAGACTAATTAGGCTTATTTGAAATGTTAAATTAAATGGGAAACATTGTCAAATAATAAATGATGCTAAACGTTTATATTTATGAACCCAGGGTAGGAGGTGATGAGGGTGATAAAAAACATTTTTTTAAATAAGTTATATGGCCGGGTGCAATGGCTCGTGCTTGTAATCCCAGCACTTTGGGAGGCCAGGGCAGGTGGATCACGAGGTCAGGAGTTCAAGACCAGCCTAGCCAACACAATGAAACCCCGTCTCTACTAAAAATACAAAAATTAGCTGGGTGTGGTGGCAGGCACCTGTAATCCCAGCTACTTGGGAGGGTGAGGCAGGAGAATTGCTTGAACCCAGGAGGCGGAGGTTGCAGTGAGCCAAGATCGCACCACTGCATTCCAGCCTGGGCGACACAGCTAGACACCATCTCAAAAAAAAAAAAGTTATATTTCTGGATATGTTACTGATATGAATGTTCTAAAAATTATGAGATTCCTAGAAATCTAATGTTATAAGTCATAATTTTGTTACTATGTTAACATGATATATGCCACAGAAATAACCAGGTTTCCTTGTCAATTGCTGGTTATAATGAACTCTCATCAGATTTTTTAACCATGGCCATTCTGTCTTGCTCATCAATAGTGTTTTGGTTCTTCTCTAAAAGCATTTGCAATCAGCTATTGCCCCAAATTGCTTCTTCAAGATTCATGGAAATGACTCTGACAAGTAGTCTGGAATAGAAGGTCCTAATAAACTTATGATTATAACATTGGACTGGGTAAGAATTTCCAAAACTCTAGTGGAAAAACTGGACTCAGAAAACTGCTGACTCGACTAGGTGTGGTGGCTCATGCCTGTAATACTAGCACTTTGAGAGGCCCAGGCAGGCGGTTCATTTAAGGCCAGAAGCTCGAGACCAGCCTGGCCAACATAGAGAATCCCGATCTCTACTAAAAATACAAACAAAACAAAAAAATTAGTTGAGTGTGGTGGTGCACACCTGTAATCCCAGCTACTCCAGAGGCTGAGGCACGAGAATCGCTTGAGCCCGGGAGGTGGAGGTTACACTGAACCGAGGCACTCCAGCCTGGGTAACAGAGCGAGACTCTGTCTCAGAAAATAAAAAGAAAAAGAAACCCTGCTAACAACATCAGGAAGAATAAGAATTACATGGGACTGAGCTGACAGATTATAATTTTTTTTTAATACCTACAGTATTATAGTGCCATAGGCATAGTTTGATGGCAAGTCCCTGGCTTCATAACCTTGAGAGGCTTTTATTTATTTATTTATTTATTTATTTATTTATTTATTTATTCTTGAGACAGAGTCTCGCTCTGTCGCCCAGGCTGGAGTGCAGTGGCATGATCTTGGCTCACTGCAACCTCCGCCTCCCAGGTTCAAGAGATTCTTCCTGCCTCAGCCTCCCGAGTAGCTGGGATTACAGGAACCCACCACCATGCCCAGCTAATTTTTGTATTTTTGGTAGAGACGAGGTTTCGCCATGTTGGTCAGGCTGGTCTCAAACTCCTGACCTCGTGATCCACCTGCCTCAGCCTCCCAAAGTGCTGGGATTGCAGGTGCGAGCCACCGCGCCTGGCCTGAGAAGCTTTGCCTGGCCAACATAGAGAAACCCATCTCTACTGAAAATACAAAAATTTGCTGGGCATGGTGGCCCACGCCTGCAGTCCCAGCTACTTGGGAGGCTGAGGCAGGAGAATCACTCCAACCTGGGAGGTGGAGGTTGCAGTGAGCCAAGATCACTCCACTGCACTCCAGCCTGGGTGACAGAGCAAGACTCTGTCTAGGAAAAAAATCTTAAAAAAAAAGGTCCAATCTGGGCCAGGCACAGTGGCTCATGCCTGTAATCCGAGCACTTTGGAAGGCCGAGGCAGGTGGATCACTTGAGGTCAGGAGTTGGAAAACAGCCTGGTCAACATGGAGAAACCCCATCTCTACTAAAAATACAAAACATTAGCCGGGCATGGTGGTGGGCACCTGTAATCCCAGCTACTCAGGAGGCTAAGGCAGGAGAATCGCTTGAACCCGGGAGGCAGAGGTTGCAGTGAGCCAAGAACGTGCCACTGCACTCCAGCCTAGGCGACAGAACAAGACTCCATCTCCAAAAAGCAAAAAAAAGAATCTTTACAATCAATCATTATTCTTACTGCTCTTACATAAATAATCAGGCCAAGTTTAATAAGAGACCAACCTTATTTTGCAACAAATTGATATTTTTTTCCTTGAAACAGGGTCTTGCTCTATTACCCAGGCTGGAGTACAGTGGTAGGATCACGGCTCACTGCAGCCTCCACCCCCCAGGCTCAGATGATCCTTCTGAGGTCAGCCTCCTGAGTAGTTGGGACTACAGGCATGCACGAACATGTCTAATTTTTTTGTATTTCGTGTGCCACCACGTCTGATTTTTTTGTATTTTTTATAGAGATGGGGTTTTGCCATGTTGCCCAGGCTGGTCTCCTAGACTAAAGCAATCTGCTTCTGCCTCGACTCCCAAAGTGCTGGGATTACAGGCATGAGCCACCACTCCTGGCAACAAATTGATCTCATTGTGATTGTGTCTGGCAGAAATGGGGGTGACTGTACAAAGAAAAATCATGTTTCAGAAGAAAACTATAGTGTATCCATTATTAGATTCTAGTTCATTGTTGTGGAGGGTTTGTTATTTACCTGGAAACTTGAGTGGATCCTGAATTCTTCCAGTTTCCTCAAATGTCTGGCTATGACTCTCCAAACTAACATTTCCAGTCTTTCTCCCTTCTGACTTGGAGTTACTGAAAGTAAGACTTCCTTTCCTGAAGCCCTGCAAGCTAAAACTAGAAGACTTGATAGAGACTTCAGATAAATCACCACAAACACTTAGGTATACACCACCTTCATGCCTACCAATATACAAACTAATCAGAAAGTTCACTGGGATCACACCTATAATCCCAGCATTTTGGAAGGCCGGGGTGGGAAGACCACCTGAGGTCAGGAGTTCAAGGCCAGCCTGGGCAACGTGGTGAAACCCCATACAAAAATTAGCCGGGCGGGGTGGCGGGTGCCTGTAATCCCAGCTACTTGGGAGTCTGAGGCAGGAGAATCGCTTGAACCTGGGAGGCGGAGGCTGCAGTGAGCCAAGATTGTGCCATTGCACTCCAGCCTGGGCAACAAGAACAAAACTCCATCTAAAAAAAAAAAACAGGCCAGGCGCAGTAGCTCACACCTGTAATCCCAGCACTTTGGGAGGCCGAGGTGGGGGGATCACGAGGTCAGAAGATCGAGACCATCCTGGCTAACACGGTGAAACCCCATCTCTACTAAAAATACAAAAAATTAGTTGGGCATGGTGGTGGGCACCTGTAGTCCCAGCTACTTGGGAGGCTGAGGCAGGAGAATGGCGTGAACCCAGGAGGCGGAGCTTGCAGTGAGCGGAGATCATACCACTGACTCCAGCCTGGGCAACAGAGCGAGACTCTCAAAAAAAAAAAGGCCGGCACAGTGGCTCATGCCTGTAATCCCAGCACTTTGGGAGGCCGAGGCAGGTGGATCACAAGGTCATCGAGACCATCCTGGCTAACACGGTAAAACCCCGTCTCTACTAAAAATACAAAAAATTAGCCGGGCGTGGTGGCATGCGCCTGTAGTCCCAGCTACTCAGGAGGCTGAGGCAGGAGAATCGCTTGAACCTGGCAGACAGAGGTTGCAATGAGCCGAGATCGCATCACTGCACTTCAGCCTGGGCGACAGAACGAGACTTTGTCTGAAAAAAAAAAAAAAAAAAAAAAAAAAAGTTCACTGGAACCCCTAATGCAAATTGCAACCAGGAAAATCTGTGTCAAATTATCACTGCCTGCCCCTACTCCAACTGAAAATGCTTTGATCCAGCATCTAGAAATCATGTCAATTGGCTGCCCTCCAGGCTCAGAAACTAGTTTACAGATTGCTGCAAACATTAACCTTATTCTTTTGTTTCCTCTTATTAAATACCTGTTTGCTTGTGCCATACAGAGGCCTGACTGTGATGGCAGCCCACCTGCCACACCACCTCCTGGAATGAGACAGAACTGATTAATTGGACTGACCTAGTCCCAGGTCTCATACTATTCAAACACTAATCTGATTTTTCTGTCATCCACCACCAAATCAACTTTTAGCATGTGGAACTTCTAGAGAAGTTTCAGATAGGAGAAATGAAGAAGTTCGAGAAATGCCATCCCAAAATACATCCCTTTGATAGACTGATTACTTCAAATGGAGGGAACCTGGGGAACAGCAAGGGCAGGGAGGACTTTCTTTGACCTTCCCTTATCTACCTAAACACGGATCCTCCAAAAGGAACTTCAGTGTCACGAATCCCCTCCCCAGGAATCTTCTCAATCAGGAAAGATGAGCTCAGATCACAGGAGATGAGACTGGAGGTTGGCACCACGCCCAGATCTATTCTTCTGGGACAACTTTTCTTAACTAAGAGACTTATAATCTGCATAACAAGACAACTTTTATTCACCATACACTTCCTCCCTGCACCCTCCCATAATTTAGGTCACCACCACCTCCTAGAAGCCGCAAGCCCCTCTTTTTTCTGTAGCTCAGGATGCTATATAAGCTTCAATCATCTGGCCCTTCTTTGAATCTCATATATTGTGGGGCTCCTGTGCATACTTACTTAATTAAAATGAGTTTTTTTCTACTGTTAATCTGCCTTATGTCAATTTAATATGTAGCCCAGTCAAAGAACCTAGAAGGGTACAGGGAAGCCATTTTTTGCTCCCCTACACCAGGCACATAGTTGGGACTTGGGGATCAAAAAATATTTGTTTACCAAATGCAGTTTTGATTAGGAAGGTTAAAGCTCTGTACTAGGCTGATTTTTATTCCAGGTCTGAACTTGTCTGTTTACCGAGTTGGCCAGGCACGGTGGCTCATGCCTGTCATCCCAGCACTTTGGAAAGCTGAGGTGGGCGGATCACTTGAGGCCAGGAGTTTGAGACCAGCCTGCTACTAAAAATACAAAAAATTAGGCCAGGCGCGGTGGCTCATGCCTGTAATCCCAGCACTTTGGGAGGCAAAGGAGAGCGGATCACCTGAGATCAGGAGTTCGACACCAGCCTGGCCAACATAGCGAAATCCCATTTCTACCAAAAATACAAAAATTAGCCAGGCGTTGTGGTGGGCACCTGTAATCCCAGCTAATCAGGAGGCTGAGGGAGGAGAATCGCTTGAACCTGGGAGGCAGAGGTTTCAGTGAGCTAAGATCGTGCCACTGTACTCCAGCCTGGGCGACACAGTCAGACTCTGTCTCAAAAAAAAAAAAAAGGTAGATTTGAAATAGAAAAATCCTTACAACACAGCCTCCCACATTACTAAGAAAAACTGAAATAATATAAACACCACCTGATCTTTTTCAAGAAGAGAAAAATTTCACAGCTGCCCAGTGGATTTATAAACTCTATTCACTTGCCACAAGATGGCGCCACATGAGCTGGTCATCCCTGCAGAAACCCAGCTATGTCTTGCAGGCATCAAGTCTTCCTAGAGCAATTTGCGGGACCATTATATTTGAACATTCACTGTCTAAAAGGAAGCTCTTACACGACACCTAAATGCAACATGTTAAGTCACCAGGGTGTCTCGGAAAAGATAAATAAATAAATGTAACATGTGATCCTGAATTGGATTCCAAGCCAGGAGAAAAAACAGCAATAAGGAACGTTATTGGGACAATTGATGAAATTGGAACATGAATTTTGCATTAGATAAAAGTATCATGTCCATGTTAAATTTCTTGTTTTGATAGTTGTACTGTGCTTATGAAAGAGAATGTTCGGCCAGACATGGTGACCCACGCCTGGAATCCCAGCACTTTGGGAGGCTGAGGCAGGTGGATCACCTGAGGTCAGGAGTTCAAAGACCAGCCAGCCCACCATGGTGAAACCCCATCTCTACTAAAGAATACAAAAATTAGCCGGACGTGGTGGTGGGCGCCTGTAATCCCAGCTACTGGGGAAGCTGAGGCAGGAGAATCGCTTGAACCCAGATGAAGGAGGTTGCAGTGAGCCAAGATCGCACCATTGCACTCCAGCCTGGACGACAAGAGCAAAACTCTGTCTCAAAAAAAAAAAAAAAAAAAAAAAGGAAAGAGAATGTTCTTGATCTTAGGAACTACACACAAGTGTCCTGAGGTAAAGAAAGACACATGATGTTCTCCAACCTAATTCTCAAATGGCTCATAACACAATAGATATAGATGATGCATGTATCCTTATGGAGGGGAGAAGAGGGAACAGTAAGACAAATGGAACAAATTGTAAACAATTGGCAAATCTGGGTAAAGAGTATACAGAAATCCTTTGTACTCTTGTTACTTTTTTTTTTTTTCTGAGACCAAGTCTCACTCTGCTGCCCAGGCTGGAGCGCAGTGGCGAGATCTCGGCTTACTGCAACCTCCGCCTCCCGGGTTCAGGCGATTCTCCTGCCTCAGCCTCCTGAGTAGCTGGGACTACAGGCACCCACCATCACGCCCAGCTGATTTTTGTATTTTTAATAGAGACGGGATTTCACCATGTTGGTCAGGCTGGTCTTGAACTCCTGACCTCAGGTGATCTGCCAGCCTCAGCCTCCCAAAGTGCTGGGATTACAGGTGTGAGCCACTGCATCAGGCTTCTTGTTACTTTTCTAAAAGTTTACAATTATACTAAAATAAAGCATTACCAAAAAAGTTATTTTATAGCCTGTAAGAATGTCATTAAAATTTTTTTTTTTTTTTTTGAGACAGAGTCTTGCTGTTGCCCAGGCTGGAGTGCAGTGGTGCGATCTCGGCTCACTGCAGGCTCCGCCCCCCGGGGTTCACGCCATTCTCCTGCCTCAGCCTCCTGAGTAGCTGGGACTACAGGCGCCCGCCACCTAGCCCGGCTAATTTTTTGTATTTTTAGTAGAGACGGGGTTTCACCATGTTAGCCAGGATGGTCTTGATCTCCTGACCTCGTGATCCGCCCGCCTGGGCCTCCCAAAGTGTTGGGATTACAGGCGTGAGCCACCGCGCCCGGCCCTTTTTTTTTTTTTTTTTTTTTTTTTTGAGACGAAGTCCTGCTCTGTCACAGGCTACAGCGCAGTGGTGCAATCCTGGCTCACTGCAACCTCTGCCTCCCCGGTTCAAGTGATTCTTGTGCCTCAGCCTCCTGAGTAGCTGGGATTACAGGCGCATGCCACCATGCCCAGCTAACTTTTGTATTTAAGTAGACTCTGTGTTTCACCATGTTGGCCAGACTGGTCTCGAACTCTTGTTTTGAAGTGATCCACCCACCTCTGCCTCCCAAAGTGCTGGGATTACAGGCATGAGCCACCATACCCGAGCAGGTGTGTTTGTTTGTTGTTTGGAGACAGGGTCTCGTTCTGTCACCCAGACTGGAATGCAGTGGCATGAGCTCGGCTCACTGCAACCTCTGCCTCCTGGGCTCAAGGGATCCTCTTGCCTTAGCCTCCCTAGTAGCCGCCATACCTGGCTAATTTTTGTATTTTTTGTAGAGACAGGGTTTTGCCTTGTTGCCCAGGCTGGTATTGAACTCCTGAGCTCAAGCAATCCACCTGCCTCTGTCTCCCACAGTACTGGGATTACAGGAAATTTCAGAGATAAAATTAGGTATCAACACTGTATGCCAGGTACTGTTTTAAGCCTTTCACACTAATCGACTCATTTAATCCCCAAAACCATTCCATGGGATAGGTGCTATTATTACTCTCATCTTGGTTTTTTTGGTTTTGTGGCTTTTTTTTTTTGAGACAGTGTCTTGCTCTATCACCCAGGCTGGAGTGCAGTGATGCAATTTTGGCTCACTGCAACTCCACCTCCCGGGTTCAAGCAATTCTCCTGCCTCAGCCTCCCAAGTAGCTGGGATTACAGTCACCCGCCACCACGCCCGGCTAATTATTACTCTCATCTTAGTGAAGAGGAAACTGAAGAGAGGTTGAGTAACTTGTGGATCACACAGCTGTAGGATCAAGCTCTTCATAATAACACACAATCAAGAAGGTTTAAGGATGGCCAGGATATGCTCTACTGATAATTCAGGACCAAGTACTCTGTAAAATGTCTGGAGGGAGGAAAGGCAACTTTATTTATTTATTTATTTATTTAGAAACGAAGTCTCACTCTGTCGCCAGGCTGGAGTGCAGTGACACAATCTCGGCTCACAGCAACCTCTGCCTCCCAGGTTCAAGCAATTGTCCTGCCTCAGCCTCCAGAGTAGCTGGGATTACAGGCGCGTGTCACCACACCCGGCTAATTTTCTGTATTTTTAGTAGAGATGGGGTTTCACCATGTTAGCCAGGATGGTCTCGCTCTCCTGACCTGGTGATCTGCCCGCCTCAGCCTCCCAAAGCGCTGGGATTACAGGTGTGAGCCACCACGCCCAGCCAGAAAGTCAACTTTTTTTTTTTTTTTTGAGACAGAGTCTTGCTCTGTCACCCAGGCTGCAGTGCAGTGGCGCAATCTTGGCTCACTGCAACCTCCACCTCCCAGGTTCAAGCAATTCTCATGCCTCAGCCTCCCAAATAGCTGGGATTACAGGCGTATGCCACTACACCTGACAAATTTTTGTGTTTTTAGTAAAGACAAGTTTTCGCCATGTTGGCCAGGCTGGTCTCAAACTCCTCACCTCAAGTGATCCGCCCGCCTCAGCCTCCCAAAGTGTTGGGATTACAGGCGTGAGCCACCACGCCCAGAATAGAACATTTTATAAGAATACACAACAAAAGCACAGTGGCTCAAGCCTGTAATCCCAGCACTTTGGGAGGCCAAAGCAGGCAGATCGCTTGGGCCCAAGAGTTTGAGACTAGCCTGGGCAACATGGCCAGACCCTGTCTCTACAAAAAATTAAAAAATTAGCCGGGCATGTGCCTATAGTCCCAGCTACTTGGGAGGTTGAAGCAAGAGGATTACCTGAGCCCAGGAGGTCAAGGCTGCAGTAAGCTGTGATCATGCCACTGCACTCCAGCCTAGGCAGCACAGTGAGACCACGTTTCAAATAAACAAATAAATAAAAGTGGATATTGAAAATGATCAGGTTTGTTTGAAGAAAATTCTGATTTCTCCTCCAGTGATAATGGCTAGTAGGTTCAGCTACATAATCAGCAGCCACTTTATTTCTCTCTCTCTTTTTTTTTTTTTTTTGAGACACAGTCTCACTCTGTCACCCAGGCTGGTGTACAGTGGCTCGGTCTCAGCTCACTACAACCTCCAACTCCCAGGTTCAAGCGATTCTCCTGCTTCAGCCTGAGTAGCTGGGATTACAGGCATGCGCCACCACTCCTGGCTAATTTTTGTATTTTTAGTAGGGACGGGGTTTCTCCATGTTGGTCAGGCTGGTTTCGAACTTCTGACCTCAGGTGATCTGCCGGCCTCAGCCTCCCAAAGTGCTGGGATTACAGGCGGGAGCCACCGTGCCTCGCCTATTTCTCTCTTTTATTTTGGTTAAACCTTGCATAATTCAGGACTGATTTTTGCATCATTTGAGTGTCAAATTGAGGCAGGGGCTCAGAGCACTTAAACCTAAATTCATCATAGGAAAGTTGTCCCTTGAAGTTGCCTTTCCTCCCCACGAACATTTTACAGAGTACTTGCTCCTGGGTGGCAGAGCGACCTTATCTCAAAAAAAAAAAAAAGAATATGCAACAAAATATGCAGTTACTTTAAAAGGAGCTTTTTCCAATAAGGACACTAAATAAAATATGCTTAACATCATTAGCTATCAGGAAATGCAAATCAACACCACAGTAAGATGCCATTTAACACCCACTAGGACAACTATAATCAAAAAGTCAGATACTAGTAAGTGTTGGTGAGGATGTGGAGAAAATGGGACCCTCATATACTGCTGGTGGAAATGTAAGATCATACAGCTGATGGAAAACAGTCTGGCAGTTCTTCAGATGGTTAAAAATAGAATTATCATATGACCCAACAATTCTACTGCTAGGGTATATACCCAAGAGAATTGAAAACATATGTCTACACAGAATACTTGTACCTGAATATTGATAGCAGCATTATTCACAATAGCCCAAAAGTATAAACAACCCAAATGTCCATCAACTCATAGATAAACAAATGTAATACATCCATACAATGGAATATTATTTAGCCGATAAAGGAATGAAACTCTGATACATGCCTGGTGACAGAGTGAGACTCCATCTCAAAAAAAAAAAGGAATACAGGCCAGCCACGGTGGCTCACATGTATAATCCCAGTGCTTTCAGAGGCTGAGGCTGGAGGATCACTTGAGCACAGGAGTTCAAGACCAGCCTGGGCTGGAGTGCAGTGGCATGATCTCAGGTTCAAGCGATTCTCGTGCCTCAGCCTCCCAAGTACCTGGGATCACAGGCGTGTGCCACCACACCCCGCTAATTTTTGTATCTTTAGTAGAGATGGAGTTTCACCATGTTGGCCAGGGTAGTCTCGAACTCCTGACCTGAGGTGATCCGCCCACCTCCGCCTTCCAAAAGTGCTGGGATTAAACATGTGAGCCACCGCACCCAGCCGAATTGTTCACTTTAAATGAGTGAATTGTCTGATACATGAATTATATCTCAGTAGAGCTGTTTTTCTAAAAGCTCTTTATGTACTAATATAAAACAATCTCCAAGGTATATTAAGTGAAAAAAGCAAAGTGTAAAACTATTAGATATGTAACCATCTGAGTAAGAAAATATAATTATGTTTGTAAATATACAGATATTTCTGGGGGAACTCATAAAACTCCAGTAACACTGACTGCCTCTGGAGAGGGGAACTGGATGACTGACGGATCCAGAGTAGAAGCAGAATTGTTATTTTTAAAATAAGAGATGCCCAAAAATACATAAAAATTAACACAATGAATACCATGTGCCTACCGCCCAGTTTTAAAAACCATTACACCAGGCGCAGTGGCTCACACCTATAATCCCAGCACTTTGGAAGGCCGAGGTGAGCGGATTGCTTGAGTCCAGGACTTCAAGACCAACGTGGGCAACATAGCAAGCCCCCTTCTCTACAAAAAAACCTGCAAAAATTGGGCCGGGTGCAGTGGCTCACGACTGCAATCCCAGCACTTTGGGAGGCCGAGGCGGGCGGATCACCTGAGGTTGGGAGTTTGAGACCAGCCTGACCAACACGGAGAAACCCCGTCTCTACTAAAAATACAAAAAAATTAGCCAGGCATGGTGGCGCATGCCTGTAATCTCAGCTACTTGGGAGGCTGAGGCAGGAGAATCGCTTGAACCCGGGAGGCACAGGTTGCGGTGAGCCAAAATCACGCCATTGCACTCCAGCCTGGGCAACAAGAGCAAAACTCGGTCTCAAAAAAAAAAAAATTAGCCAAACGTGGTGGCACGCACCTGTAGTCCCAGATACTCAGGAGGCTGAGGTGGGAGGATCACTTGACCCTGAGAGGCGGAGAGTGCAGTGAGTTGAGATCGCACCACTGCAGTCTAGCCTGGGCGACAGAGCAAGACCCTGTCTCAAAAAATAATAATAATAAATAAAAATAAAAAATAAACACAAGGAGCCCCACTGTCTTACCCCACACCTTGCGCTTTCACAGGCTCACACTTCCTTCAGGTGGCGGAGTCCCTCACATGATGCAGTGAAGGGAGATGTGGAGTCTTGCTGGGTCGCCCAGGCTAGAATGCAGTGGCACAATCTCGGCTCACTGCAATGTCTGCCTCCTGGGTTCAAGCGACTCTCCTGCCTCAGCCTCCTGAGCAGCTGGGACTACAGGCCTATACCATCACGCCTGGCTACATTTTTGTATTTTTAGTAGAGACAGGGTTTCACCATGTTGGCCAGGCTGGTCTGGAACTCCTGACCTCAAGTGATCCACCTGCTTTGGCCTCCCAAAGTGCAGGGATTACAGGTGTGAGCCACCATGCCCGGCCCAATTTGCTTTTTTCACTCAGTGTTTTAGTTTATTCATATTGATATGTGCAACATTAGTTCATTTTCATTGATGTACACTATCCCACATCCAATATGTAAAACATAATGCATCCAACACTGGTGTCTTATTTTCCAACATGACCACAATGCGAGTTCTCATCCCACATGCTCTTCTTACAAGGAGATGTTGACTTCCTCTTACTGAGAAGTGGGATCTATCATGCCTCCTCCTGAATCTGATGGGCCAGTGACTGTGGCAGAAGTGAAGCCCTGTGGCTTCCAATGCTAGGTTAGAAAAGGCCATACAGGGCTGGGCATGGTGGCTCACGCCTGTAATCCCAGCACTTTGGGAGGCCGAGGCGGTCGGATCACGAGGTCGAGATCGAGACTATCCTGGCCAATATGGTGAAACCCCATCTCTACTAAAAATACAAAAAATTAGCCAGGCATGGTGGCGGGCGCCTGTAGTCCCAGCTACTTGGGAGGCTGAGGCAGGAGAATGGCGTGAACCCAGGAGGCGGAGCTTGCAGTGAGCTGAGATCGCACCACTGCACTCCAGCCTGGGCGACAGAGCGAGACTCCATCTCAAAAAAAAAAAAGAAAAGGCCATACAGTTTCCTCTGGCTCTCAAGAAGCTCCTTCTTGAAACCCAGCTGCCATGCTGTAAGGAAGCACAGGCCACAGGAAGAAGTCATGTGTAGGCATTCTGGCTGGCAGCCCAAGCTGGGCCCCAGATAAGTGCCAGTACTGGTTAACCACCAGGTATCTGAGGAAGTTTTAAGACGACACCAACCTCAGCCAACATCTTACTAAAATCACATGAGCGCCCCCAAGTGATAACAGCCTAATTAAGTCCAGTCAACCCCTGGGACTATAAGAGATAATAAAATGATTGTTAATTTAAGCCACTAAGTTTTGGGGTGATTAGTGATGCATTAGGTAACTGGAACAACTATGCCACAATCTGTCCATTCTCCAGTTGCTGGATATTTGTTTCCACATTTATGCTATTACAAACAGCACTGCTGTGAACATTCTCATACATGTCTTTTGCATGTACGTGGAAGTTTCTCCAGGGTATATATTTGCTAGGAGAGTAACTGCTGGGTTGGAAAGTGTGTCACCTTCAACTTTACCACAACCTACCAAACTATTTTCCAAGATGGTTGGTACCAGCTTACATTCCATCAGCAAAGTATATCCTCCCATTACTCCAAATCTTCCCTAACACTTGAGACTTAAGGTTTTTGCCAGTCTACTGGGTGCACAATGGTCTTATTTCATATCCTTTTAAGGACTGGAATTTTGTACTGTTCCCATGAATTAATCCAAAATAAGTGCTTAAACCTATAGTAATGTTGCTTTTTTAAATTTTTTATTTTTTCGAGACAGGGGCTCACTCTGTTGCCCAGGCTAGAGTGCAGTGTCGTGATCACAGCTCACTGCAGCTTCTACCTGTTGCGCTCAAGTGATCCTCCTGCCTCAGCCACCCAAGCAGCTGGGACTACAGCCATGCGCCACCACGCCGAGCTAATTTTTAAATTTTTTGTAGAGATGGAGTTTCACCATGTTGCCCAGTCTGGTCTGGAACTCCTGGGCTGAAGAGATCTGCCTGCCTTGGCCTCCCCAAGTGTTGGGATTACAGGCATGAGCCACCATGCCCAGCCCGCTTTTCCTTTTTAAGAATGATTTACACATTGGGGTTCCATATTAAGGCTTCATTTTCTAAAAGGGAGTTGTCACTGGGTATGATGGCTCATGCCTGTAATTCCTACAATTACAGGCAAGAGGCAGGAGGATCATCTGAGTCCAGGAGTTCAAGGCTGCAGTAAGCTACGATTGTGCCTCTGCAATCTGGCCTGGGTGACAGAGCAAGATCCTGTCTCCATAATCCCAGCTACTCGGGAGGCAGAGGCTGCAGTGAGATTACACCACTGCACTCTGGCCTGGGCAACAGAGGGAGACTCTGTCTCAAAAAAAAAAAAGGTATAGAAAAAAAGAAGGGAGGCTCCAGTAGCAGCCAAGCACATCTCATGCCTAGATCTTGGTTTCCACCACTGTTCTGCAATTAAAAGGACCAGGCTCCTTGGAAAAATGGTTGGCTCCAGGACTGGGGCAGGAAATATTCAAGATGAGCCTGCAGCATCTCTAGAGCCTGAAAGTAAGGACACAGTAAAAACAAAAACAAGGCTGGGTGCGGTGGTTCACGCCTATAATCCCAGCACTTTGGGAGGCTGAGGCGGGCAGATCAACTGAGGTCAGAAGTTCAAGACCAGCCTGAACAATATGATGAAACCCCATCTCTATTAAAAATACAAAAATTAGCCAGGCATCGTGGCATGTGCCTGTAATCCCAGCTACTCAGGAGGCTAAGGCAGGAGATCACTTGAACTCAGGAGGCGGAGGTTGTGGTGAGCTGAGATTGCACCATTGCACTCCAGCCTGGGCAACAAGAACGAAACTCCGTCTCAAAAACAAAAACAATGGGAGTATAACAAGTCAAAGGGACTCTGGAACCAACTGAAAGAGCTCCCCATGGCCAAAGTCAGACTAATGTGAGTGACAAAATAAAGAAAGTAACGTTGGATGATAACCTCAAATACAAAGTAAATATCCCTGAGTCCAAACTCATAAAAATAAATGACTAAGTTACTAAATGAGGAGAAGAGACACATTTCCTTTGCAGAAGAATTCCAAATAATTTATGTAAATCCCTTGCCCCCAAGGAGATGGAGCATAAACCCCCCAACTCCTTACATGCAGGCTGTGCAGTGAATTCCTTCCAAAGAGGACAAGGTGTAAAGGGAGAAAGAAGAGTAGCTTTACAAAGTGGAGAAACTTGACAAACAGGTGATCAGGATGAACAAAAACAGTGGTGAATCATGTGGTCAGTGTGTCCCCTTGATATGTGATGAAATGACACTTCCCCTTTGAGGTCTTCCTCCAAAAAACACGTAACTCCAGTGTAATCATGAGAAAAATATCAGACAAATCCCAGCTGAGGGGCATCCCATAATATGTCTGACCAGAACTCTTCGAAACTATCAAAGTAGGCATCAAAACCAAAGAAAGTCTGAGCAACTGCCCTAGCCAAGAGGAACCTAAGGAGACACGACAACTCCTTACTTGTCAATATAAATGTCTGGAGCCAGAATGTTATCAAATTTGATAACATAATGTCATATGAGATCCTGGAACAGTAAAATACATTAGGCAAAACTAAGGCAATCTGAATAAACTATAGACTTTAGTTAATACTAATGGATCGATATTATTTCATTAATTGTGACAAACGTACCACCCCAATGTCAGATGTCATTAATATTAGGAGTAACTGAGCGTGGGGTATACAGCAGCTCTCTGCACTATCTTCTCAATTTTTTCTGCAACTCTAAAACTATTCTAAGGCCAGGTGTGGTGGCTCATGCCTGTAATCCCAACATTTTGGGAGGCTGAGGTGAGTACATCGCTTGAGCTCAGGAATCTGAGACCAGCTAGGGCAATATAGTGAGACCTCGTCTCTACAAGAAAAAAAACAACTGGCCGGGCATGGTGGCTCACGCCTGTAATCCCAGCACTTTGGGAGGCCGAAGTGAGCAAATCGCCTGAGGTCAGGAATTCGAGACCAGCCTGGTTAACACGGTGAAACCCCATATCTACTAAAAATAAAAAATTAGCCAGGCATGGTGGCGCATGCCTGTAATCCCAGCCACTCAGGAGGCTGAGGCAGGAGAATTGCTTGAACCCGGCAGACGCAGGCTACAGTGAGCCGAGATCACCCCACTGCACTCCAGCCTGGGCGAGAGAGTGACACTCCATCTCAAAAAAAAAAAAAAATTTAAATTAAAAAATTAGCTGAGCATGGTGGCAGGTGCCCGTAGCCCCAGGTACTCAGGAGGCTGAGGCAATAGGATCACTTGAGCCTGGTAGGTGGAGGCTACAGTGAGCTGGGATCATACCACTGCACTCCAGTCTGGGTGACAGAGCAAGCCCCTATCTATAAATGAATAAATAAAGCTGTTCTAAAAATAAAGTCTATTACAAAAAAAAAAAGAGAGAGAGAGAGAGAGATTTAGCCCTGATTTTGCAAAGGGAAATGTCTCCTCTGCTGCAGGACCCCGACAGGCCTTCAAAGTTGGGTCTATAGTTGCAGCACTTGCCAAACTAACTCAGGTCAGATGCCCAAAGGAGGGGTGGAGGTGGCTGCAGCTCAACTCTTGGCTCATCTCAGCAGCAGGGGGCTTGGGCACTGGAGAAAGGGGGGCTGAGGCTGGCCCAGGCCTTGGCCACTTGCCACAGATACTGCTAGTTTGCATCTGGCTTTAGTATCCACTGATGTGGGCTACCAGAGGAAGGGATGTGTCCAGAGGTGGCCTTGTCTCAGGGCGACCATCCACACAGAATCACTCTGCTGGGCTGCTGCAGGTCTGGTTCTGCCATTCAGCATGAGCCCTGGGCTCGCTGCACCACCATCTCCTCATCCGTTTATGGGATGAGAATAGGAAGACCCTGCCTTTTATGATGTTGCCCTCAGGATTCGACAAGTCCAACAACTTAGCCAAGCGTTGATTTAGTACTTCCTGGCACACAGGTGGTAGTCAACGTTAGCTCTCAGCATCCCCTGACCCAACTCCTCCAGCGGTCTCCAGCTGGAAGAGTCCAACTGCTCTTCATTCCTTTATGAAATGGGGTGGTCACTGTGTAAATAAATCACCTGAAGGATGCCAATCATCTTGGAGGAGAGGCTAGTTCAGATCTGCAACGGACTCATCACCAGTATTTGCACTTAAATAATGTAATGTAATAATGTGTTCTTCGAAGTCACCCCTGAATTGATCCCATGTGTAAGGAAAATTGTTCATTCTAGGACTACTTGTAATAGCACGAGGTAGGAAACAACCTGAATTTCCTTCAAAAAGGAACTGGTTAAATAAATTAGACTACTAAGACACGTGTATGCTTGTACATGGATCCTATATGCTCCTCTGCTGTGTGTGTGTGTGTGTGTGTACATCTCACTGGAAAGATTACACAAGAAATTGGTTAACATTTGTAGTCTCTGAGGAAGGGACTAGGGGGCTAGGAGACATGGGAAGATACTTTTCACTGTAGAGACTTTTGTATCTTTTGCATTTTGAACCATGTGAATGTATTCTTAATTTTTTTTTTTCGAGACAAGAGTCTTGCTCTGTTGCCCAAGTGGAGTTGCAGTGGTGCGATCACAGCTCACTGCAGCTTCAACCTCCTGGGCTCAAGGGATCCTCCCACCTCAGCCTTACAAGTAGCTGGGAATACAGGCATGATCCACCAAACGTGGCTGTGAATGTATTATTTATGCTCAAAAATGCCTAACAGACAGGGCATGGTGGCTCATGCCTGTAATCCCAACACTTTGGAAAGCTGAGATGGGAGGATTGCTTGAGACTAGTAGTTTGAGACCAGCCTGGGCAACATAGAAAGACCCTGTCTCTAAAAAACTAAAAGTAAAAAGTGCTTAATAGAATCAGTGAAAAAAAAAAATCTACCCCTGTGGGTCATGGCTGTTGGGGCGGGCTCGGGAGAACTGCCAAGTCAAATGTATAACGGGTGGGCCACTGTGACTCTGGAGCAGCTGGGAGGTGGAGGCGGCATCGGCTCAGGTCACAAGGATGTGGCTCTCAAGGCGAGCAGCATCCTAGCTGCAAATGCTTCCTAGGACAAGCCAATAAGGTTGGTGCGGACATCTACACATGGACAACTCTAGAGAGTCCAAATCCACTGTTTTTTTTTTGTTTTTTTTTTTGAGACAGTCTCACTCTGTCGCCCAGGCTGGAGTGTAGTGGTATGATCTCTGCTCACGGCAACCTCCGCCTCCTGGGTTCAAGTGATTCTCGTGTCTCAGCCTCCCAAGTAGCTGTGATTACAGGCGTGCACCAACACACCGGCCAATTTTTGTATTTTTAGTAGAGATGGGGTTTTGCCATGTTGGCCAGGCTGGTCCTGAACTCCTGACTTCCAAGTGATCCACCTGCCTCAGCCTCCCAAAGTGCTGGGATTACAGGCGTAAGCCACCATGCCAGGTCCAAAATCACTGTCTTAAGACCTCCGCCTTGACCCTTCTCCAAAAGGGCTATGTTTCAAATCTGCTATCAAGGCAGCCCAGGTGGCTGGGTGCAGTGGCTCATGTCTGTAATCCCAGCACTTTGGGAGGCCGGTGAGAGAGGATCACTTGATCCCAAGAGTTCGAGCCCAGCATAGGGTACATAGTGAGACCTCGTCTCCATAAAATATAAAATAAAATAAAAATTTTTAAAAGGCACCACAGGGTAGGGATTAACGGGCAAGGATTCTGAAGTCTGCTCCCTGGGGTCAAACTCAGTCCTGCCACCCGCCAGCTGGGTGAGGCCTTCAGCAGTTAACTCCCCTCTCTGTGCCTCTGTAAAGCGCAACAATAAGAGAATCTCCCTGGCACAGCTAAACCCTGTGTGGTAAATTACCTATATATGTTTTTATATCATTGCAGTTCCTATTACACATTGAGAAATTACCATGGCTCTTAAATTTAGCAACTGGAACTCTTCCAGTTCACCCCAGCAGTTGTTAAAATTACCTATGAAGTAGAATCAGAGGAAATTATTAGGAAACAAAGAAGGCTGAAGCTCAGCAGGGAAAGTGCGCATGTGTGAGCTCTTCCTGGTGGCAATGACCTGAAGGGGCGGCCCCTGGAATCTGAGGGCCAGCATTTGCTGTCCTTTGAGGTCAGGCCTCAGCCAGTCTCAGGAGGGTCTAGCCTGGGCCCCCACAGAGAAAGGCATCTATTACTGCTCTCTACAGTTGTCCCTCATCCTGAAGTCCGGCCCTTCACACCCCATCCCCAGTGCCTGGGACACTGCATGACACACAGTCAGCCCCCAATATGACGTAACTGAAAAACTGAAAATAATGGATTTAGGAAGATGAAAGAAGTTCTGGAGATGGATGATGGCGAAGGGTACACAACAGTGTGAAAGTACTTAATGCCACTGAATGGTACAGTTTAAAATAGTTAAAATGGTCCAGGCGCAGTGGCTCACACCTGTAATCCCAGCACTTTGGGAGGCTGAGGCGGGCGGATCACCTAAGGTCAGGAGTTCGAGACCAGCCTGGCCAACGTGGTGAAACCCCATCTACTAAAAATATGAAAATTAGCTGGGAGTGGTGGCAGGTGCCTGTAATCCCAGCTACCAGGGAGGCTGAGGCAGGAGAATAGCTGGAACCCTGGAGGTGGAGGTTTCAGTGAGCCAAGATCATGACATTGTCCTCCAGCCTGGGCAACAAGAGCAAAACTCTAACTCAAAAAAAAAATAAACAATAAAAATAAAATAAAATGGTTAAAATTGTAAATTTCACGAGGTATATTTTCACACAATGAAAATAAATAAATAAACGGATGAGATCTAGTCTCATCTTTACCTGCTCTCTCATTAATTCTCCTCCAACCCCCTGACCTCTCCTAGGCTGTCTCTTTTTGTCAGTTCCTGTTCTCTAAACAGGGAAAGGGCCCCAGATTCCCTCCAATCTCTATGATCCCTTTCCAGCTGGTATTACCAGGCCCTTGGCTTTTTTTTTTTTTTTTTTTGAGATGGAGTCTCGCTCTTGTTGCCTAGGCTGGAGTGCAGTGGCACGATCTCAGCTCACTGCAACCTCCACCTCCCGGGTTCAAGCGATCCTCCTGCCTCAGCCTCCTAAGTAGCCGGGATTACAGGCACCTGTCACCACACCCGGCTAATTTTTGTATTTTTAGTAGAGACGGGGTTTCACCATCTTGGCCAGGCTGGTCTCGAACTCCTGACCTTGTGATCCACCCGCCTTGGCCTCCCAAACTGCTGGGATTACAAGCGTAAGCCACCACGCCCAGCCAAGGCCCTTGGCTTTGATTCCAGCTGTACCCTGCGCACTGTCAGCAGCCATGAACCCCCAGCCCAGGTGTCCGCCTGAGCCCCAGCGGGGACCCTAACAGGCGCAATGCAGTCAGAACACAGCTCCCTCTTCCTTGACCTTCCTCCCGTCTCCCCTTCTCTGTTAACAGCCGTTCCCCCAGATGCTCCGGTCTAACATCTAGGCGGGCCCTATGATTCTCATCTTCTCTAGCCCCAACTTCCAACCCATCAGCACATCCCACAGCTCTTCCTCCAAAGCACACCCTAAGCAGCCCAAGCGGCCCTCTTCCCTGCTCCCCACTGCCATGCCCTCGCAGCCATCCTGGCTTCCTGCCTGGACTGCTGCAGTGGCATCCACCCCAGCCCTCCCAGCCATTCCTTCTCCTCACAGAAGCCAGAGCGATGATCCTAAATGAAACTCAGCTCAGCACATCCCAGCTCCAAATCCTCCCGATCCAGCACTCCCGGGTCACTGTGCACATTCCTCCTCCTTGATCACAACACCCCCAGCCACCTAGCCCCTGCCCACCCACCTCTGCCTCATGCTGGAGGCAGGGCCCACCCTCACCCACAGCCACCAGCCTTCTTCCTGTTCCTTGTCCCACCTCAGCACCTCTGCCCCTGGCTGTCCCTCTGTCTGAAAGCTCTCCTCCTGAACTTCATGAAGCCACATTCCCAACTTGGCCTCCATGTCACCCCTTCTGCAAGGCCTTCCTATCCACAACCACTGAAGCGGCCCTGGCCACTTTCTCCCACTCCTCAGATTCCTTGGCCAGCACCACCGCTTTACCTACACCCCATCCCTGGAGAGGCCCTGCTCACTACCTGCTACCAGCTCCTAGGACAGGCCTGGCTCAGGGGCGCTGTGCAGCAGGGAGGGGTGGGCGACCAAACCAGTGGAAACTCATGGTCTCACAAACGGAGCCCATCATTTGGAAAGGTGCCAGCAGGCAGGTGAAATCCATGGGGGGAGGGGATAGAGTGACAAAACCACTACGGCTTATTGGGGGCAGGGGGCGGCCTAACTGAATGGTGACTGTGGCCATTACTCCCCCTGACTCAGGGCTTGCAGCAGGGACATGGACCATGTGTGTGCAGGAAGCCTGACCTTTAGAGACACAGCCCAATCCTCTGCCACCATCCCCAGCCCAGCTGCGCATAGTGTGAAACAGTCCTGCAACTCACCCTGAAGGAGTGGGGGAAATGATTTGAAAGTCACAAAAATATATTAAAACAGCAGCTGTCTTCACTCTAGGCACTGGCCTCCCTTCCCAGTGCCCCTTGCCCACCACCCGCCATACACTTTCAGAGACAGATGCCCAGGGCAGGAAAACGGATGCGCCTCAGCCGCAGCCCAGGGTCTGGAGAGGTCCCTCCAGCCTGGGAGTAGAGGGCGGCTAACAGTCTCAACAGGCTCGACGCCACCGCCGACGAGGGGGCCGCTGGGAGGCCGGAGGTACAGGAGGGTCGGGCAGGACGCAGCGGACAGTCGGGCCTTGCCACGGGGACAGAAAACAGAAGAGAAATGAACAAAGTGAAGACAGGGAGAGAGAGAAGTCACAGCAGTGGGGGGAGGCGCAGAGGAGTGAGGGAGGTCAGTGGGGAGTGGGGGAAGGGAGGCCCACCAGGTGACACCCACTTAGTTGAGGGGGACAGGGAGGCTGATGAGCTGGGGTCTGAGGCAGCAGACCCTGCTCAGGGGAAGAAGGGGAATGTAGGAGAGGAAGAAGCCCCCTGGCACTTGGGAGAGGTAGAAAAGTGGGTTCTGCCAAGGCCACAGCCAGAGAAGAAAGCACAGAGGACATGAGAGAAGGGGAGTCCTGGAGCAGGCCAGGCCAGCTGCGACGACCATCCCAGGCTAGGAGAAATGGGGTGATCCCCCGAATGCTCGGGCCTAGCTCTAGAGCCCGAGGGAGACAAGCTGTGTCATCCAGGAGCTGGTGGGAGGCGTGATGAAGCCAGGAGCCTGGGGCGGCCAGGGCAGATGCCCGCAGGCTCTGCTGCCTGCACCCCGCCCACAGGTGGGCTAGAAGGTCCTGCGGCCCAGTCTTTTGAACACGCTCACAGTGCCCGCGTGGTCCATCTGGGCACCAAGGCCCTCGCTGGAGCTGCTCCCCCGGGGCCCCACCAGAGTCCTCTTAATGGTGACCTTGACCTCGGCTGAGGACTTACTCTTGGTGCTGGTGACCTGGCTGTCCTGGGCCTCGGGCACAAGGGCAGCTGCGCCCAGTCTCTTGATGATGCTGACTTTAGACAAGGACTCCGGCTTCCTCTCAAGCCCAGACCGTGAGGAAAGCGCCAGGCGCCGCAGTGTCGGGGCAGCAGCCGTTGTCGCTGAGCTTGTGGCCTTGGCTTTGACAGTCAGTGCTGGCTGGGGACTGGCCTTGGCTGGGCCCCGTCCTAGCTTCTTCAGGACCCCGGCATACTGCAAGACAGAGCTGCTGCTGTCATTGTCGCTGTCCCAAGCCAGATCCTCGTCCGTTTCTGGGGTGGCCCCCAGGCGGCTGAAGACTCCTGTGGGCTGTGGAGGTCAGAGACAGGATGAATGAGTCACTGAGTCACTCAACACACATTCATGGAGAGCTGCTTCCTCTGTGCCTGGCCTCCTGGGACTCACAGTTGGGAGAAACACCCATCACTGACACCCCAGATAGTGGCGAGAGCCATGATGGGGGAGTCCAGGGGACTGGAGGAGCCCAGAGGAAGTACCTGACCTTCCTAGAAGTTCAGGGAGGGCGCCCTGAGAGGGGGGACATCTGAGCTGGAAGTAGGTCTAAGAAAGAGGGAAGAGGACGGGAGTGCCGCACAAAGGGAATGTCATTTGCAAGGTCAATAGGTGGGCATGAGTGGAGTGGAGAGATTAATCTGGTCATTCACTCCACGAATATTTTGAGTCCCAATTCTATATTGTACCTGGTCCTAGGCCGGCAGTGCTAGGGACACAGTGATGACCAAGACAGCCTCAGCGCTGCCCGCATGGGGCTCACAGTCCAGTGGGGAAGACAGGCTTGGCATCAGAAATGACACAAATAATTCTGCAAGAATGACAGTAACGCATTCTAGACGGAGAAGGACAGCTGGAGGGCAGAAGACAGGGGTGGCTCCTCATCAGTCCAGAGGAACTTTCCCTGAGGCACCAACTTTGAAGCCAGGCCCTCCAAGATGAATTAGCAAAGAAAAGAGTATGTGCTATGCCCTGAAGGCAGGAAGTATAATCCTATGTATTGAGCACTCGCTATGCGCCCAGCTCTTCATAGGGCTGGAACTTCCAGCCACATGATCCCGAGTGTTCCCATCCTCCTCATGGTAAGATTCTTGGAAGTGAGCAAGCCCGAGTTGCTGCACCCTGCAGAGCAGGACACTGGCAGGCAGGAAACGCAGCTGGGAGGCTCTGCAATAGTTCACCAACAGGCGCCGCACACCCCAGCACCATGCGGGGATGATCTTAACTCTACAGCCATCCTTGGAGGTGGGTCTATACAGATGAGGAGGCTGAAGTACAAAGGACTTAAGTGACATGGCCAAAGCCACGCAGTCAGGCCCCTGTGGGCTTCAGGGTGTACTCTGAGCTACACACCAGGCCTGGGGCCTGTGGGACTGCGGGCCGCGGCAGGAAGTACAGGCTGCATCATGGGCACAGTGAAGAGCCTCTGCAGGGCTTCCAGTGAGGGGACGGGCCCTGTCCTGTGGGCCGCACACACTGCTGCTGTGGGGATAGGGGCTGGGGTCCATGGTAACTGTGCGAGACCATTCAGGAGGCTATCATCCTATCCTGACAGGGAGAGGTGGCAGAGGAGGGAGAGACAGTAGAGTCATCAGACCCACTGACAGACTGCAATGGGGAGGGCAGGCAGCCCTCAGATGGGGGCCCAGGAGAGGGCTGACTTGGGGAAAGACACTAAGACCAGTTGGGGACATGGTGGGTGGGAGGCATCCAGGAGTACTGGACCCCCAGGGCTGGAAACTGGGAGAGAAGCCAGGGCAGAAGACAGATGGGAAAGCCGCCAGTGCAAAGCCAGGAACTGAGGCTGGAAAGGCAGGTTAGACGGCCCTGGGCCGAGTGAGGTTGAGATGTGTTAAAGAGTCAGGAGCACCGCTCAGGGAAGACAACAGCTCGCACGCCCAGAATCGCTCCCCCATCCCCACTCACTTTACTCCCTGTCGTGGTGTCTGCCTTGGTCTCGGCGCCGAGGCGGTCAAACACAGACGTCCTATGGAGACCTGGGAGGGAAGTGAAGCCATCAGGGAGAGGCCCCGGTGGGCCAGGCCTAGGCTGAGCTCTGTACAGACACCAAGGCAGCCCAGACACCAGTAGCTCTGGGACAGGCAGGGCCAGACTGTGCTGAGTTGGGTGTTATGTCTACACTGTTGGCTCACACTGACCCTAACCCACCCCTATCTGGCTAGAGCCAAATGTGGGAAAGACCAGCTACAAGTGGCAGATTCCCTACACCTCAGCACTAGCTCATGAACTGTGTGCACGGGAAGAGTTCTTAGTGCCTGCATGTTCCTTTCACTTCTTGGGGTCAGGGACCTCTGAGAGAATCTGATGAGTGGTAGTGCATCCTCCCCTAAATTATAACCTAATAGCCATCAATAGAATGGTTACTAAATTATGGTATATGAATACTCTGGAAATAATAAACAACCATTGAAAAAAGAATGAAGAAGATCTACCTGCATTAATATGAGAAGATCTCAACAAAAAATTTATGGAACATGGGCCAGGCATGGCAGGGTGTACCTGTAATCCCTTTGGGAGGCTGAGGCAGGTGGATCACCTGAGCCCAGGAGTTTGGGAACAACCTGGGTAATATAGTGAGACCCCATGTCTAAATATATATATATGAACAAAAAAGTTATAGAACATGCCAAGAGTGGTGACTCATGTCTGTAATCCCAACATGGTGGGAGGTGGTGGTGGGCAGATCGCATGAGCCTAAGAGTTAGAAACCAGAATTTAAAAATTAGCTGGGCGTGGTGGCCCACATCTATAGTCCCTGCTACTGGGGAGGTAAGGTAGGAACCCAGGAGGTCGAGGCTGCAGTGAGCCGTGTTCGTACCACAGCACTCCAGCCCAGGCAACAGAGCAAGACTCTGTCTCAAAAAAAAAAAAAGAAAAGAAAAGTTAGGTCCAGGCATGGTGGCTCACGCCTGTAATCCCAGCACTTTGAGAGGCCAAGGCAGGTGGATCACCCGAGGTCAGGAGTTTGAGACCAGCCTGGCCAACATGATGAAACCCCGTCTCTACTAAAAATATAAAAATTAGCTGGGCACGGTGGCGTGCACCTGTAATCCCAGATGCTTGGGAGACTGAGGCAGGAGAATCACTTGAACTCAGGAAGCGGAAGTTGCAGTGAGCCAAGATTGTGCCACTGCACTCCAGCCTGCGTAACAGAGCAAGACTCCGTTTCAAAAAAAAAAAAAAGTTATAGAACAATACTTACATTTTAAACACAAATACTATTTGTGTTTAAAAAAGAAAAACTAGGCTGAGTGTGGTGGCTCATACCTGTAATCCTAGCAATTTGGAAAGGTGAAGCAGGCAGATCACTTGAGCTCAGGAGTTTGAGACCAGCCTGGGCAACATGGCAAAACCCCCTCTCTACAAAAAATACAAAAATTAGGTGGGCATGGTGGCATGAGCCTGTAGTCCCAGCTACTCGGGAGGCTGAGGCAGGACTGCTTGAACCTGGGAGGTCGAGGAGACTGCAGTGAGTTGACAAGGTGCCACTGAACCCCAGCCTGGGTGATGAAGTGAGACCCTATCACAAAAAAATAAAAATTAAAACTAAAAAACAAAAAACTGCCTATATATGTGTTATGTATGTACCTAGATGCTGGTCTGGAAAGGTTAACAAGAGACGGGGATATGGGAGTGAGGGAAAAGAGTTTGTTTTTACTGAATATGTTTCTGTATCATCTGAAAGTGCTGGAGTTACAGGCATGGGCCACCGCGCCCAGCCTTTTTAATAGAGATAGGGGCTCACTATGTTGCACGCTTGAACTCCTAGGCTCAAGCAATCTTCCCACCTCAGACTCCCAAAGTGCTGGAATTACAGGTGTGCGTCACCACACCCGACCAAGAGATCATCTCTGTACTCCAAGTCAGAAGGCCTAGCTTTGGACTATATCTCCACTCGTCTCCTCTGGTTCATATTAACGGTGCCACTTTGGGGTATTTGCCCTTGGCCAAGCACAGCCACTCATTTTACAGCAGGCCATCACTCTATCGTTGCTCCTGCCCCTTGGGGAAGAGGTGCCAAGGGGCCCAGCTACACTAACTGCAGGATCAGAGGGCAGAGGTGATGTATTTCCCTCCTCTGCAGCCACCATCACTGTCCCCTTGGCCTACGGCTCCTGCATCCCCGTTAGAACCTGCTTCTCAGCCACCGTCTGTAGGATATGACGGGCCCTGTGTGATGCAGAGGGAGGGACATGGACCCCGCAGGGAAGCATGCCCCTGATGGGCCAGTACCTTTTGCAGCCTGCTGCTGCTCCAGGATCTTGCGGGTGCGGGGTGTGGTGCCTTTGGGCATGTTGATGACGTACTTCCCCTCCATCTCAGCAGTGACCCGGCGCCGCTTGGCAGGAACAGCCAGGCTCTCCTCCTCCCGGCGGGCCAGGGCTGCTGGGGGAAGAAAGCAGGGGTATCAGCACTCTCTGAGACAGAACGTTCTCCCAGGATGGAAGCTGGACACTAGGTGTCCTTTATCTCCACACATTCATGACTGGAATCCCTTACCTTCCCAACCACCCACATCACCACTGACCGAACCACAGAGAAACTCAGGTCTCTGTTACACGAGGTCACAGAAGGTGCTCAGAATCCCCAGGCTGTGGCAGGCCTCCCAGGCTTTCTGTGGCTCTGTCCCTATTCCAAGCAGGCTTCTGGCCCAGCCCAGCCCACATCCCCTCGGATGGGGAACCTGCTGGGTGGTGGAAAGGTTCTAGAGCTCCAAGCAGGCAGTGCTTTATGGCTGCACTCACTTGTCAACAAGCACTTGAGCTGTGTACACTTATGAGTGGTGGATTGTGCATAAGTTACACCTCAATTTAAAAAATGAATCCCCTCAAACGTGTTAAGGGTTAAAAGAGCCAGTTGCTCCCAGGCTCGCCATCTTCGCAATACTTTGTTACACTGATTTTAACTTTTTTTTTTTTTTTTTTTTTTGAGACTGAGTTTTTGTTCTTGTTGCCCAGTCTGGAGTGCAATGGCACGATCTCAGCTCACTACAACCTCTGCCTCCTAGGTTCAATCGATTCTCCTGCCTCAGCCTCCCAAGTAGCTGGGATTACAGGCATGCGCCACCACGCCCAGCTAATTTTTGTATTTTTGGTAGACATGGGGTTTCACCATGTTGGTCAGGCTGCTCTTGAACTCCTGACCTCAGGTGATCCGCCCACCTCGGCCTCCCAAAGTTCTGGGATTACAGGTGTGAGCCACCCCGCCCAGCCTTTTTTTTTTTTTTTTTAAATGTAGAGACAGGGTTTCATCATCTTGTGCAGGTTGGTCTTGAGCTCCTGGGCTCAAGTGATCCTCCTGCCTCAGCCTCCCAAAGTGCTGGGATTATAGGCGTGAGCCACCATGCCCAGCCTGATTTTAACTTTTTTGCTTGTGGCACACAAATCAAAGGCCAGAAGAGGGTGAGGCACTTCCAAACCTGCAGGACAAAGGGGAGACTTTGTGATGGAGGTGGACGGGGCGTGATAGGAGTGGGTGTCAGAAACATGAAGCGCCCTGGGCCTCAGTTTCCACATTTGCCTTATGACACCATGAGGTCATTGCTGTGGGGATGGGTCCAGCAAAGGCTTAAGAGCATGGTGGACGGGAAGGCCTGGGAGCCCAGTGACTGCAGGCCCATTCCCAGCTCTCAAGCTGAGACCTGGAGGAGGACAGAGGCCAACATGGAGCAGTCTGGGAAGGAAGAGTGCTCAGGCCAAGGGGTCACCAGGAGCAAAGGCCCCATGATGGGAAGGAGGCTGGAGGGGAGCAAGCGAGCATGCAAAGTGGGGCGATGCAAGAGATGAATCTACATGATGCAGGGCCCTACAGACCATGTGGGGAAGATGGCCTTTATTACTGGAATAATGGGGAGCCCCGGAGAGTTACAGCCCAGGGGGTTACAGGATCAGACTGAAGGTTTTCAAGGATGGATCCCTTGGCTGCTAAGAGGAGGCAAGAGGTTCTTAACCTATGACCCCAGGCATCAAGCACAGAGCTGTGCACAAGTAGGGGGCTCGGTGAAGACCTGTTCACAAAGCGTGAACCCCTGAGTGAGAAGGCAATGCACACATGCCTCAACACACCAACTCAGGTGCTTCTGTCCATCCTCCTGGGTGGGGTATCGCCACCCCCCATGCTACAGATGAAGAAAGTGAGGCCCACAGACGTATGGCACCTTGACCAAGTTTACAGAGGTGATTCAGGTTCAAATGTTTTGTATACCTTGTGGCCTTCAAAGCACCTTACAATATTGGAAGCATGACCCCCAACACCTCCTACCAACCCACGTTCCCCTCCAGCTCCTCCTACCACCTGCCCATGTTCCCTCACCAGTGGCCTTGGCACTCTTTGCTGCCATCTTGTTGGACACAGTGACCGAGATCTTGGAGGTGCTGGTGTCCGGGCGCCTGGGGGGTGTGCTGGGTGGAGAGTCATGGTTCAGGCTGTTGGTGATCATTCGGGAGGCAGCTGTGGGGAGAAAAGGAGAGTCCGGTCGGGTGGGGTCCTGGAAGACAGGCCTCAATCCAGCAGTCTCAGGGTCAGGATGGAGAAGGTGAGGCTTGAGACTGAATGAGAAGGTCAGCGGGTATCACCCTGTAACTGCATGGTACTCGTGATGGGGATGCTTGGGGGCAGGGTGGGCTGCATCTCCCCAGGAACTAGCCCATCCCTCCCTATCCTGGGAGCCTTTCCTGAGGCTCTAGACCACACTAGTTCTGATCACACCTCACCCATCAGTCACCCAGCCTCGTGCTGAGTTCGCTTCGCCCCTCCCGGAGCTGCTTCAGCCATGCTGGTCTCCAGGATCTTCCTCACCTAGCAAGTAGGCGCTTCCTCAGGGTCCCTGCTGTTCCTTCTGCCTGGCATGCAGTTCCCCAAGCACAGCGGAATTGCTGCGTCTCATCATTCAGGCCTCCTCTCTGATGGCAACTCCTCAGAGAAAACTTCCCTGACCACCCCATCAAAAACAGCACCTCCTCAACCTCTATCACCCTTACCCACTTTCATTTTCTTCACAGCCCTTACAACTGCTTGACATTAAACTCTATTTGTTTACTGGTAAACTCACTCACAAGAACATAAGCTCCACGAGGAGGCTGTGTCTGTTTACTGCTGTATCCCAGTGCCTAAAGTGGTTTCTGAGGACAGGCACAAGGGCGCATGCCTGTAATCCCTGCACTTTGGGAGGCCTAGGGGGATGGATCACTTGAACCCAGTTCAAGACCAGCCTGGGCAACATGGCAAAATCCCATCTCTACCAAAAATACAAAAAATCAGCCAGGCATGGTGGCATGTGCCTGTAGTCCCAGATACTCAGGAGGCTGAGGCAAGAGAATCACTTGAGCCCAGGAGGTCAAGGCTGCAGTGAGCTGTGATCGCACTACTGCACTCCAGCCTGGGCAACAGAGTGAAACCCAGTCTCAAAAACAGGGGGGAAAAAGAAAGAAAACTACATTAAACCATCACAGAACATTTAATAAAACGTGACCCCCAAGCACCCAGCACCCAGGCATCATGACATTATTGGTACCCAGAAGTCCCAGGACAGATCCTTCCCTATCAGACCTCCTCCCTCTCTGCAGGAAGAAATTCTTGGTTTTCAGGCCTGCTCTCTCTCCTCTGTTAATAATATACCCCAGCACTTCTTCAGACATTTTTCAGGTTGGATGGGTGGCTTTATGTCTAATGGCTGCAAACTCTCTGGCTATGCAGAATCTGTCCTGTGAGAGCCTCCATTCACAATACTCTTTACCTAGCTGAGTGCAATAGGATCAGGATTTTCTGCTATAAAAGGCAAGCTGTTAAGAGGGCCCTACCTGTCCTGCTGTACCCAGAGGGAAATCTGCAGCTGAAAAGATGTCAGGAATGTGATGCTTTATTGTCATGACAGGCAAGCCCCATTTGGGTGGCGGTTAAGCAACCAACTCTGTCTTTACTCTGTCTTGCATTTGCGTTGCAGTCAGGATATCAGAATACAAAGAACTGTTCTCTTTCCCACTCCTGACAGACACATCATTCAATGTTCTAAAGTGTGTAAAAGTGATCATCTCAGGAATGTTTTTAGAGCATTCTTCCCACCCCTTTCTTTCTTTGCCTGTTTCCCCTTCTCTTTTTATTTATTTATTTTCATTTACTTTCCCTTTCTTTTTTTTCTTTTTTTTTTGAGACAGAGTCTCGCTCTGTCGCCCAGGCTGGAGTGCAGTGGCGCGATCTTGACTCACTGCAAGCTCTGCCTCCCAGGTTCACACCATTCTCGTGCCTCAGCCTCCCGAGTAGCTGGGACTACAGGCGCCCATCACCATGCCCGGCTAATTTTTTTGTGTATTTTTAGTAGAGATGGGGTTTCACCATGTTAGCCAGGATGGTCTCGATCTCTCGAGGTCTGACCTCATGATCTGCCCACCTTGGCCTCCCAAAATGCTGGGATTACAGGCGTGAGCCACCATACCCGGCCCTCTTTTTTTTTTTTTTTTTTTTTTTTGAGACAGGGTCCCACTCTGTTGCCCACGATGATGGAGTACAGTGGTGCCATCATAACTCACTGCAGCCTCAAAGTCCTGGGCTCAAGCAATCCTCCCACCTCAGCCTCCCAAGCCTCCCACAGCTAATTTACTAATTTTTGTAGAGACAGGGTCTCACTATGTTGCCCAGGCTGGTCTCAAATGCCTAGCATCAAGTGATCTTCCCACCTGGGCCTCCCAAAGTGCTGGGATTAAAGGCATGGGCCACCATACCCAGCTGAACATTTCATTTATAAAGATTTGAAAGACTGGTAAAACTAATGTGTGCTGTTAGCAATCAGGGTAGTGGGTACCCTGGAGACAATGTGGTGGCTGGGAGGGGGCACAGGGGGATTCTGGCAGGCTGGTCATGTTTCCATTACTGGATTTGGGTGCTGGCTACATGGGTGTCCCATCTGTGAATGGCACCCCACTGTAATATTATGGGTGAATGCTTTTCTGAATGTATGTTATGGAGGAGTGTTGCAGAAACGAACCCTAATTTGCTCAGCTTCTTTGCATCCACATCTTTGGGTAGGCCCTACCCACAATGACTGTGGACTTAGCCATGTAACTTGCTTTGGCCAACAGGACAAGAGCAAATGTTGTGCAAGCAGTGGCTTAAGAGGTGCTTTGCACACTGGGGCCAGCCCTCTTCTGCTGCTTTTAGGAACCCTGCAACCACCACTGTGAACAAGCCCAGGCTAGCCAGCTAGATAATTATGGACACGTAGCCAAGTCACCCTGTGGGCCCAGATAACATCAGGACAACCATCAGATATGTGAATGCGGCCGTCAACCCGGCTTCAACCTAGCTGCCAGGTGACCACTAAAATCAGCTGAGCTGGCCTAGAGCAGAACTGACCAGCCAACCCACAAAATCATGAGAAATAAACACCCATGTTTTAGCAAGACATGGTGGCTTGTGCTTGTAATCCCAGCTATTCAGGAGGCTGAGGCAGGAGGATCACTTGAGCCCAGGACTTTGAGGCTACAGTGAGCTATGACTGCACCACTACACTCCAGCCTGGGCAACAGAGTGAGACTCCCATCTCAAAAAATAAAAATACATGTCTGTGTTTTAAAGCACAGTTTTGGGCGGCTTAGTTATCAGCAAAGGGAAGCTAATGTGTATATTAAAATTTTAAAGTTTATTTTTAAAAAAGGTATCTGTCGGGTGCGGTGGCTAATGGCTGTAATCCCAACACTTTGGGGGGCCAAGGTGGGTGGATCACCTACAGTCAGGAGCTCGAGACCAGCCTGGCCAACATGGTAAAACCTCATCTCTACTAAAAATAACAAAAATTGGCTGGGCATGGTGGCAGGCACCTGTAATGCCAGCAACTCAGGAGGCTGAGGCAGGAGAATCGCTTGAACCCAGGAGGTGGAGGTTGCAGTGAGCCAAGATCATGCCATTGCACTCCAGCCTGAGCCACAAAAGCGAAACTCCATCTCAAAAAAAAAAAAAAATGGTATCATACTGCTTTTAAAAACCAAAAATAGCCAGGTGCAGTGGCTCATGCCTGCACTTTGGGAGGCTGAGGCAGGTGGATCGTTTGAAGTCAAGAGTTCAAGACTAGCCTGGCAAATGTGGCAAAACTCTGTCTCTACTAAAAATACAAAAATTGGCTGGGCATGGTGGCACACACATGTAATCCCAGATACTTGGGTGACTGAGGCACAAGAATCACTTAACCTGGGAGGCAGAGTTTGCAGTTAGCTAAGCGTGCCATCGCACTCCAACGTAGGCAACACAGCGAGACTATCTCAAGGGAAAAAAAAAAAGGTCAGGTGCAGTGGTGGCTCACGCCTATAACCCCAGCACTTTGGGAGGCTGAGGCGGGTGGATCACCTGAGGTGTTCAAAACCAGCCTGGCCAACAGGGTGAAATTCTGTCTACTAAAAATACAAAAATTAGCCAGGCGTGGTGGCAGGCACCTGTAATCCCAGCTACTCGGGAGGCTGAGGCAGGAGAACTGCTTGAACCCGGGAGGCGGAGGTTGCACTGAGCCAAGGTCGCGCCACTGTACTCCAGCCTGGGCAACAGAGGGAGACTCCATCTCAAAAAAAAAAAAGAAAAAGAAAAAATATAAATACAGTCAATACTCATCATTCATAGATTCCATATTTGCAAACTTGCCTACTCATTCAAATGTATTTGTAACCCCAAAATCAATACAGCAGTGCTTTCACTGTCATTCACAGACACACACAGAGAACATTTTGAGTTGCTCCAGACACGTTCCCAAATGAGGACAAAGAAGGCATTCTCACCCTCTTATTTCAGGTCCCGCTCTGTAAACAAGCATCCTTTGCCCAGTCTACTTGATGTCATGAATGTGAACATTTTTCACATTTTTGTTGGTGATTTTGCTGTTTAAAATAGCCCCCTGGACGGGAGCAGTGGCTCACGCCTATAATCCCAGCACTTTGGGAGGCCGAAGCAGGCAGATCACTTGAAGTCAGGAGTTCGAGACCAGCCTGGCCAAGATGGTGAAACCCCGTCTCTACTAAAAATACAAAAATTAGCCGGGTGTGGTGACAGGTGCCTGTAATCCCAGCTACTTAGGAGGCTGAGGCAGGAGGATCGCTTGAACCCGGGAGGTGGAGGTTGCAGTGAGCTGAGATCGTGCCACTGTACTCCAGCCTGGGCAACAGAGACTCCATCTCAAAATAAATAAATAAATAAGAAAATAAATAAATAAATAAATAAATAAATAAATAAAATGGCCCTCAAAGCACAGTGTTGAAGTGCTGTCTGGCTTCCTAAATGTAAGAAGGGTATGATGTACCTGATCAAAAAAATGTGTGTGTGAGATAAGCATTGTGCAGGAATGAGTTACAGTGTTGTTGGCTATGAGTTCCCGGTTAATGAAATCAACATTATGTATTAACTACAGTGCCTTTAAAAGGAGACACACATAAAATAAAGCTATATATTTGACGACAGGCTTGCAGGAACCTAACCTAGTATTTCCCATAGGAGCAACGGATTCTCCATTGCTCTGTATTTCTTCTAGGAGCTAAGAATTCACTAAGTGTACATATTAACTTTACAGAACTTAATGACCACAGATGACAATTGACTGTGTGTACAGCCATTCACTACCCAGTTTATTTTTTCCCCTAAAAGAAGAGTAAGAATTCCTCCAATGGCTTTGTTTCTACCTTTGAAAATTACAGGCGGGGATGGGATGGCCAGACGTGTCCCCTTCACTGACAGGGTATAAAAATCAAGGAAAAGAGGCCTGAATAGTTAGGACTCACCACTGGTGCCACGGCGAATTTCGCCTGCAAGGGGGCTAGGGCTGCAGGGTACTGACTCAGTGGCAGCTTTGCACATGTCCTGTGAAAAAAGAACAGGCACCTGGGTCACCACAGAAGAATCATGCATCAACCTAGAGATCTAAGCAACACCACAAGGATCAACACCTGACTGCTAGAGAAGATTCTAACACATTTCACTCCTAACCATAAGAAAGCATCAGATACCTCCAAACTGAGGGACACTCTATAAAATATCTGACCAGTATATTCAGATATATATATCTGAAGTTCAGCCTCCTCACCTATTGAAAAAATAGGCCAGGTGCGGTGGTTCACGCCTGTAATCCCAGCACTTCGGGAGGCCGAAGCGGGTGGATCACCTGAGGTCAGGAGTTTGAGACCAGCCTGGCCAACACAGTGGGACGCTTATCTCTAGAAAAAATTAAAAAACTAGCCAAGCATGGTGTCACACACCTGTAGTCCCAATTATTCAGGGGCTGAGGTGGTAGGATTGCTTGAGCCCAGGAGTTTGAGGCTGCAGTAAGCTGTGATTGTACCACTGCATTCTAGCCTGGGCAACAGAGTGAGACCCTGTCTCCAAAATAGGTGAAAGATGGCCAGGTACGGTGGCTCACACCTGTAATCCCAGCCCTTTGAGAGGCCGGGGCAGGTGGATCACCTGAGGCCAGGAGTTCAAGACCACCCTGGGCAACATGGCAAAACCCCATCTCTACTAAAATTATAAAAACTAGCTGGGCATGGTGGCGCACGCCTGTAATCCCAATCACTCGGGTGGCTGAGGTACGAGAATCTCTTGAACTTGGGAGGTGGAGACTGCAGTGAGCCAAGACAGCACCACTACACTCCAGCCTGGCAACAGGGCAGGATTCTGTCTCAATTAAATAAAATAAAGAGGCCAGGCACAGGGGCACATGCCTGTAATCCCAGCTACTCAGGAGGCTGAGGTAGGAGAATCACTTGCACCTGGGAGGCAGAGGTTGCAGTGAGCCGAGATAGTGCTACTGCACTCCAGCCTGGGCGATGGAGTGAGACCCTGTCTCAAAAATAAATAATAAACAAGTGAAGAAAGGAAGGAAGGAAGGGGGGTAGGGAGGGAGGGAGGGAGGAAGGAAGGAAGGGAGAAAGGGAAGGAGGGAGGGAGGGAAGGAGGAAGGGAAGGAGGGAAGGAGGGAGGGAGGGAGGGAGGGAGGAAGGGAGGGAGGGAGACAGTGCCTGGCAGGCCACAGCAAGTGCTTGGTAAGTGTTAGCTATTATATTAATCACTTAATGAGTACAGCACTCCAGGTCTGGTGCTCAAGGCCACATATACTATCTGGTAGGTGGCCACAGCCACACTAGCATCAGGGCTGTGTGAGAAGCCCATTTCAAAGAGATCCAGGAAGGTGGGTCACTATAAGTGGAGGGGTCAAGACTGGAATGTCCAGGTTGTGAGCCAGGTTGCCATCTGGGTCCCACATAGGAAGCTGCTGTCCTGGAGATAATACTTATCACAAGGAAAATGTGAAGCAGCAATAATAGTTATTACAGAGGGACCCAAATACAGGCAGTTTCCACTGTGCTAGTGCTTCACATAGCTTAATACTCACAACCAGGGCTGGGAGCAGCAGCTCATGCCTGAAATCCCAGTATTTTGGGAGACCGAGGCAGGAGGATGGCCTGAGCCCAGGAGTTCGACACCAGCTTGGGCAACATGGCGAGACACCGTCTCAAAAAAATATATACAACCACCATTCAAGATTTTTTTTTTTTTTTTTTCTTGAGAGAGTCTCGCTCTGTCGCCCAGGCTGGAGTGCAGTGGTGCGATCTCGGCTCACTGCAAGCTCCGCCACCCACGTTCACGTCATTCTCCTGCCTCAGCCTCCCAAGTAGCTGGGACTACAGGTGCCCGCCACCACGCTCGGCTAATTTTTTGTATTTTTAGTACAGACGGGGTTTCACCGTGTTAGCCAGGATGGTCTCAATCTCCTGACTTCGTGATCCGACCACCTCGGCCTCCCAAAGTGCTGAGATTACAGGCGTGAGCCACCGCACCCGGCCAGGTTTGCCTCTCTTTCACAGATGCAGAAAATACAGCTCAGAGAGGTTGGGCAATGTGCCCAGCGTCACACAGCAAATGGCTGAACCAGCCCTGGAACCTGGGTCGGCCTGCCTCTGCTGCCAGGCCTCCCATTGGCTCTGCAACTGACCCTCCACCTCCATGCCAAACCCAGAGACAGAGGGGCTGGGCACAGCACCCACCTGACGGTGCACCACTTTGGCATGCTTGAGAATGGCGATGATGTCACCCACCACGGTCACGCCCAGCTCATTCATTATCTCCTTATTGAGATCCAGCAGCATGCTCTTCTGAATCCTGCAGGGAAAGGTCAGTGGTGAGGCCCCAGGTGGGCCAGAGTGGGTGGGCCAGCCAGCTCCCCACCACCCCATCCCCAAGTTCAGCCTCCTCACCTATTATCCACAAACATCACGGCATAATTGACGGCAGGTCCTGGAGGAATGCCGGCTTCCTTAAAGAACTGGATCCACTCGGAAGTGGCTGTGGGGTTGGACAGGGCTCATTACTCACACTGTCCTCTTTAGAGAATAGCATTAGCAAAACCACAATCACAGCAGCTCCCACAAATTAAATGCTCATCATATGCCAGGCCCTGCATGGAGTGCTCCACACACACATGATGGAACTGAGCCTTCCTGACCCTGTGAGTTAAGCAGTATTAAGATTCGCCTGAGTTGCCGATGAGGAAAATGAGATAGGGAAAGGTTGGGCAACCCACCCCAAGCCACAATGCTAAACAAGGGGCAGAGCTCCCAAACCTTTACCACAGCCTTTCTCCTTACAGCTCCACCCCGCCCCAGTGCTTGCTCTCTGCATCACTACACATGCTGGGCCCATGACTGATTTAGGGTAACTGGGACTCTGGGTTCTCTGCCCTAGTCCCCATCAGCCAGCCTAGGCCCAGAGGATGATAGGATCCTCAGGTGGCTGGAAAGAAGCATCATAGAGCCAGCCCATGAGCCTTGGCAAGCCCCCACCCGCCACAATAGCAAACCTCCCTCAGAGAGAGGCATGGAAGTTACTAACATGGGCTTCGGAGCTTGGGTTTGAATCCTAACCCTGCGATTTCCCTATGGAGGGACTTTGGGTAAGTTAACTCTTGGTGCCTTGGTTTCCTCATCTGTAAACCTGGGATAACAGATCTGACAAGTGTTTACCCAGCATTTGGCAAAGGACAGGTCCTGTCCTACACACGGGGGATACCACAAGGCACAAGATGAAGTCCCAGCCCTTGTGGAGCTGAGATTTTAGTGATAACAGCCCCAATGTCCTTGAGTCACTGTGCAGACTCAATGAGAACCTCCATATAAAAGGCTTTAAATGATGCTTGACCCAGAGGACATCCTCAAACCATGACAGCAATTATTATTATTATTATTATTATTATTATTATTACTATTACTCCCATCACCACTAAACATAGAGCCACAGCCAAGACCAGGCAGACCCCACCTATGAAACTTTATTCTTTCTAAATTTTCTTGGCTTCTTGGTGGGTGTGACCCTCAAACTGACCCCAACCTGCCAGGCCAGGTGATAGCTAAGATCACTGATTCGAAGTAGAACTTTTTTTCACATTTTGACATCTCTGAAACTAGGATCTACTTCATGACTGACAGTGTGCCATAGTTTAATTAGCAAACTGTTTTTCTTTCTCAGTACATCCAATAATCCATGCTATTTTAGATTAGAAGAAATCTGTTATTACCTCACCCATTTTTCTTTTAAGACAATAGAGACTCAGAGCAGGGAAACAGACACACAGGTGTTACACGAGTGGCAGTGCGGGGCTCAGGTGAAACTCCATGGGCCACATCTCCAAGAAGGCCCCTGCCCAGCCAGCCACAGGCCGGTTACCCAGGGTGCTGACTGGCCCTTGGGGACTGAGGCTGGCGAGGAGCTCATGTCCTTAGGATTTCCTCCGCCAGGCCAGAGGAAAGGGGTACCATTTCCCTATGTTGTGCAGGCACCATCCACCTGCTAAGCCATAGGGCCCTGGGTCCCACTGACCAGAAGCAGGCACCTCTAACTATCAACAAGCACCACATAATGATTCCATGTATATGAAGTGTCTAGAACAGGCAAATCTAAAGAGAAAGTAGATTAGTGGTTGCTAGGGGGACAGGGGAAGTGACTGTTAATGGGTATGGGGTTTTAATTTTTTTGAGACAGGGTCTCCCTCTGTCGCCTAGGCCAGAGTGCAGTGGCGCAATCATAGCTCACTGCCGTCTCAACCTCCTGGGCTCAAGCGATCTTCCCACCTCAGCTTCTCAAGTAGTTAAACTACAGGCGCATGCCACCAGGCCAGGCTAATTTTTTGTATATATATACATATATATACACACACACACACACACACACACAAATATATATATATACACATATATATACACAAATATATATATACACAAATATATATATACACACACACACACAAATACATATATATATATACACATATATATATATTTCTTTTTAGATGGAGTCTCATTCTGTCACCCAGACTGGAGTGCAGTGGCGCAATCTCGGCTGACTGCAACCTCCACCTCCGGGTTCAAGCAATTCTCCTGCCTCAGCCTCCTGAGTAGCTAGGATTACAGCCACGCGCCACCATGAACAGCTAATTTTTGTATTTTTAGTAGAGACGGGGTTTCACCATGTTGGTCAGGCTGGTCTCAAACTCCTGACCGTGTGATCCACATGCCCTGGCCTCCCAAAGTGATGAGATTACAGGCGTGAGCCACCGCCCCCGGCATTTTTTTGTATTTTTTATAGAGACAGAGTTTTGCCATGTTGCCTAGGCTGGTCTCAAACTCCTGGACTCAAGCGATCCACCTGCCTCGGCCTCCCAAAGTGCTGGGATTACAGGCATGCACCATAACACCCTGCTAAGGTATGGGGTTTCAAGAGAGAGTGATAAAGATGTTTTAAAATTGATTATGGTGATGGCTGCACAACTCTGTGAACAGATAATATAAAAACCATCGAATTATACACCTTAACTAGGTAAAATGTATGATAAATGCATTATAGCTACACTAAGCTGTTATTAAGGGGAGAAAAAAGTACCACGTAGGTTGGGGGTAGCTCTCTGAGCCAAAGCCTATGATTGATTAATTGACTGATTGACTTTAAGGCTAGTCAAGTGAAGCAGTAGGAAGGGAGAAGGAACAAAGAAATCTGTAACTGGTTGTGATCAATTAGTTGTAAAGACCAATCAGTTCCTAGGGACCAGGCAAAGCCTGTGAATTTAACCAAGAGATTACTGAAACCCAGTGTTTGAGGAATTGAAAGAGTCCCCACATTAAGCACACACCATCATTTCATGTATTGCTAAGGAAGGAAAATATGCAGCCAATTAAACTGTCATAAGGCACTGGCTGTAAGATATACCCCTACTTCAGAAATATTAAGTTGTGCAATGATGTGAGTCTTGGAATCGATGAGATGTGGCTTGTTGCACACACCAGGAGACACGTACAAGAATATTCATAGCAGTTTGTCTGTGATAGCTCCAACCCAGTAATAATGCAATATCCATTGACAGCAGCATTGATAAACACACGGTGGTCACTCTCAAGGTGAAATACTATACAGCAGTGAAAAGAAAGTCAACATAGATGACCCTTAGACATTATGTTGAGCAAAAGAAGCCAGATACAAAAGAACACAAGGTATGATTTCATTCATATAAATTCAAAACCAAAGTCTATAGAATAGGAATGTCCCACTGGTAATACAACTATAAAGAAAAGCAAGGAAGGCCAGGAGCGGTGGCTTACACCTGTAATCCCAGCACTTTGGGAGGCCGAGATGGACGGATCACCTGAGGTCAGGAGTTCAAGACCAGCCTGACCAACATAGAAAAACCCCATCTCTACTAAAAATACAAAATTAGCCAGGCATGGTGGTGCATGCCTGTAATCCCAGCTACTCAATCTGGAGGCTGAGGCAGGAGAATTGCTTGAACCCAGGAGGCAGAGGTTGCGGTGAGCCGAGATCGCACCACTGCATTCCAGCTTAGGCAACAAAAGCGAAACTCCATCTCAAAACAAAAAAAAAAAAAAACAAAAAAAGAAAGGTAAGGCAAGAAAATATGTTCACAGAATGATTTATTCCATATGGAGAATGGAGAAGAGAGGGGAGTGAGATTGGGGTAGGACTCTCGGGGGGCTGACAATATTCTCTTTTTTTTGACCTGGATGGGTAATAGGGTTTGGATTTTTCAATCTTTTTATGGAACTATAATGTACATGCAAAAAAGTGCACAAGTCAATAGATCTTCCTAAACCAGACACACCTATGTAATCAGCACCCAAATCAAGAAATCAGGTATTTCTAATACCTCAGAACCCTTTATATTACCTTTAGAGTCTCTACTCACTCCTTCCCAGAGGCAACCACCACCTTCTAACAAAATAGATTTTGCCTGCTTCTATGCTTTATATAAATGGAATTATAAAGAATACAGGCAGCCAGGCGCGGTGGCTCACGTCTGTAATCCCAGCACTTTGGGAGGCCGAGGCAGGTGGATCACGAGGTCAAGAGATCGAGACCATCCTGGCCAACATGGTGAAACCCCATCTCTACTAAAAATACAAAAATTAGCTGGGCGTGGTGGCACGTGCCTGTAGTCCCAGCTACGTGGGAAGCTGAGGCAGGAGAATGGCGTGAACCCGGGAGGCAGAGCTTGCAGTGAGCGGAGATCATGCCACTGCACTCCAGCCTGGCGACAGAGCAAGACTCTGTCTCAAATAAAAAGGAATACAGGCCAGGCGCAGTGGCTCACATGTGTAATCCCAGCACTTTGGGAGGCTGAGGCAGGAGGATCTCTTGAGCACAGGAGTTCAAGACCAGCCCAGGCAACATGGTGAAACCCCATCTCTACAAAAAATACAAAAATTAGCCGGGCGTGATGGTGTGTGACTATAGTCCCAGCTACTCGGAGGCTGAGATGGGAGGATCACCTGAGCCTGGGAGGCAGAGGGTGCAGTGAGCTGAGATTGCACCACTGCACTCCAGCCTGGGCAACAGTGTGAGCCTGTCTCAAAAAAAAAAAAAAAAAAGGATATACTCAGATTTTGCTTTTTAATCACTCTTAAAACTATACAAATATATTTTATGGGCCAGGCGCGGTGGCTCATGCCTGTAATCCCAGCACTTAGGGAGGCCAAAGAGGGAAGATCACCTGAGGTCAGGAGTTGGAGACCAGCCTGGCCAACATGGTGAAACCCTGTCTCTACTAAAAATACAAAAATTAGCTGGGCGTGGTGGCACGCGCCTGTAATCCCAGCTACTTGGGAGGCTAAGACAGGAGAATCACTTGAACCCGGGAGGTGGAGGCTGCAGTGAGCCGAGATCGTGCCATTGCACTCCAGCCTGGGCAACAAGAGCGAAACTCCATCTCAACAAACATACATATATAATATATATAATATACTTTTCTATATTATAATAAATGTCAAAATTTTTCAAAGCCACCAACTAACCTCTGTGCCTTAGCAATCCCCAAATACAGAGCTTAAGGCTTGTGATAATAACAACACCTAAGGTTTGTTTAGAACTATGCCCAAGCTTTTACATGCTATAATCTCCTTAATCCCAGGATGTGTGAATATCATTTCCATTTCACAGGTGAGAAAACCAAGGCTCTGTGAGGCCACGTGGGAGACCTGCTGGACTTCATAACCCACGTTCTTCACAGCTAAACTATACAGTCAGGAGAGAGATCCAGTGATGAGGCGGGCAGGCCTCAAGCAGTTCCAGCCCCACCCTGCCACGGTCCTCAGAGTACAGCTGTTCCTGCCAGTGACCCAGTCCTCCCTCCCCCATCCCATCATCCCCCACCAAGGCCATACCTCAAAAAGGGCAGTGGGGAGAGGGGGCCCTGGAGAGAAGGCCACAGACTCACCCATAGTCACGGAGACCATCGTCTCCCTGGCCCTGACACTGCTCCCTGGAGCCTGAAAGAGAAGAGAGGAGAGAGCCCATGAGCTGCTGCCGGCTGTGAGTGTTTGTCCCTCTCCTGTGCCTGTCTGTCTGCATGCCAGAGGAATGTTCCTGGGCTAGGGGCTCACCGCCCAGGAATAGCCTGGAGCAGCTGGCAGGAAGTCAGCCTGGGACAGAGCTGCCACCACCATCATCGCTTGTGCCTGAGACAAGGCCCAGGGACAGCAAATGTCCACAGCTCCATTCACACACACCCCAAAAGGTTGGCTGGAAAAGGAGTGCAACAGAAATAAGACACTTCTGGCCAAGACTTTAACAATAAATACCAGCCAAGCATGCTGGCTCATGCCTGTAATCCCAGGACTTTGGGAGGCCAAGGTGGGAGGATTACTTGAAGCCAGGAGTTCAAGACCAGCCTGGACAACATAGCAAGACCCTGTCTCAAAAAAAAAGGCTGGTCCGAAGGTAGTGAATTATCTCAATTGACTGTTCATAGTCCTTTACAGATGGAACTCCTTATTCTACTCTTTCTCCTTTTCTCACTACTGCAGTTGACTAGTCTTCAAACAAACAAACAAACAAACAAACCCAAAACCCTATTCACTGAGAACCTACTATGTGTAAGGCACTTAGGGATACCAAGTTGAACAAAGCCATGGAACTTAGCAGCTAGCTGGGTACAGGGGACAGGGGAGACAGAGAGTAAACAAGCCAAACAGTTAATATAGTACGTTAGGAAGCCTTTAGTGCCACGGAGAAGACATGGAGGACCTGGGAAGGGAGGGGTTGTAATTTTCAGCAGAGTGATCAGGGAAGACCTAAAGCAACATTTAGAGACCTAAAGGGAGGGAAGCAATGAGCCATGTGGTTTTACAGAGAAAAAGTGTTCCAGAAGAAGGTACAGCAAGTCCAGCGCCCTGAGCCAGTGGCTCATCTGGCATGCTGGAGGGAAAGCAAGGAGCCAGTGTGGCTGCAGTGGAGCGAGCAGGAAGGACACTGGGAGGAGACAGGTCACAGAAGTGGCGACCTGATCATGAGACGTCCCAGAGAAGACATGGAAAACCAATTTTCCCTTACATTAGCAGATGGTAGAAAGGTGGTGTTAAGGACATATTAGCACCAATGGAGACTGTCTCCGTTAAAAGCAGTGTTGAATGGGAACTAAAGGAAATAACTTTTTCATGTGCTGATTCAACGCTATGCGACTCCAGGATCATGGGGCCCACACTGCCCTGGCCCAAACTTCCTTCCTACTTAGCCCTCTGCCTCTTCCCTGACCCGGCTCCTCTGCCCTCTTCCCTCACTCTGTTCCCTTCTATCTACCGCAGCCCCCAATACTGATCCTCCCTCACCCCCGCATGGGGTGCAGAAGCCCTCTGTCCCAGAACCTTCCTGTTTACCACCCCATACGACCTGTCCCATCCCCTAACAGATTTTGATGGTATAATGGAGTGGTCAAGAGTAACAACTCTGCAACCAGACTGTACAGTTCAAATCCAGCTCTACCACTTATTAGCTGTGTGATCTCGGCAAGTGACTTCAACAGTCAGGCCGCGGTGTCACCATTTGTGAATTGGGAGGGTGCAAACATGACTTACCTTAGAGGACTGCTATAAGGGCTGGATGAGTTTCTATGAATAAAAGCACTTGAGACAGTGCTTGGTGCCTACTAAGCACCCTGGAGGTGTTGTGCCTGGTCTCATCCTCCAGGCCTCCTTCCCCACACAGGTGCTTTGCCGGCCTCCCAGTTTTTAGAGGATGTCACCTGTGCCTGGAATGCCTGTCTCCTCCTGGCAACCTATCCTTCCTTCTGCTCCACTGCCATCTACTTTGTGACACTTTCCCTAAGTCCCCACATATGAGACTCTCTTCTCTATCCTCACTAGGGTTAATCTTGCCCTTCTCTGGCTTCTGCTCAATTTTTTTTTTTTTTTTTTGAGACAAAGTCTTGCTCTGTCGCCCAGGCTGGAGTGCAGTGGCGCGATCTCGGCTCACTGCAACCTTCGCCTCCTGGGTTCAAGCGGTTCTCCTGCCTCAGCCTCCCGAGCAGCTGGGACCACAGGCACTCGCCACCACACCCAGCTAATTTTTGTATTTTTAGTACAGATGGGGTTTCACCATGTTGGCCAGGCTAGTCTCGAACTCCTGACCTCAAGTGATCTGCCCACATCAGTTTCCCAAAGTGCTGGGATTACAGGCACCTGGCCTTCTGCTCAATCTCTTATTGATGAGTATGACCACAGACATCACTCTGTCCTGTACTCAACACTCTTAGATCCAATTTCCCTCCTGAATTTTACCACTGGCCAAAGACAATACAGGCCAGGAGCAGTGGCTCGTGCCTGTAATCCCAGCACTTTGGGAGGTCGAGGCAGGTGGATCACCTGAGGTCAGGAGTTTGAGACCAGCCTGGCCAACATGGTGAAACCCCATCTCTACTAAAAATACAAAAATTAGTCGGGCATGGTGGTGGGCGCCTGTAATCCCAGCTACTCGGCAGGCTGAGGCAGGAGAATCGCTTGAACCCGGGAGGCAGAGGCTGCAGTGGGCCGAGATCACACCACTGCACTCTAGCCTGAGTGACAGAGCAAGACTCTGTCTCAAAAAATAATAATGAAATAAAATACAGTACAACATGCATCTCTCAAAGAACAGCACGGAGAGGTCTCAGTAAGTCAGACAGAACATCTCACAAACCAAGCACTAACTATGCATCAGGACCAGCGCCAAGCATCATGCAGATGCATCCCAACAGCTCAGCAAGTGAGGACTATTATTAGCCCTGTTTTTATCGATGAAAAACCCCGACTCATTGAGGTGCAGTCGTTTGTCAAATGGCACATCTAGCAACTGACCTTACTGGGATTCAAAAACAAGTTCTTCCTGATTCTGACGTCCAGGGAATAGGTCCCATTGAGTGCTTACTATGTACCAGGAACTGAGCATATACACATCTCAGTCGCTCCTCACAACCACCCTCGGAAAGTTACAGATGAGAATGGCAGGTCCAAGATCACACAGCAAAAGGCTGGGCACAGTGGCTCAGGCCTGTCATCCCAGCACTTTAGGGTCAGGAGGATCCCTTGAGCCTAGGAGTTCAAGATCATATAGCAAGTAAAGGAAGCAGCAGGACTTGGACCCCACGCAGTCCAATGGCTATGGTTCATGCTGATTGAGGGATTACTACCAGCCAGGTACTATGGTCTGTTTTTCAATGTCTCAGTTAATGCTAACCAGAATCCTTTAAGTACTGGTATTCTCCCCCAAGTGCTACAGACCCTACTGAATTCAATTTCCTCTCTCCACAATCTTAAAAGCCCATCTCCAGCACTGACTTTCCGAATAGTGAAAATTATAATAGTGATTTTAAAGACAGCAGCTCCCAAAACTCAAGGGATTACCACATACCAGACTCCATGTGCTAAGCCCTTAGAAGACCTGTATCCAAATCCCAATTTTACCACGTCCTAATCCTGACTCTGGACAAGTAGCTTAACCTTTCTGACCTCACTTCCCTCAACTGCACAATAAGAATGGTAAGGCCGGGTACAGTAACTCACACCTGTAGTCCCAGCACTTTGGGAGGCCGAAGCAGGAGGATCTCTGGAGCCCAGGATTTTGAGGCCAGCCTGGGCAATATAGCGAGACCCTGTCACTGTTAAAAAAAAAAAAAAAAAAAAAAAAACTGGGCGTGGTGGCTCACGCCTGTAATCACAGCACTTTGGGAGGCTGAGGCGGGTGGATCACCTGAGGTCAGGAGTTCGAGACCAGCCTGGCCAATATGGTGAAACCCCATCTCTACTAAAAATACAAAAATTAGCCAGGCATGGTGGTGTATGCCTGTAATCCAAGCTACTCAGTAGGCTAAGGTGGGAGAATCGCTTCAACCCGGGGCGGGGGGGGGAGAGGTTGCAGTGAGCCAAGATTACGCCACTTCACTCCAGCCTGGGCAACAGAGCAAGACTCAGTCTCAAAAAAAAAAAAAAAAAAAGGAAAGGTGGCTGGGCGCAGTGGCTCATGCCTGTAATCCCAACGCTTTGGGAGGCCAAGGCAGTGGATCACAAGGTCAGGAGTTTGAGACCAGCCTGGCCAACATGGCGAAACTCCGCCTCTACTAAAAATACAAAAAATTAGCTGGGCATGGTGGCAGGCACCTGTAATCCCAGCTACTCGGGAGGCTGAGGCAGGAGAATCACTTGAACCCAGGAGGCAGAGGTTGCAGTGAGCCGAAACTGTACCACTACACTCCAGCCTGGGCAACAGAGTGAGACTCCATCTCAAAAAAAAAAAAAAAAGTAAGATTACCAATTCTTGGCCAGCACCTTGGGAGGCTGAGGCAGGTGGATAACCTGAGGTCAGGAATTCAAGACCAGCCTGGCCAACATAGTGAAACCCCTCTCTACTAAAAATACAAAAATTAGCCAGGCGTGGTGGTGGGCACCTGTAATCCTAGCTACTCAGGAGGCTGAGGCAGGAGAATTGCTTAAGCCCGGGAGGCAGAGGTTGCAGTGATCCAAGATCGCACCACTGCACTCCAGCCTGGGCAACAGAGCGAGACCTTGTCTCAAATAAATAAATAAATAAATAAATAAATAAATAAATAAATAAATAATAAAAATAAAAAAACACCATCTTAAAAAAAAAAAAAGAGGACCCTTTTTTTTTTTTGAGATGAAGTCCCACTCTGTCGCCCAGGCTGGAGTGCAGTGGCGTGATCTCGTCTCACTGCAACCTCTGCCTCCCAGGTTCAAGCAATTATCCTGCCTCAGCCTCCCAAGTAGCTGGGATTACAGGCCCCCACCACCATGCCCGGCTAATTTTCTGTAGTTTTAGTAGAGACGGGGTTTCACCGTGTTAGCCAGGATGGTCTCTATCTCCTGACCTCGTGATCCGCCCGTCTCGGCCTCCCAAAGTGCTAGGATTACAGGCGTGAGCCACCACGCCCAGCCAAGGACCCATTCTTAAAGGTGTTACAAGGATTAAACGAGTTAATAAACAGAGTCCTTAGAACAAAGATGCACGGCAGGTGGTTAAGTGCGATGTTAAGTGTGCATCAAATAAAACAAATCTTCAGTAAGCTAGGGAAACAGTGGGACAGTCACTGACTTAATGCTAGTTTTATACAAAGTGTGAGCTGGGAACAAGTATAAGGACAACTTAATGGGGGTCCATGGGATCTGACAACAGGGAATCACACAGTACAGGTTCTGAACAGTATCCCTATTCAAAGGGAATACGTAGTATTCCTTTTCAATTATCTTTCCATTTCAGTGTACAATGTAATGGGCTGTTCAGTTTCCATTGTATTTTACCTGAACTTTTCCTTCCTCTCATGGCCAGCAATGCTAGTTTTCCATTGAAGACAGCAATGCGCCGGGCACGGTGGCTCACACCTGTAATCCCAGCACTTTGGGAGGCAGAGGCGGGCAGATCACCTGAAGTCAGAAGTTCGAGACCAGCCTGACCAACATGCAGAAACCCCGTCTCTACTAAAATACAAAAAAAATTAGCCGGGCGTGGTGGCGCATGCCTGTAATCCCAGCTACTCGGAAGGTTGAGGCAGGAGAATCCCTTGAACCCAGGAAGCGGAGGTTGCGGTGAGACGAAATTGCACCATTGCACTCCAGCCTGGGCAACAAGAGCGAAACTCCGTCTCAAAGAAAAAAAAAAGAAGAAGACAGCAATGCAAATTTGCCTTCTCAAATTAACTTACTGGGGAAAAAAATGCACTAGTCATTATCAAGAAAAAGAAAAAAACTAGTACTTCAGGACTCAGCAAAATTGGTCAAATAGTAAGTGACAGGATGTCGATTTCCCCGGCTCCAATTCTAAGTTTTTCCTATTGCTGTCTCTGAGCTTTCTCCCCCAGCTTCCCTGGAATTCCCAGCTACACCAATGACTCTCAGAATCATTATCATTATAGTCCCAATCCACGAGCTCTCACTGTGCCAGCCCCTCTGCTTAAAATCTTTACACACACAGATTTCATCAGAATCCTCAAGACGACCCTATGATATTGGGACTATCTGCTCTCATTGTACAGATGAGAAAAAACGGGGTTCAAGGAAGCGAAGACACAGGCCCCACTGCCGCACAGTGGAGCGGGACTTGAACCAAAATTCGACGGCTTCCAAACCCAACAATTTTTCATACTAAGCGCTCAAACATCAATACTAATAATAATAGTATAGTAACGAAGTGAGCGTTATGCGGAGGCGCTGAGCTAAGGCATCCAACGTACACGACCTGACTTCTCACTCCCATTTATAAAGCCGGTGATACAGTCGGATTCTAACCCCCATTCCACAGGGGAGGAAACTGAGGCTCAAAGAAACAAATCGTAAGTCCGAAGCCGTACAACGGAGCCCGAACTGAGTCCAGACACCCGGACGCCACCCGTCCCTACCGCAACCGGCCCAGTCCCACCACCCCCGGCCCGCGCCTCACCTGGCCCACCGGGCCCGCGCCCACTCGCGCCGCCCGCCCTCCCTCCCGGCGGCGCCAACTGTCAGACACTCCTCCCCCGGCCCGGGCTGCCCGCCCCGGAAGCATCCTCTCACCGCCGGAAGCTGAACTGACTCGTCCGCGGCCGCTCTACCCCAACAGGCCGCCACCAGCGAGAGTGCGGCCATAACCATCACGTGACCGCCCACCGACACCAGCGAGAGTGCAGTCGTAACCGTCACGTGACCGCCCACCGTCGGCCCGGCGCTCCCCTCCGCCCGAAGCTAGCAAGCGGCGCGGCCAATGAGAAAGGCGCATGCCTGGCCCCCGCCGGCCTGCAGTCTAGCCGTAGTGCGCCTGCGCGCGGCTAGGAGGGGCCGTCAGGCGGGGATACAGCCTGGAAGGTGCGTGTGGGGCTGGGTCTCGGAGTGGGAGACGTGGAGTGCAGGTACTGTGCGATCTGGGGGCGCGGCGCCTCGGCTACCCTCCTCGTGTTGTCTTCCACGCTATAATGCATGGAATATAATATATATTATATGGAATATAATATATGGAATATAATATATATAATTATAGCGTTGTCTTCCACGCTATAATTTATGTCGTCCTCGGTCTCTTTATGTCACCATTCCTCTCCTTCTGTCTCATCCCACTTAAATCCTCACAACTCCTTCTGTCGCCATCACCCTCTTTAAATCCTCACAACTCCTCTTGTTGTCATCAACGCCCTTAACTCGCTTTCGTTCCCTGTAAGCCCTCTTTGCCACCATAGGTCGTAATCGCTCCCTTTAAATTCGTCATCGCCATATGTTACCTGCATCCTGCTTTTGTTGCCATTTCTCCTTTATAAAATCCTCATTTCTCTTTAAACCCTCATCATACCCCCAAGTCACCTTCGCATGGCTACTGTCCCCATCGCTCTTCTTAAATCGCGCTAATGCAACTCTTACGTCATCATTACCCCTTGTGTCTTTGTCCCTCCCTTGGCATCACTGTTCCTCTGACCAGTCACCATCCACTCCTCATGCTTCCAGTTTTCCCCATAAGGAGCCACCCAGCCTTACAGTTATTTTTCTTCCCTCCGTGTCTTCGTCATTTCCCCGTGTCACATCTCACATAACATACGGGGTACTGCAGCCCATTACCTGGGGTGTGTCAGAATCCCAGCCCCACCACTACACCTCTGGATACCTTGACTGCCTTATGGCACCTTTCCAATCCCAGCTTCATCTGCAAAATGCACACGGGGACATCCACATCAGGGCTGAGTGTGACGATTCTGTGAGTTTATTCTTGTGGTAGGCTCAGCTTGACATGGTGTTTTTGGCTAATATTGTTATTAACCATGTCACCCTCGGCCGGGTGCGGTGGCTCATGCCTGTAATCCCAGCACTTTAGGAGGCCAAGGTGGGCGGATCACCTGATGTCGGGAGTTCGAGACCAGCCTGATCAACATGGAGAAACCCCGTCTCTACTAAAAATACAAAATTAGCCGGGCGTGGTGGTGCATGCCTATAATCCCAGCTACTCGGGAGGCTGAGGCAGGAGAATGGCTTGAACCGGGGAGGTGGAGGTTGCAGTGAGCCGAGATCGCGCCATTGCACTCCAGCCTGGGCAACAAGAGCGAGACTCCGTCTCAAAAAAAAATAATAATAATAGGCCAGGCGCGGTGGCTCACGCCTGTAATCCCAGCACTTTGGGAGGCCGAGGCGGGCGGATCACCTCAGGTCGGAAGTTCGAGACCAGCCTGACCAACATGGAGAAACCCCATCTCTATTAAAAATACAAAATTAGCCAGGCATGGTGGCACATGCCTGTAATCCCAGCTACTCGGGAGGCTGAGACAGGAGAATCGTTCGAATCTGAGAGGCGGAGGTTGCAGTGAGCCTAGATCGTGCCATTGCACTGTAGCCTGGGCAACAAGAGCGAGACTCCGTCTCAAAAAAAAAAAAAAAAAAAAAAACTGCATGATCTTGGGCAACTAACTTAACCTCCCAGCGCCTCAGTTACTGCATCTGCAATATGGGAATGAAAACACAAATTAATCATTCTGCACATAATTCTTAAGCATGTACTATATATGTGCCCAACACTGCTAGACACTGGGGATACCTCAATGAACAATACAGACAAAAATATCTCGGCCTGGCGCAATGGCTCACACCTGTAATCCAAGCACTTTGGGAGGTGAAGTGGGTGGATCACCTGAGACCAGGAGTTTGAGACCAGCCTGGACAACATGGTGAAGCCCCATCTCTACTAAAAATGCAAAAATTAGCCAGGCATGGTGGCGCGCCCCTAAAATCTGAGCAACTCGGGAGGCTGAGGTGAGAGGATTGCTTGAACCCAGGAGGCGGAGGCTGCAGTGAGTTGAGATCGCACCACTGCACTCCAGCCTGGGTGACAGAGTGAGACCCCATCTCAAAAAAAAAAAAAAAATCTGGCCTTATGGACTGTGTACTACACTCTAGTGGGGGTAAGAGGCAATGGGTAAATAGGTAAGTAGATTATTGGATGTATTAGAAGGGGCATGGGGAATGTGGGGTCAAGGTTATAGTTTTAAATAGGGTGGTCAGGGAAAGCTTTCTGAGAAGGTGACATTTGAAACAAATACTTGAAGGAGAAGAGAGAGTAGGGCTGGGCACGGTGGCTCACGCCTGTGATCACAGCACTTTGGGAGGCTGAGGAAGGTGGATCGCTGGAGCTCAGGAGTTTGAGATCAGCCTGGGCAACATAGCGAAACCCCATCTCTACAAAAATTAGCCAGGTATGGTGGTGTGCGCCTGTGGTCCCAGCTACTTGGGAGGCTGAGAGGTGGGGGGATCGCTTGAGCCTGGGAGTTCGAGGCTGCAGTGAGCCATGATTTTGCCAATACACTCCAGCCTGGGCAACAGACGGAGACCCTGTCTCAAAACAAAAAAACAAAACAAAACAAAAAAACGGCCAGGCGTAGTGGCTCATGCCTATAATCCCAGCACTTTGGGAGGCCAAGGCTGGCAGATCACCTGAGGTCAGGAGTTCGAGACCAGCCTGACTAACATGGTGAAACCTCGTCTCTACTAAAATTACAAAAAATTAGGCAGGCATAGTGGCAGACACCTGTAATCCCAGCTATTCAGGAGGCTGAGGCAGGAGAATCGCTTGAACCAGGGAGGCGGAGGTTGCAGTGAACTGAGATTGCGCCATTGCACTCCAGCCTGGGCGACAGCGAGATTCTGTCTCAAAAAAAGAGAGAGAGAAAGAAAGAGTGACATGGCCCTCTGGGGGAACAGCATGCTGGGCAAAGAGAACAGCAAAAGCAAAAGTCTTGCGGTAGGAGCAAGCTTGGAATATTTAAGGAATAGCAAGGAGGTCAGTGAGAGAGGAGAGGGGCAAGAGACGACATTGGAGGGGTGATGGGGCACATCGTGGAAGGCCTTGTGAGCCATGCAGAAGGCTGGCTTTTACTCCCAGTGAGGTGGGTGCCACAGGAGGATGTGGAGCCGAGGAGGGATGCGGTCCAGTGTGACATGAAGCCATCACCCTGAGCTGTGGCAGCTCCAGAACTTCTACCCAGGATCGACTAGTGAGAGGCAGCCTTATTGGAAAGAGAGCCAGAATCTTCTTCAGTCCGCACTCACATATCCTTTATGTTGGGAGAAAGTTTCAAATATCCCTGTCAAAGATCGAGACCGGGCGTGGTGGTTCACGCCTATAATCCCAGCACTTTGGGAGGCTGAGGCGGGCGGATCACTTGAGGTCAGGAGTTCGAAACCACCCTGACCAACATGGTGAAACCTCATCTCTACCAAAATTATATAAAATTAGCTGGGCGTTGTGGCTTGTGCCTGTAATCCCAGCTACTCAGGAGGCTGAGGCAGGAAAATCGCTTGAACCCGGGAGGCAGAGGTTGCAGTGAGCCGAGATCACACCACTTCACTCCAGCCTGGGCAACAGAGCAAGACTCCATCTCAGATAAATAAATAAATAGTCATAAAATTTGAGGGCAGGCTAGGGAAATGCTAACGGAATTTTTGAGAGGCCGGCGCCACCACGGGGTTCAGCTGCTGTCCCAGACGGTGGGGGGCAGGCAGCAGGGGATCTACAGATGATGAACAACAGGAGAGGCAGCTGTCATGTGGCATCTGTCCCTGGAAGCTTGAGGCAGCTTGGGTTCAAATCCTTGCTCCATTTCCTCTCTCTTTTTTTTTAACCAAAGTCCAGTTCCAGGCTTACCACATATCCTATTTCTCTTTATACCTGTGACTTCACCTCTCTGGATCCTTAATTCCCTAAGTGGGATTTTTAAGAGGACTGTTGTGAAAATTAAATATATTAAGTCCAATTTAAAAAAATAAAACAAATATATTAAGTGCTTTGAGGCCAGGCACAGTGGCTTATGCCTGTAATCCCAGCACTTTGAGAGGTTGAGGTAGGCAGATCACTTGAGCCCAGCAGTTCAATAGCAGCCTGGGCAATGTGGTGAGATCCCAACTCTACAAAAAAATAAAAAACTAGCTGGGCATGGTGGCACACACCTGTGGTTCCAGCTACTCAGGAGGCTGAGGCGAGAGGATCACTTGAGCCCAGGAGTTCCAGGCTGCAGTGAGATGTGTTCCCACCACTGCATTCCAGCCTGGGCAACAAAGCGAGGAGACCCTGTCTCAAAAAAAATCAAAAATGAATGCAAGAAGCCCCATTGTCTCACTCCACACCCTGCACTTTTGCAGGCTCACGCCTCCCTCAAGCTGCAGGGTCCCTCGCCTGATGTGATGAAGGGAGATTTTGCATTGTTTTGTTCATGAATTAGTTCAACCATGTACTGCCCTGGAATACAACTGAGCTCTGGGTTCAAATTCCTAGCTGATCCCTATAATCCCAGCACTTTGGGAGGCTGAGGTGGGCAGATCACTCGAGGTCAGGAGTTCGAGACCAGCCTGGCCAATATGGTGAAACACTGTCTTTACAAAAAATACAAAAATTAGCCAGGTGTGGTGGCGGGCACCTGTCATCCCACCTACTCAGGAGGTTGAGACATGAGAATCACTTGAACCTGGAAGATGGAGGTTGCTTTGAGCCGAGATCCTGCCACTGCACTCCAGTCTTGGTGACAGAGTGAGACACCATCTCAAAAAACAAACAAATTTCCAACTGACAAACCAATGCTGTGCAACCTAAGCAGGTAATTTCCCTGAGCCCTGCCACCTCATCTGAAAAACAGAGATGGTAACACTGCTTTGCCCTAAACTTACCATGTTATTATTTTTCTTTTCTTTTCTTTTCTTTTTTTTTTATTTGAGATGGAGTCTTGCTCTGTCACCCAGGCTGGAGTGCAGTGGTGTGATCTCAGCTCACTTCAAGCTCTGCCTCCCAGGTTCACACCATCCTCCTGCCTCAGCCTCCCGAGTAGCTGGGACTACAGGTACCCGCCACCACGCCTGGCTAATTTTTTGTATTTTTAGTAGAGATGGGGTTTCACTGTGTTAACCAGGATGGTCTCAATCTCCTGACCTCATGATCCGCCCGCCTTGGCCTCCCAAAGTGCTGGGATTACAGGCGTGAGCCACCACACCTGGCCCTACCATGTTATTATTTTTCTTTCTTTATTTTTTTGAGACAGGGTCTTGCTCTCTCACCCAGGCTGGAGTGCAGTGGTGCAGTCATGGCTAACTGCAGACCAAGCTCCCAGGCTCAAGCCATCCTCTTGCTTCAGCCTCCCACGTAGCTAGGGCTACAGGCGCATACCACCATCCCCAGCTATTTTTTAGCCTTTTTTTTTTTTTTTTTTTTTTGAGACAGAGTCTCGCTCTGTTGCCCAGGCTGGAGTGCAGTGGCGCGATCTCGGCTCACTGCAACTTCCACCTTCTGGGGTCAAGCGATTCCCCTGCCTCAGCCTCCTGAGTAGCTAGGATTACAGGTGCATGCCACCAGGCCCGGCTAATTTTTGTATTTTTAGTAGAGACGGGGTTTCACCATGTTGGTCAGGCTGGTCTCAAACTCCTGACCTCGTGATCTGACTGCCTCGGCCTCCCAAAGTGCTGGGGTTACAGGCGTGAGCCACCACGCCTGGCCTAGGCTTTTTATTTTTCTGTAGAGACAAGATCTCACTTTGTTGCCCAGGCTGCCCAGGTCTCAAACTCCTGGGCTTAAGTAATCTCCCTGCTTTGGCCTCCTAAAGTGCTGGAATGACAGGTGTGAGTGAGCCACTGTGCCCAGCCATGTTATTATTATTATTTTATTTTTCATTGAGACACTGTCTTGTGTCACCCAGGCTGGTGTGCAGTGGTGCAAGCTCAGTTCACTACAACCTCTGCCTCCCGGGTTCCAGTAGTTCTCCTGCCTCAGCCTCCCAAGTACCTGGAATTACAAGTGCGTACCACCACGCCCTGCTAATTTTTGTATTTTTAACAGAGACAGGGTTTCGCCATGTAGGCCAGGCTGGTCTCGAGCTCCTGACCTCAAGTGATCCACCTGCCTCAGCCTCCCAAAGTGCTGGGATTACAGGTGTGAGCCACCGTGCCCGGCTGTGTTATTTTTGTTTTTGTGTTGTTGTTTTGAGACTGAGTCTCACTCTGTCGCCCAGGCTACAGTGCAGTGGCATGATCTCAGCTCACTGCAACCTCCGCCTCCCAGGTTCAAGCGATTCTCATGCCTCAGCCCCCTCAAGTAGCTGGGACTATAGATGCACACCACCACGCCCTGCTAATTTTTGTATTTTTAGTACAGATGGGGTTTCACCATGTTGGCCAGGCTGGTCTCGAACTCCTTACCTCAAGTGATACACCCACCTCGGCCTCCCAAAGTGCTGGGATTACAAGCATGAGCCACCATGCCCGACCCTGTTGTTATTTTTGAACTGGGACATAAGCCTTTGGCAGTTGTGATGCCACTGTCTCCCTCCCCTGCTTTATTTTTTTCCAAGGCACATTCCATGTATTTCACTCATTTATTTTCACTCCCTCACTCCCTTAGTAGAATAACATCTTTAAGAAGATTTTTTTTCCTTTTTTTTTTGTTTTTTGTTTTTTTTGAGACAGAGTTTCGCTCTTGTTGCCCAGGCTGAAGTGCAGTGGCGTGATCTCAGCTCACCGCAACCTCTGCCTCCCAGGTTCAAGTGATTCTCCTGCCTCACCCTCCCAAGTAGCTGGGACTACAGGCACGCGCCACCAGGGCCTGGCTGATTTTGTATTTTTAGTAGAGACGGGTTTCTCCATGTTGGCCAGGCTGGTCTCGAACTGCCAACCTCAGATGATCCGCCTGCCTCAGCCTCCCACAGTGCTTGGATTACAGGTGTGAGCCACCGTGCCGGCTCCTTTTTTTTTTTTTTTTTTTTTTTTTCCTGCAATCTCAGTTTCTGGAGCAGGGCTTGTCAGCAAGTCATTATTGATTAAATATTAGTTGAATTAATAGATTAATTAACTGGCCACTGAGCACCTGCTATGCACTTTCCTATGCTCCATGGTACTGGGGACATGGCAGTGAGTTAGATAGCCTGGACCTGCCGTCATAGGTCTCCCAGTCAAATAGGAGAGACGAACCCATCATTAGGCACTGCCAGCAGCAAGCACTGCCAGCTAATCACAGCACTGATTTTGAGCAGGAGTGGGACAGCTTAGATTTCTCTAGTTCCAATTTAGAAGTGTTCACCATTCATGATGCTTTCTTGGACCTATTTAATTGTTTTTCAGACTGACCGTCTTCTCTCCCTAGGAGGCATAGGCAGAGGGATCAGGGCTGGGAAAGGGAGGCCCAGGGGACTGTGTGAGCCCAGAGGGCTTCATGGAGGAGGTGGTATGTGAGCGGACAGAAATGAGCAAGGTGTGCTCGGCAGGGAAAGCAGCTGTGGGAGGGTCTGGTGATGAAAGTGTGGTTTTGGTTCAAGGAACTGAAAGATCATAAATATGGCTGGGGTGGGAAGAACGGTGAGAGAGTAGGCCAAAGAGGTCATTCAGGGAAGATCATTCAAGGCCCTGTCAGCCACAGTGAGGAGCTGAGACTGTGTACTGAGGACACCGGGGAGCCACAGAGTTTTTGAGCAGGAGAGGGATGTGTCAAATTCACGTGGAGGTCGGATTGCAAGGATTGAGTGGAGTCTGGAAGCCAAGGGAGGTGGCTGGAGTGGGGACCCAGGTGGGAGAGACTAAGTCAGAGCTTGTGGGGGAGGGCGAATTGGAGAGACCCTCACAGGACCAAGTCGACAAATGGTTGGGGTCCAGGACAAGGCCCAGGGCTGGGGGTAGTCAAGGAGAGCTTTCTGGAGGAGGAGGCACCAAGGCTGAGACCTGAAGGATGGGTTCAACAGCTCTTCTTGAAATGGGGACCTGGGGCAGGAAGATGGTAAGGACAGTTGGGGACATAGTAGGTGTGGGAGTCTGGGGACACCTTGAAGGAGGTATCTGGGGGGCCCTGGAACCTCTAGAGCTGGAGTCAGGGGAAAGGAGGAAACAAGACAGAGCTTTGGGTTGAGAAAGAGGGAATTGAAGCTGTAATGATGGGGGAAGGTCCACAGGGGCCTGTCCATGTAGGGCTCTGTAGGACATGGTAAGAAGTTTGTCCTTTGTCCTGGGGGCAATGGGGAGCCACAGAAGGATTTTGAGCAGGAGTGAGACAGCTTAGGGTTTTTAAGTTCCAGTTCAGAAGTGTTTATCATTCATGATGCTTTTTGGACCTATTTAATTGTTTTTCAGACTGACTGACTTCTCTCCCTAGGAGGGGCACTTATTTTAAAGGGTCCGTTGAAATAAAAGATCTAACTGCTGAAAATGAAAAATCAGTTTGCAAAACCAGTGTTCTGTTCCGTTTTCTGTAGACAATTGATGGTTCAGTCCAAAGAGGTCAGAAACAATTGATGGTTTAGTCCAAAGAGGTCTGTACCATCTAGTGAAAATCAGCACCATTAAACATGAGAACATTTCTGTTTTAAACCATTTGGAAGCCCCGTGAATTTTATTTTATTTTGTTATTTTTAAAATTAGAGACAGGGGTCTCGCTCTGTTGCCCAGGCTAGTCTCGAACTGCTGGGCTCAAGCGATCCTCCCACTTCAGCCTACCAAAGTGCTGGAATTACAGATGTGAGCTACTGCTCCTGGCCAGCCTGTGGATTTGTAAATGTCTCCTGTGGTGTGATCTGCCTCATGTTTCCTGTATGTAGGCTTCAGAAGCACACTCTGCATTCTCAGATGGCTTGAATCAGCCTTGACTTTTTCCCCACCCTCTCAGCCTGAATCTCAGGTTGAGATGCCATTATCTGCACCCACCCTATATGCTCTGGGCTTAGAACTGATACCAGCTGGTTATCATTGTGTATAAAAGTGTCACTAGGTATAGAGAGACATCTAAAATAATCTCCTCTCAAAATTTTCTATTCTGCTGCTCCATTTCTTCTGCTTTCAGTATTTTTTGAGCAATTACAATGGTCTGGGCCCTAGAGCTAGAGGAATAAATCAGACACGGACATAGCAAGGGACACATATGTTGATTATGTGTGATTAAAATGTATACAAGATACGAGGGCGTACACAGATCTCACCAACTAGCATGTTTCAAGGGCTTACTGTGCTTCCTGCCTTCCATGGATGATCTCATTGACTTCCCAACAAATGTGAGGTTGGTATTATTAATCTCCACATTGTTCAAAGAATGAAAGTGTGGCTTAGAGAAGGGAACCTCTTTTCCCAGTTCCACAGAGCTGAGATCTGAAGTCTGAGCTGTGGGACTCTGAGACCCACCCCCTTAACCATTCAGAGATCCCCCAGCCACCACCCTCCAGTGCATATAAGATGATACCCATTTCATTTGTTGTTTTGAGACCGTGTCTTGCTCTGTCGCCCAGGCTGGAGTGCAGTGGCACAATCACGGCTCACTGCAGCCTTGACCTCCTGGACTCAAGCAGTGGTCCCACCTCAGCCTCCCAAGTGGCTGGGACCACAGGCGTAGGCATGGGCTACCACACCTAGCCAATTATCTTTTTGTTTGTTTGTTTTTGAGATGGAGTTTCGCTCTTGTTGCCCAGACTGGCATGCAATGATGCAATCTCGGCTCACTGCAACCTCTGCCTCCCAGGTTCAAGCGATTCTTGGACCTCAGCCTCCCGAGTAGCCTGCCACCATGCCAGGCTAATTTTTGTATTTTTGGTAGAGACGAGGTTTCACCATGTTGGCCAGGCTGGTCTCGAACTCCTGACCTCAGGTGATCCACCCATCTTGGCCTCCCAAAGTGCTGGGATTACAGGCATGAGCCACCGTGCCCAGCCGCCTAGCCAATTTTTTAAGTTTTTGTAGAGATGGGGTCACACCTTGTTGCCCCAACTGGTCTCAAACTCCTGAGCTCAAGCCATCCTCCCGCCTTGGCCTCCCAAAGTGCTGGGATTATAGGCATAAGCCACTGCGCCCTGCCAATATGGCTAATACTGGTTTATAGATGAGGCCAGCAGGGCTCAGAAGTAAAGCCCCATGCTCAGCATCACTCAGCAAGAAAGTGGCAGAGGTGTGATCTGAACCATGAGCTCTCCAATTTAAAGGGCTGCTGTAGAGGAGGAATCAAATCTCCCACTGCCACCCTCCCCTGGGGGTGGGGTGTTCAGGGATCTGTGACCCAGTGGGTTTTACTTCCTCCTTTTTGCGGGCTATGGTGTCATACTCCAAGGGGGGCAGGACCACAAGGCAAGGGGACTAGGGGGTATTCTGTGGGCTGGGAGAGAGCACGCTTCCTGGCAGTGCCCTCTCCCAGATGAGACCTGATCTCTTTTTTGTTTTTTGTTTTTTGTTTTGAGACAGAGTTTTGCTCTTCTTGCCCAGGCTGGAGTACAATGGCGCAATCTTGGCTCACTGCAACCTCCGCCTCCCAGGTTCAAGCGATTCTCCTGCCTCAGCCTCCTGAGTAGCTGGGATTACAGGCATGCGCCACCACGCCCGGCTAATTTTGTATTTTTAGTAGAGACGGGGTTTCACCATGTTGGTCAGGCTGGTCTTGAACTCCCGACCTCAGGTGATTTGCCCACCTCAGCCTCCCAAAGTGCTGGATTACAGGTGTGAGCCACTGCGCCCGACCGAGACCTGATTTCATCTCATGTCATACCAGCAAGGAGGCAGAGCATAAGTACCAACCTGGATGGGGCGCGCTGGGAGCCCCATGGAGGTTCTAGGGTCCTGAGAATACAGGCATTGAGACGGGCTGAGGAGGAACTCCAGCATCCGGCTGCCCGTGCCCACCTTCAGTTTCACCCTACCCTGCTCCCACAAGGATCTGAGCAGGGAGGGGGCCTGATTTCCTTCTCCCGCTGAGACCACAGTCCTCTGGAGGCTAGGATCTGGTGATGGGGCACCCTAGCTAGGAGCCTGAGCCTCTTTATAATTTAGTTTCCATAGAAGTTATATGTGCATTTAAAAAAATTCAATGTAAGTAAAGACCTACAATGAAAAGCAACCGTCTTGTCTCTGGGGGTGGGATGGGGGATGCCTTTGCGTGGGGAGCTGTTAGGAGACTTGACAGTCACCTTTGCTGAGAGCCTCCTGCATGTCAGGGGCTCTTCTATGCACATTATATGTGTGCTAATTCCTTTTTTAAAACTTTACTTTTTGTGGAGATGAGTCCTGCTGTGTTGTGTAGGCTGGTCTTGAACTCCTGGCCTCACGCAATCCACCCCCAACCTTAGCCTCCCGGAGTGCAGGGATTACAGGTGTGAGCCACCTTTCCCAGCCTGTTGACTCCTTTAATTCAGAGGAGTCAGTCAGATTTTAGACATCTCAAATGTTGTATGTTCAAAACCAAACTCCTGGTCTTTTCCCCAAACTTGTGTCTCCCTGTCTTGCCCAATCAGCTGTTGACACCTCCAATCCTTGCAGTTGCTGCGGCCAAAACTCAGTCATCCCTCACTCCTTTACTGCTCTCAAACCCACATCCAGCCTAGAAATGCCATCCCCTCCACCTTCAAAATGCATCCAGACCCCGCCCTTTCTTCGACACTTGGCTGACCACACCCTGGTCCTGTCCACCCTTGGCTCCTGTCTGGATGCTCCCAGCAGCCTCCTCCCTGGGCTCCCTTGCCCTGCCCCAGTCTGTTCCCCACGCACAGCCGCCAGGGGATCCTGTAACACCTGTGTTTGTTTCTTCGGGCTGCTGTAACAAATTGCCACCAAGTTGGTGGCTTAACACAACAGAATGTATGGCCAGGCGCAGTGGCTCCTGCCTGTAATCCCAGCACTTTGGGAGGCCGAGACAGTCGATCATTTGAAGTTGCACCACTGCACTCCAGCCTGGATAACAGAGCGAGACTCCGTCTTAAAAAAAAAAAAAAAAAAAAAAGACAACAAATTCATTCTCTCAGTTTTGGAGCCGAAGTCCAAACTCAAGGTGTAGCAGGGCCATGCGCCTCCAGAAGCTGGAGGGGAGATTCCATTCCTCACCTCTCCCAGCTTCTAGTGGCTCCAGGCATTGCTGGGTTTATGGCCACATCACCCTAATGTCAGCCTCCCTGTTCACATGACCTTCTGCCTGTTCTATCTCTGAGGACAGTTGTGATTGGATTTAGGGCCCATCCAGTTAGTCCAGGATGATCTCATCTCAAGATCCTAAATCTGATTACAATTGCAAAGATCCTTTTTCCAAATAAGGTCACATGCACGTAAGTTCCGGGGATTATGCTTGCGTGGGACACATCTTTTTTGAGGCCACCATTCAACCCACTACAAAATCCAACTGAAGCCCAGCGAAGTGGCTCATGCCTGAAATCCCCGCACTGTGCGAGGCCAAGGCAGGAGGGTCACCTGAGGCCAGGAGTTCAAGAGTAGCCTGGGCAGCGTAGGGAGATCCTCATCTCTTTTTTTTTTCGAGATGGAGTTTCGTTCTTGTTACTCAGGCTGGAGTGCAATGGCGCAATCTTGGCTCACTATAACTTCCTCCTCCTGGGTTCAAGCGATTCTCCTGCCTCAGCAATCCCGAGTAGCTGGGATTACAGGCATGTGCCACCATGCCCAGCTAATTTTTTATTTTTAGTAGAGACAGGGTTTCTCCATGTTGGTCAGGCTGGTCTCGAACTCCCAACCTCAGGTGATCCGCCCACCTTGGCCTCCCAAAGTGCTGGGATTACAGGCATGAGCCATCACGCCCAGTGGAGATCCCCATCTCTTAAAAAAATCTGAAGCAGATCACATCATCCTTCCCTGCTGGGAACCCACACGTGACCCTGTTCTACTCATCACAGTCCAGGCAGCCCTGCAGGATCTGGCCCTATCACCTCTGTGACATCTCCTCTCCCACTCCCCCCAGCCCACTTCACTGCAGACACACTGGCATCCTCACTCTTCTCCATCCACACCAGGCACATTCCTCCCTCAGGGCCTTTGTACTGATCATTTTTCCCACAGATGTCCATCTCACCCCACCTTGAAGTTTTTCTTCAGGTATCCCCTTCTCAGTGAGGCCTTTTCTGACCTCCTTATTAAATATCACAAACAATTCCACCCCCACCCCCTTCCCTGATCCTCTATGGCACTTACTACCTTCTAACATTATATCATTTATTTATTATCTTGTTTATTATCACCTTTTTTTTTTATTTTTTGAGACGGAGTTTCCTTTGTCGCCCACGCTGGAGTGCGGTGGCGCCAACTCACTGCAACCTCCACCTCCCTGGTTCAAGCAATTCGCCCACCTCAGCCTCCTGAGTAGCTGAGATTACAGGCGCCCTCCAACACGCCCGGCTAATTTTTGTATTTTTAGTAGAGATGGGATTTCGCCATGTTGGCCAGGCTGGTCTCGAATGCCAGACCTCAGGTGATCCACCCACATCGGCCCCCCAAAGTGCTGGCATTACAGGCGTGAGACACCGCGCCTGGCCTCTGTTTTTCCCTCGTGTCTATTTTGTTCACAGCTGTATCCCCAGTGCCTAAAACAATACCTGATGCACACAAGGCAACCAGTAAATGTGTGTAAAATTAACGAACAGCAAATGCTATTGTTACCATGCCCATTTTGCAGATGGAGAAACCAAGAGCACAGAGGTGTTGTCACTTCTCCAAGGTCAAACAGTCACTAAGTGCAGAAGCTCAGATTCAAACACAGGTATCTGGCTCTAGCACTTACTGTATTGTCTTGCCAGTCTCATCCAATCGAAATCACTTCTCCAGTACTAGTTTTTATTTGTTTGTTTTTTATGAGACAGGCTCTCACTCTGTCAGCTGGGCTGGAGTGAGGTGGTGCGATCACTGCTCACTGCAGTCTCCACCTCCCAGATTCAAGCAATTCTCCTGCCTCAGCCTTCCACATAGTTGGAACTACACGTCCACACCATCATACCAGGCTAATTTTCTTTCATTTGTTGTAGAGATTAGGTCTCACTATGTTGCCCAGGCTGGTCTCAAACTCCTGGGCTCAAGCAATCCTCCCACCTTGGCCTCCCAAAGTGCTGGGATTACACGTGTAAACCACCGTGCCTGGCCCTCCAATATTAGTTTACTTTTTAATCAAAAGTTAACACAATAAGAAAAATAATACAATTAAAACATCAAAAGTTAAAATTAAACTAATCATTACAGACCTGTAATCACTGTACAATTTGGAAGCCAAAACATCACTGACAATTTGAACGAAGTCCATCTATTTTCTTCCTATTTTTATTTTGTTTTTGTTTTTATTTTTTATGTTCTTGTAGAGACTGGGCCTTGCTATGTTGCCAAGGCTAGTCTGGAACTCCTGGGCTCAAGCAGTCCTCTCACCTCAGCCTCCCAAAGTGCTGAGATTACAGGTGTGAGCCACGGTGCCAGGCCTTTCTCCTTATTTTTGGTTTATTAGTGACCATCCCAGTTCTCCAGCCCTGACGCTGCCAGCCCTGTTACTTCAGATCTCCATGCCCCACCTTGCCTTCGGTTTTGTTTTTCTTCATCTTGGCTTCCCTAATTTCACATTGCCTGCTGTTCCAACTCCATATTCTTCAATAAAAATATGTCTCACCAAGGCCTTCAAAGAAAATTGAAGACAAGCATTTCCTGCACTCCCTCCTGCCTCCTCCACCCACAATGTTGTGGTCAACCGCCTCTAAGACTGATGTTATCTTCTGCTTCTCCTAGTGACCTCTGGAGTTTCAAATAACCTTAGTCTGTTGCTGTTTCTTGCTAGATTTGTTTGTTTGTTTGTTTGTTTGTTTGTTTGAGACGGAGTCTCGCTCTGTTTTAACCCAGGCTGGAGTGCAGTGGCGCAATCTCAGCTCACTGCAACCTCTGCCTCCCAGGTTCAAGCAATTCTCCTGCCTCAGTCTCCCGAGTAGCTGGGATTACAAGCGCCCGCCACCACGCCCAGCTAATTTTTACATTTTTGGTAGAGAGAGGGTTTCACCACATTGGCCAGGCTGGTCTTGAACTCCTAACCTCAGGTGATCCACCCACCTCGGCCTCCCAAAGTGCTGGGATTACAGGCGTGAGCCACCACACCCGACCTGCTAGATCCTTTTTAGGCATCCCCATTTGTCTTCCTGCCATGAAAAGAGGGGATCTAGCATGTTCTACCCTCGCCAGTCTGGGATCTGACATTGGTAGGGAGGAGTTTGCAAGTTATCCCTACAAATCTAGGTTGGATCTTGGAGTAAGGGGAGCACCTAGCTCTGAGAGTTTTCTTTTTCTTCTTTTTCAAAAAAGAGTAATGCGCGCCCCTGATTTTTTAAAAGGTAATGAAACTGGTGACGCCTGTGTTTGCTTTATAATTATTTCTCAACCTACACCGAGATATTTTCTATACTTCTCTGAAAATAGCTTATGTTTCACAATTTTAAAAAAGAAAATAGGCTGGGCACAGTGGCTCATGCCTGTAATCCCAGCACTTTGGGAGGCCAAGGCAGGCGGATCACGAGGTCAGGAGTTCGAGACCAGCCTGGCCAACTTGGTGAAACCCTGTCTCTACTAAAAATACAAAAATTAGCTGGTCGTGGTGGCAGGCGCCTGTAATCCCAGCTACTCGGGAGGCTGAGGCAGGAGAATCGCTTGAAACCACAAGGCGGAGGTTGCAGTGAACCAAGATTGTGCCACTGCACTCCAGCCTGGGCAAAAGAGCGAAACTCCGTCTCAGAAAAAAGAAAATAGGGGCCAGATGTGGTGGCTCATGCCTGTAATCTCAGAACTTTGGGAGGCCAAGGTAGGAGGATCACTTGAGTCCAGGAGTTCAGCCTGGGCAATAAGCAAGACCCCGTCTATACAAAATTAAAAAAAAAAAAATTAGCTGCGGCTGGGCGCGGTGGCTCATGCCTGTAATCCCAGCACTTTTGGGGGCCTAGACGGGCGGATCACGAGGTCAGGAGATCGAGACCATCCTGGCTAACATGGTGAAACCCCATCTCTACTAAAAAATACAAAAAAAAAATTAGCCGGGCATGGTGGCGGGCGCCTGTAGTCCCAGCTACTCGGGAAGCTGAGGTGGGCGAATTGCTCGAACCAGGGAGGTGGAGGTTGCAGTGAGCCGAGATGGCGCCACTGCACTCCAGCGTGGGAGAGACAGAGCGAGACTGCGTCTCCAAAAAAAAAAAAAAAAGCAGCTGGGCATGGTGGCACGTGCCTGTAGTCCCAGCTGCTTGGGAGGCTGAGGCAGGAGGATTGCTTGAGCCTGGGAAGTTGAGGCCGCAGTGAGCTATGATCATGCTGCTGCACTCCAGCCTAGGGAACAGAACTCTGGCACTAAAAAAAGAAAAGAAAAGAAAAGAAAATAGGCTTACAATAAAAAGCAATCTTGACCTACCCCAAAATCCCACTCCCTTGAAGACAACCACTTCTGCCCTGTTGCTTCTCTCAGTAATACTCCTTTTCTGCAGTTATCTCTTGACTTCCTGCCATGTGTGTTTGGGGGAGCTTGAGGGAAGAGGGTGTCCCTGTCTCATTGAGAGAGGTGCCACCCTGCCGTGAAAAGAGGTGCCACCCTCTGTCAATTAGGAGAGGAGGGATGAGAGAGGAAAGGGGTCTCCAGTGTATTTCTCCAGCCGGGGCCTTAAATCCCTCTTGGGAGATATGGGATGGGGTGGATCGGAAAATAAATTTTTTTAAATCCCTACCAAAATATCAGCTGGCTTTTTTTAAAAAATCAAATACCAAAATCTAAATAGACTCCAACAGAAAATTCACCATCTCCTCTGACCTTTTCTTCCCATCTCATGCTGTGAACTGTCTTCTGTTGACTTTATCGCTACCTTTCTTCATTCTGTTATTCAACCATGATCTCTCCGTTTCATTTTATAAGCGTTTTATTAATTTCATTTATGTATTTATTTTTGACTAGGTAATGCATGTCCATGGTACACAAATTCACAAGGTTTGTAAATGAGAAAAGACGTGAGGTTCCTTTTGTTCTTTACCTGTGGCCTCCCTGCCCTACACGGGGACTCTAGGGTGGAATGTAGCAAAGCCCATCCACCAGCCATGTACTACCCCCCAACCCGGCCAGGCTGGAGCGACCGTGTCTGGGGAGCCGAGCCCCGCTTCTCGCTGCGGTGAGCCCGGACTGGGGCACGCACTGCGCAGACTCCCCGCTGCAGTGGGCGGAGCTCCCACAGGCCCCGCCCCCTCCTCCCACCCTCGTTCAGCCTGTCCAGACAGAAGCTGGGGCCCACCGGAGGTAGCTGCAGACGCCTGAGAGCGAGGCCGAGGCCCCTCAGGGGTAGGTGGGGGGAGGCTGGCTGGGGGGATGGGCAGCGGGGTGGCAGGGAGGCCCCGATGATCCCTGGCTGAGCTGTGTGGTGTGGGGGCACCTGAGGGCGGAGGAGCCACCTAGAATATACCCCCTGTCCCAGGGCTGAGAAAAGCCAGGCACAAAGACCTGGGGCTCCGCTGACCTCATCCAGCGCTGCCTTTCTTGGGGTGTCTACAGGTTGGAGGAGGGAGAAGGGGGCTGCTAGAGGGGAGCTGCGTGGGTGCTGATGGGGGCAGGGTGGGCACTGCAGAGTGAAGAGCAGGCAGCAGAGCGTTGGATTTTGAGGGATTTCGAAATCCTGCTGACCAGTGACCAGCTTCCTCTTTTTGGGGTGGTGGGCAGTGTGCCAGTGGCCCCCATGATTATGAATAGCCCCAAGACTAATCACTCTTCTGTGATGTCTGTCCCTGGAAAGCGTAGAACACCCCACACAGTGCCCACTTTTGTTCTGCCAGTTTGGAGACCCTGACACACCCACCTTCTCACCTGGGCTCTGCGTATCCCCCAGCCTTGAGGGAAGATGAAGCCTAAACTGATGTACCAGGAGGTAGGTGGATTGGGGGGCTCAGCAGGGTGGAACTGGGTACAGTGGGGGTGGGGGTTCCCAAGAGCCACCTGTCACCCCCGTTGTTGTCCCCATCCCCAGCTGAAGGTGCCTGCAGAGGAGCCCGCCAATGAGCTGCCCATGAATGAGATTGAGGCGTGGAAGGCTGCGGAAAAGGTAGGAGCCCTCCGCCACCCTCGCTCTGTCTCAGAGACAGGCTGGGCTGCCCCCCTCGGGCTGGCTGACCACCTCCTCCTCCCCACAGAAAGCCCGCTGGGTCCTGCTGGTCCTCATTCTGGCGGTTGTGGGCTTCGGAGCCCTGATGACTCAGCTGTTTCTATGGGAATACGGCGACTTGCATCTCTTTGGGCCCAACCAGCGCCCAGCCCCCTGCTATGACCCTTGCGAGTAAGTGGGGGGTGCTGCAGTTGGTGGGGGAGGGGCCTGCCAGACCAGGTACACTTAAGCACACACTAAACAGGGCCTGCACTCAGCCCTACCCAGCGCTTGCGACAAGTGAGGAGGTTGCAGGCTCCCAAGTGCTCGCCCGCCCCCTCCTCCTCCACACACATAGTTTCTATGGCAGCCACAGCGTCATCTTCTGTCAGGCCTGTGAACAGACACAGCATCTTCCACCCACATCTGTGGACCCACACACACATCTCAATACACGACCTTCCTTCCACACCTCTAGACAGACACGCAGAGGATCATGAGTCCAGGCACGCATTCAAATACACACAGTTTTAAAAAATTTTTTTTAAAAGAAAAGAAAAACTCAAATACAGTTTAGCTGGGCTTGGTGGCTCACGCCTGTAATTGCAACACTTTGCGGGGCTGAGGCGGGAGGATTGCTTGAGCCCAGGAGTTCCAGACCAGCCTGGGCAATGTAGTGCGGCTCCATCTCTACTAAAAGTAAAAAAAGTAACCAGGCATACTGGTGCACACCTGTAGTCCCAGCTACTCAAGAGGTTGAGGCGGGAGGATCGCTTGAGCCCAGGGGTTCGAGGCTGCAGTGAGCTGAGATGGCGCCACTGCGCTTCCAGCCTGGGGGACAGGGCAAGACTCTGTCTCTAAAAAAAAAAAAATACAGTCTATCCAACACACCCATGGACGGACAGCTGAGCACTCACCTCCCAGCCCTTGCTCTCCGGCACCGTATGGCTGATAGCATCCCCCACCCCCCAGAGCAGTGCTGGTGGAAAGCATTCCTGAGGGCCTGGACTTCCCCAATGCCTCCACGGGGAACCCTTCCACCAGCCAGGCCTGGCTGGGCCTGCTCGCCGGTGCGCACAGCAGCCTGGACATCGCCTCCTTCTACTGGACCCTCACCAACAATGACACCCACACGCAGGAGCCCTCTGCCCAGCAGGTACCTGCAACCTTGGCCCTGGCCGGCAGCAGGGGCAGGGGGTGGGAGGCAGCGGGGGCTGTGGGGAATGAAGGGGTTTCTCCTGCAGCCCAGGAGACAGAGGGGTGTGTCTCACACAGCAGATTGGACACAGGTGTTTGCAAGCAGCTGTCGTCACGTGGCTCTCTGGACTGGGGGCGTTTGTCACGGTCATCTGTAGGCCTCTGAATGTCAGGGTGCGGGTTTGGTTACAAGGGATTATTAGGCTGGCAGATGTCACTCACCCACAAGCTGTCCTGACCCAGTCACACAAAGAAAGGGAAGAGTGGAGTAATTAACAGCCCAGCCTCAAGACAGGGGCCACCTCCCAGCTGTGTGACCCCAGGCAGGCCACCTCTTCTCTCCAGCTTCAGTTTCTTTATCTGTAAAATGGGGCCAATTTATAGCACCTGCTTCTTAGGGCTCTTGTGAGGATGAAATGGACTAATCCATGCAAATTTTAGCACAGTGCCTGGCACAGAGTCAGCCTTTGTGAGTCTGCTGTTACTATATATCCTGGTATGGTCTGCAGACAAACTTAAAGAACATAAAAGCTTCACAATTTGAAAAGGAACAGCCTACATGGATAACCTCTTCCATTGAAAAACCATGAATTTGTTCCTTCTGTTTTCTTCTCCCTACTGGCTCTTTTTGTGAGAAGTTGTCTTAAAACTTAACTAAAATTACAAGGCTCCTTAAGAACTGCCTGAAAAAAATAATTATGGCCAAGTGTGGTGATTCACACCTGTAATCCCAGCACTTTGGGAGGCCTAGACAGGAGGATCACTGGAGCCCAAGAGTTCGAGACTAGCCTGAGCAACATAGTGAGACCCGCCCCCCACCTCCCCTCAACCATCTCTACTAAAAATAAAAAAAAATTAGGAGGGTGTTGTGGTGCATGCCTGCAGTCTCAGATACTCAGGAGATGGAAGGAGGAGGATGGCTTGAGCCCAGGAGTTGGAGGCTGCAGCGAGCCGTGATCATGCCACTACACTCCAGCCCAGGCAACATAGCAAGACCCTGTCTCAAAAAAAAGAAAAAGAAAAAGTAATAATAATAATTACAAAAGTTAAAAACCAAAGCCAGGCATAGTGGTACACACCTGTGGTCCCAGCTACTTGGGAGGCTGAAGCAGGAGAATGACTTGAGCCTAGGAATTGGAGGCTGCAGTGAGCTGTGATCATGCCACTGCACTCTAGCCTGGGCAACATAGTGAAACCCTGTCTCTAAAAAAAAATTTTTTTATGTTAAAAAACCGTATGAGCTCCCACTCCCTGCTGGCTCCCTCTAAAGTGGTTTAAAACACAGATGTAGGAGGCAGATGGTCTGGGTTCAAATCCTGCTCCATAGCTGGATGTGGTGGTGCACTCCTGAGGTACTAGCTACTTGGGAGACTGAGGCAGGCGGAATGCTTGAGCCCAGGGATTGAAGATCAGCCTGGGCAACATAGCAAGTCCCTGTCTCAACAAACAAACAAACAAAAAAACAAAAACAAAATCCCACTCCACTACTGAGTTCTCTGTGGGGATTATAATTAAACCAGCCTCACTGGGTTGTGAGAATTCAGTGAGTTCGCTGAGAAGAGGCCTAGAACAGGGCCTGGCACACAGTAGGTTCCAGGGCATCCTTGACTGTTGCTGTTGTTGGCATCATCGTGCCTCACCCGATACCTTCCAGGACCCCCTGCCTGAGCCTCGCCCCCACCATACTGGGAGATGCCTGGAGGCCCTGCCTTGATGCTGAATTTTGAGAAAGTCCCTGGAGGGGCAGGAGGGGTCAGGAGGACTTGGAGGGGGATCACAGGGCAACTAATTATTAAAGCAGATAAAGATGTTTAAAACAGATAAGGAAGTCTTTTAATATTTTAATCTGTAAAGTCTTTAATCTATGCAGGCTAATGTAAAGTCTGTTTACTCCTAATCATGTCTCAAAATAACTCCACCGGGCATTACCTTGTGGGGTTGGAGAGCTGGCTGGTCCAGCCCCTCAGAAGCTCTCCCCTCCCCGCAGGGTGAGGAGGTCCTCCGGCAGCTGCAGACCCTGGCACCAAAGGGCGTGAACGTCCGCATCGCTGTGAGCAAGCCCAGCGGGCCCCAGCCACAGGCGGACCTGCAGGCTCTGCTGCAGAGCGGTGAGCTGGGGCCCAACTGGGGCTGGTCTGGGCCTGGGGGTACCCAGCCTGGCCCCTGATCTCTGCCCCTGCTGGTCACAGGTGCCCAGGTCCGCATGGTGGACATGCAGAAGCTGACCCATGGCGTCCTGCATACCAAGTTCTGGGTGGTGGACCAGACCCACTTCTACCTGGGCAGTGCCAACATGGACTGGCGTTCACTGACCCAGGTCTGTCTGCACCCTGTCTACCTTCCTTCCAGGCCACTCCCTGCCCCACAGGGCACCCAGCCTCCGACTGCATCCCTCACTCAATCCAGAGTCCTCTCCACCCATTCTCTGTAATGGCTTCCTTCTTGCCTCCTACCAGGCCTCCCTAATCCAAGCCATGCACGGTGGCTCACACCTATAATCTCAACACTTTGGGAGGCCAAGGTGGGAGGATTGCTTGAGCCCAGGAGTTGGAGACCAGCCTGGGCAACATAGTGAGACCCCATCTCTACCAAAAAAAAAAAAATAAGCCCGGTGTGGTGGCACACACCTCTGGTCCCAGCTCCTTGGGAGACTGAGGTGGGAGGATCACTTGAGCCCAGGAGTTTGAGGCTACAGTGGGTTGTATTCATGCCACTGCACTCCAGCCTGAGTGACAGAGTGAGACCCTGTTACAAAACAAAGAATCCCTAAATGGAGCCCTCTACTGCCCTCCCCCTGCTCCTGGAAGCCTGGGGCTCCCTCTGATCCCCAATTGCAGCTACCAGCCCCTCTACATGGCATTCAAGAACCTGCGCACCCATTTGATCTTCATTGTACATCTCTGTGTGCCTGCTCTAAGTCCAGCCCTATCCTGGGTAATGTTGGGAACATGGTGGTAACAGATGGACCTCATGGAACTCCCAGCCCAATGCAGACTGGCCTGTCACCTGACAGTGACAGCCCAGAGGGGTCAGGGCCGGGGTTGGGGAGACACAGGCAGAGGGTCAGGGCCAGGATGGAGGGAACAGAGGGCTGTGGAAGCTCAGAGACCCCAACCTGGGGCATTGGAGGGTTTCCCAAAGGAGGTATAACTAATCTGATCCCTGAAGGATAGGGAGGAATTAGCGCAAGATGGAACAGGAAACAGCTTGGGCAATGAGGTGAAGATAAGACAGGACAATAACTCATGAATTCATTTCCTCAACAGATAGTTCCCCTAACCTTTAATCTCAGCAATTATGCAGGGAGATGCTGTAGATATAGCTGTGACTGAGACATCCCTAGTGCCTGTCCTCCCAGCCCAATGGGAAGACCAGTTTGTCACCAGAAAGAATGAGGAGGGAATCCCAAGGGACTGTGAGAGCCCAGAGGAATGCCTGGTGCAGGCTGGGTAGTCATGGGAGGCTTCCTGAAGGAGGCAACATGTCAGCCTAGACCTAAGAATGAGTAGAAGCTAGCTCAGTGGAGGGTAGAAGCAACAGCAGATTGCAAACGTTCAGGAAACCTGGAGCTTTGGAATAACTGATTTTCATCAAAACTTAAGTTGATAATCATTCTAGGACTTTAGCTATTGGAGCTGGGGTGGAGGGGGTACTGTGGGACAGGGGGAAAGACAGAGACCAGACTGGGGAGTGTCCCTGTCATCTGTGAGCACTAGGCCGCTATCGCTGAGCTCAGCACTGCCCTCCTACAGGTCAAGGAGCTGGGCGTGGTCATGTACAACTGCAGCTGCCTGGCTCGAGACCTGACCAAGATCTTTGAGGCCTACTGGTTCCTGGGCCAGGCAGGCAGCTCCATCCCATCAACTTGGCCCCGGTTCTATGACACCCGCTACAACCAAGAGACACCAATGGAGATCTGCCTCAATGGAACCCCTGCTCTGGCCTACCTGGCGGTGAGTCTGGGGCAAGTGGGGCCTGTCATGTCCCAGCCCCATGCCGTCACTCACAGCCTCCATCTGTCCCTGTTTGGTGATGACAGGGAGGGCGTATCCTGACCATCAGTTCTCACCCCAGCTCATTCTGCTTGGTCAGGGGCCTGGAGTAGTTCCCAACATCCCTCGGCCTCTATTTCAGTTAGAAAATGGGTATTGTTTCCAACCTGTTAGGGCTGCTGGGAGAGGTACCCTGGGTTCATGCACACCAAACCTTTGGTGCTCTATATCATCCAGTATAGCCACAGGTGGCTCTTTCAGTTTAAGTTAATTAAATGCAATTAACAATTCAGGCCAAGTGGGGTGGCTTATGCCTGTAATCCCAATACTTTGGGAGGTTGAGGTGACAGGATCACTTGAGGCCAGGAGTTTGAGACCAGCCTGGACAACATAGCAAGACTCCATCTTTACAAACAAACAAACAAACAAACAAAACTAGCTGGGTTGGGTTGTGCATGCATGTAGTCACAGCTACGCAGGAGGCTGAGGCAGGGGGATCACTTGAGCCCAGGAAATCTAGGCTGCAGTGAGCCATGATCACACCACTGTACTCCAGCCTGGGTGACAGCCTGTTTCAAAAAAAAATTGTTTCAAGCCAGGCATGGTTTCTCATCCCTGTAATCCCAGCACTTTGGGAGGCCAAGGCCAAGATGGGAGGATCACTTGAGGCCAGGAGTTCATGACCAGCCTGGGCAACATAGGGAGACATCATTTCTTTCTATTTTTTTTTTTTTTTTGGTCTTATTATTTATTGTTCTAGATAGGATACCCAAGAACTAGGGAGACACCATTTCTACAAAAACATAATATTAATTAAAATTAGCCGGGTGTGGTTGTGTGCACCTGTAGTCCCTGGGGAGGCTAAGACAGGGGGATCACTTGAGCCCAGGAGTTTGAGGCTGCGTGAGCTGATTGTACCACTGCACTCCAGCCTGGGCAAGAGGCTGTTGCCCTGTCTCCAAAAAAAGAAAAAATTCAGTTCCTCATGCAGTAGCCACATTTCATATGCTCAGTAGCACCTGTAGCAAGTGACCACCATATTGGACATTTCCATCACTGTGACAGGCTCTGTTGGACAACACTGGCTCTCGCCATGGCAGATACTGATCACTCTGGACAAGGCACTGATGTTTCTAGCTCTTGATAGTTTCACTAGTTGAGGCAGGCAACCCAGGTCTCCCTAGGTCCCCCTGAGCAAGTTACCTGTCCAAGCCCAGAGTCATCGTGGAAGGCACAACCCTAAGGCGTGGACGTAGGGAAGTGTGACTCATTGGGGTCTTTCACTACAAGGGCCTCCCGCAGGGGATCAAGGCTCTCCTCATTACCACTTCCCCTTTTAGAGCCTCAGTTTCCTTGTCTCTTGAGCATTAAGGAAGATGGGGGGCCAGGCACAGTGGCTCATGCCTGTAATCCTAGCATTTTGGGAGTCCAGGATGGGCGGATCACTTGAGCTCAGGGGTTGGAGACCAGCCTGGGAAACGTGATGAAACCCCATCTCTACCAAAAATACAAAAATTAGCCTGGAGGGGTGGCGGGCACCTGTAATCCCAGCTACTCGGGAGGCTGAGGCAGGAGAATCACTTGAACCCAGGAGGTAGAGGTTGCAGGGAGCCGAGATTGCACCATTGCCCTCCAGGCTGGGTGACAGAGTGAGACTCCACTTCAAAAAAAAAAAAAGGGGGGGAAGCGGGGGAGCGGGGGAACTGGGAAGAGGGCCTGGTGAGGCACTGGGCACCCGAGGGGTTCCCAGTCAAGGCAGGCTGTGAGCAAATCAGGGAAGAAAGTGACTCGAGGCTGGGCACAGTGGCTCACGCCTGTAATCCCAGCACTTTGGGAGGCCTAGGCAGGTGGATTGCCTGAGGTCAGGAGTTCGAGACCTGCCTGGCCAACATGGTGAAATCCCATCTCCACTAAAAATACAAAAAAATTAGCTGGCTATGGTGATGTACGCCTGTAGTCCCAGCTACTTGGGAGGCTGAGGCAGGAGAATCGCTTGAACCCAAGAGGCAGCAGAGGTTGCAATGAGCTGAGATCATGCCACTGCACTCCAGCCTAGGAGACAGAGCAAGACTCCATCTCAAAAAAAAAAAAAAAAAAAAAGACTTGAGCAGAGGTCCTCAAACTGAGCATGCCCCAGAATCAGCTGGGCGGGCTTGTTAAAACCCAGATTCCTGGACCCCACCCCAGCACTCTGATTCAGTAGGCCATGTGCAGTGAGGCCCAGGAATTTGCATTTCTAACAAGTTCCCAGGTGATGCTGTTGCCGCTGGATCAGGGACCTTACGTTGAGAAGCACTGGGTTAGAGCATAAATTCTGGAACCAGACAGCCTGGGTTCGAATCCTGGCTCCATTTATCTGCTGTGTGACTTTAAGTAAGTCACTTACCCTCTCTGAGCCTCAGTTTCCTCACATGTGAAATGGATGTGGTGATTGACCCTCTTCTTCATGGAGGCTGAGGATTTGGTGAGATCCACAGTACCTGGCTTGTGGTGAGCTGTCCGTATGTGGGGTCCGTTGTGACGATGACCCTGGCAGGGCACATGTCTTAACTGTCCCCTCGCCCTCAGAGTGCGCCCCCACCCCTGTGTCCAAGTGGCCGCACTCCAGACCTGAAGGCTCTACTCAACGTGGTGGACAATGCCCGGAGTTTCATCTACGTCGCTGTCATGAACTACCTGCCCACTCTGGAGTTCTCCCACCCTCACAGGTACTGCTGGGTGTGGAGATAGGGAGCCGCTGCAGTTGGCCAGGAGACGGGAGAGGGAATCATGGAGACCAGAAAGCTGGTGGGGGCTCCAGGCAAGGGGACAGATGGAAGAGAAGCTGCAGGGAGAGACAGTCACCAGGAGGTGACCGGAAGAAGGTATCTAGGCACTTGAGACAGGAGAAAGAGAGATTACAGAGGAGACAGGGATGAGGTTTCAGGACAAGGTTTGAGGGAACAGAGAAAAGGATGAGAGGGCCGGGCGTGGTGGCTCACGCCTGTAATCCCAACATTTTGCGGGGCTGAGGTGGGTGGATCACTTGAGGTCAGGAGTTCAAGACCAGCCTGGCTAACATGGTGAAATCCCATCTCTCCTAAAAATACAAAAATTAGCCGGGCGTGGTGGCACGTGCTTGTAATCCCAGCTACTTGAGAGGCTGAGGCAGGAGAATTGCTTGAACCTGGGAGGTGAAGGTTGCAGTGAGTTGAGATCGCGCCACTGCTCTCCAGCCTGTGCGACAGACAGAGCAAGACTCTGTCTCAAAAAAACAACAAAAAAAAAGAGAAGGCTCAGAATATTGGGGTTGAGGGCAGGAAGCCTGAGGCAGGGGTGCAGGATGTGGGATTTGGGGAGGTAGGAGGCATGGGCTGGAAACAGGATGAGGGGCTTGGGGGATGGGGACTAAAAGTATTTGGGTTTAGGGTAGCAAGCTTGGGGATTTGTGATCCTGGGATAAGAAGGATAACAACCGGCCGGACGTGGTGGCTCACACCTGTAATCCCAGCACTTTGGGAGGCTGAGGCGGGTGGATCACGAGGTCAGGAGATCGAGACCATCCTGGCCAACATGGTGAAGCCCCGTCTCTACTAAAAATACAAAAAATTAGCCAGGTGTGGTGGCAGGCGCCTGTAGTCCCAGCTACTTGGGAGGCTGAGGCAGGAGAATCGCTTGAACCCGGGAGTCGGAGGTTGCAGTGAGCCAAGATCATGCCACTGCACTCCAGCCTGGGCGACGGAGCGAGACACCTTCTCAAAAAAAAAAAAAAGAAAAGAAAAAAAAAAAGAAGGATAACAACCATACCCACTGCAACATCCAGGTGGATGATGGCACTTGTGGGGCTCAAAGAAGGTATTCTAGGGGCAGTAGATAAGACAGTGGGTCCAGGCATGGTGGCTCACGCCTGTAATCCCAACACTTTGGGAGGCCGAGGCGGAAGGATCCCTAGGAGTTTGAGACCAGCCTGGGCAACATAATGAGACCCCGTCTCTATAGAAAAATTGGAAGATTAGCCCAGTGCGGTGGCACTCACCTGCAGTCCCAGCTACTCAGGAGACTGAGGCAGGAGGATCACTTGAGCCCAGGAGTTGGAGGCTGCATTGAGCTATGGTCGTGCCACTACACTCCAGCCTGGGTGATAGAGCAAGAACCTGTCTCAAAAAGAAAAAAAAGAGGATGGACCGGGCACAGTGGCTCACGCCTGTAATCCCAGCACTTTGGGAGGCCAAGGCGGGCAGATCACCTGAGGTCGGGAGTTCGAGACCAGCCTGACAAACATGGAGAAACCCCGTCTCTACTAAAAATACAAAATTAGCCAGGCGTGGTAGCGCATGCCTGTAATCCTAGCTACCCGGGAGGCTGAGGCAGGAGAATCGCTTGAACCCAGGAGGCAGAGGTTGCAGTGAGCCGAGATTGTGCCATTGCACTCCAGCGTGGGCAACAAGAGCGAAATTCCACCTCAAAAAAAAAAAGAAAGAATAAAAGAGGATGACAACACTGGGTTTTGGGGAGCAGGAATGGGAGCCACAGCCAGGAAGAGGAAATAGGGATGTGGGATTTATGGAGACAGGAACAGGGTCTGGGAGCCAGCGATGAGGAAGTCCTCTCAATAGCTAAAGCAGGGCCCAGGCTTGGTTCCCCAAAGCTGAGGGCAAAGCCTGTGGACACAGCCGCCCTCTGCATCCTGCCCCACCTCCTATACACCCGTCCTCAGGTTCTGGCCTGCCATTGACGATGGGCTGCGGCGGGCCACCTACGAGCGTGGCGTCAAGGTGCGCCTGCTCATCAGCTGCTGGGGACACTCGGAGCCATCCATGCGGGCCTTCCTGCTCTCTCTGGCTGCCCTGCGTGACAACCATACCCACTCTGACATCCAGGTGGTAAGTACTGCCCCAAGCCACCCCTTGGCCCCTGTGTGGGGCAGTCCTAGGGACACAGCCCTCATGGGACTCGTCTGTCAATGACAAGGGCAGCCCAGAGTGAGCCCTGTCACTGTGGGGAAACCATGGGTCAGGGCCAGGGTCATGGGGCACAGGGAGAGGGGCCAGGACCGGGATGAGGGGGCACAGGCAGAGGGGTTGGGACCGGGATGGGGGTGCAGAGAGAGGTGTTGGGACCAGGAATGGGGACATGGGCAGGTAGAGGGGTCAGGGCTGGGATTGGGAGCACAGGCAGAGGGGTCAGGGCTGGGATGGGGAGGCACAGGCAGAAGGGTCGGGGCCGGGTTGGAGGGCACAGAGAGAGGGGTTAGGGCCAGGGTTGGGGGCACAGGCAGAGGGGTCGGGGCCAGGATGGAGGAGGCCCAGGCAGAGGGGTGAGGGCTGGGGTGGGGGGCACAGAGAGAGGGTTTGGGACCAGGACTGGGGGAGTGGGCAGGTAGAGGGGTCGGGGCTGGGGTTGGGGGCACAGGCAGAGGGGTCAGGGCTGGGATGGAGGAGGTACAGGCAGAGGGGTCAGGGCTGGGATGGGGGGGCACAGGCAGAGGGGTCAGGGCTGGGATGGAGGAGGCCCAGGCAGAGGGGTCAGGGCCAGGGTCGGGGGGCACAGGCAGAGGGGTCAGGGCTGGGGTGGGGATGCCCAGAGGAAGCCTCTGCCCTAGCGGGAAGGGCCAAGGAAGATGTTCTGGAAATGGGGGCATCTGAGATGAGACCTCAGGAATGAACAGGAGCCATTCTGCCGGGAACAGTGTTTTGCAAATGAGACCACCGGGGCCTCCCTTTCAGCTTTCGTTCTCAGAGGGCCCCTCCACCTGGCCCTGTTCTGGCCCCCGAGGATTCTGTGGGAAGCAGTGGAGTCCCACAGATCTCGCTCCACACTCTGCTCCCTGATCCCGGGGCTCCTCCGACTCCCCCTGCCTCTCACACTCCTTCCCATCCTCCCCTCCCACTCAGAAACTCTTTGTGGTCCCCGCGGATGAGGCCCAGGCTCGAATCCCATATGCCCGTGTCAACCACAACAAGTACATGGTGACTGAACGCGCCACCTACATCGGTGAGTGTCTTGAGCACCACGGGGCGCTGAAGAAGAGGGGGTTCAGACACCAGGGGCGGCCCCCCGAGGGTGCCCTTATGCTCCACCCATTCCTCTCTAGGAACCTCCAACTGGTCTGGCAACTACTTCACGGAGACGGCGGGCACCTCGCTGCTGGTGACGCAGAATGGGAGGGGCGGCCTGCGGAGCCAGCTGGAGGCCATTTTCCTGAGGGACTGGGACTCCCCTTACAGCCATGACCTTGACACCTCAGCTGACAGCGTGGGCAACGCCTGCCGCCTGCTCTGAGGCCCGATCCAGTGGGCAGGCCAAGGCCTGCTGGGCCCCCGCGGACCCAGGTGCTCTGGGTCACGGTCCCTGTCCCCGCGCCCCCGCTTCTGTCTGCCCCATTGTGGCTCCTCAGGCTCTCTCCCCTGCTCTCCCACCTCTACCTCCACCCCCACCGGCCTGACGCTGTGGCCCCGGGACCCAGCAGAGCTGGGGGAGGGATCAGCCCCCAAAGAAATGGGGGTGCATGCTGGGCCTGGCCCCCTGGCCCACCCCCACTTTCCAGGGCAAAAAGGGCCCAGGGTTATAATAAGTAAATAACTTGTCTGTACAGCCTGTGCCTGACTGAGTGGTGTGAGATGGGGTGCAGGGGTAGGGGACAGCTGGCATGGGCCTCTGGTGGGGACATCTTTTTGTGCTGAGCCCTCAACATGTCACTGGCATGTGCTGAGCCCTCAGTGTGTGACCAGTGTGGGTTAGCATGTACTGAGCCCTCAGCATGTGCTGGCATGGGTTGGCATGTGCTGAGCCCTTAACATGTAGTGTACATGGGCTGACCTGTGCTGAGCATGCAGCGTGCCACCCTGTGGCCCGGCATGGACTTAGCACTCATGTAGCCAGCATGGGTATGTGCTGCAGAGAAGCATGTTCCCAGATTGATCAGCAGGGACCAAACCATTGCCACATCCCAAGGGTGAACAAGCATGGCTGAGCACCAGAGTGTGCACCAAGTGTGAATTTAGGCCTGCCAAGTGGATTTACACCCAGCACGTCCCAAATGTGGGTGAGTGCATGCCAACCCTGTAAACATGTAGGAAGGACAGGTCAACAGACAAGGAGACCCCAGCATCCGGCAAACTTGATTAACACATACTGAACACAGCATGTTCTGAGGGTGGATTCCCAACACGCCAAGCACATAGCGTATTTAGGACAAGGGTTAGTCAACCAAGCACAGCTTTTCCCTCCTAGTGTGACAGCAGCCCAGGCTCCCGCCTAAGCCAGTGGTCAACTGGGCCCAGCATCGCAGAGCAAGTCACTGGGTGCCAGCCTGGAGCCCCCATTCCCCCCAGGGCCAGTCCAAGCCCCAGGCAGTGAGAGCAGGCTTGAAGCAGGACTGCTGAACAGTTCTATATTGAAATAGACAGAGGCAGCAGGGCCAAGGGCGAGCGCAGGGCCAGCGGGGTGCAGCCCCCTTTCCTGCTGTCCTTCTGGCCAAGGAGCATGGGCCAGACTCCAAAGCCCTGCTGTGTTTAGGAGAGGTGTGCAGGCACGCACCGCACCGCAGACGGGGAATGAGAATTTCTGGATAACTATCTTTCTGTAAGAATAATTTGTGGGTTCAGGAGATGGCTCTGAGGAGCAGTTCAGGTTGGGAGGGAATGCCAGCCCAGCTAGCGCAGCCCCCAGTGATGGGCAGGGGTGGAATCACCATCAGTGGTGCCCGGTGACATGCTGGAGGAAGCTGGTGGCCCCCCGGGGTGGACCATGCTGGTGGGAGCGGCGGGGTGGGAGCCCCTGAGCCCGTGGGCCCCTGACGCTCTCCAGGGTGCAGTCTGGCTCACTCAGCCATTCTCCAGGACAGCTGCTGGGGTCGAAGAGCTCAGGGTCTGGCCTCTGTGGGGGAAGAGAGAGGGGCATCAGCCAAGCAGTGTTAGTGTATTAGTGTCTGCTGAGCCTCTGTCACCTCCTCCTGATGAGGGTGAGCATGTGCTAGGGTCTTACCAGTGCTGGGCCTTTATTGCCCCTTTGTAGTGATGTGATGACAGCTCACTGCAGCCTCGACCTCCCTGGCTCAAGTGATCCTCCCACCTCAGCCTCCTGAGTAGCTGGGACTACAGGTGCATGCCACCAAAACCAGCTAATATTTCTAATTTTTTGGTGCAGACGGGATCTCACTATGTTGCCCAGGCTCTTTATCAAGCTTCTTATAAGTAGATTACTGTGCCCTGAGTTTTTGTCACAGCCTGGAAGTAGCTGAGTAAGTGCTGAGCCTTATCATATCTTGACGGTATTAGGTGTGTGCTGAGCCTCCTAAGTCCCTAATTGTATCCTGAACATGGGTGAGTGTGTGTTGAGCCTCCTCACACACTAATCATATCCTGAGCACGGGTGAGTGTGTGCTGAGCCTCCTCCCACCCTAATCGTATCCTGAACGCACCCGGCTCACCTCAGCTTCCATGGTCATGTTGTCAATGTTGGGCCCATCCTCATCTCGCTGCAGGATGGCCAGTGGCTCAGCAGAGGCCCCGAGATGCTCTCCTTCCTCCCAGCTGCTGCCCCGGCAGGGCCTGTCATCCTCAGGCGAGACCTGGCTCAGCCGAATGAGGTTGCTGAAGTTGGAGTCGGACTTGGAACCCGCAGGTGGCTTGCGGGCCTTGTGGCGGCCTGCCAGGCGGCTGCTGTAGAAGGCCAGGATGGGCTCAGGGCCCGAGTCGGGCACATGGTGGCCAGTGATGGCTGCCTTGAGGGGGACCATCATGTCGGAGACCGCATTGGTGCAGGTCTCACCCCACAGCCCATGCCCAGCCTCCTGCAGACTCAGGTCATCCAGCTGGTCGATGGCTCTTTGCATACCTGGTGCCTTCTCCTCTCGGAAGAAGGGGCTGCTGCCGGCCACACTGCCCATACCCGCAGCCTCCTTCTCCTCAGCCAGACAGTAGTAGGGGGTCCCATCTTCTGCGGCCACGACGGGCGTGGGGGGCTTCCCCTCCACTTGCAGCGAGAGGCGGTAGCTGCGCAGCGAGAGCTGGTAGTAGTGGGTGGTCTCGTGGGCACTGCGCAGCTGCTGCATGGACACGAAGGGGTGGCGCAGGGCAGCACTGGGGCTGATGCGTTCGTGTGACTCCCAGGTCAGCATGCGCTTGATCAGCTCCACCATGCTCTTGAGGTCGGCGTGCTCCGCCAGCGCCTCCCGGTCAGGGAAGGTTAGCCGACTGGCCACACTGCCACCATTCACTGTCTCAATCTGGTCCAACGACTTGAGCATATACTTGCGGCGCTCCAATGGGCGCACCTGGCGGGGCATGGAGAAGGGGGCAGGGTTGACCATTGTGCAGGGCTAGGGCCCTGGGCACTCCTGCTGTGGCACCCACATGTAGCCCCGACTTCCAGGTCTGCCCATGATCTGCCTTGGAGCTCTCTGGCTGCTAGGAGGGCCACCCTGGATCCGTCACACCCAAGCCCCTCTAATCGAACCCAAATCACTGGCCCAAGTTCCACCCCTTGCCCCAGACCTCCAGTCCCCTTCAGCACCATGGGTGCAGCCCCTACCAGCAGCTAGCAGAAGGGCTGCCCGGAATCTCTAGTCCTCCCTGGAATCAAATCCAGGTCCCTCTTACTGCCACAGCTCCACACTTGATCCCAGGCCTCCTGGTGGTCAAACCCAGACCCTTCTTGCTATAGTAGTTTGTCACCCCCTGCTATTAAACTGCCATTGACTTTTAGTCTCACCTGTGGTCCCATCCAGACCCTTCTTGCTGTGAAATCAAGACCTATGACCTCAAACTCCTAGTCCCCTCTGCTGTCTAACCCAGGCTCTTGCTGCACAGATGGGAGGGGCAAAGCCACAGAGGTAGCAGACTGGCTGCTGCCCCAAACCTCTAGACTCACCTGAGGTCTCACTCAGATCCTTTTTTTTTTTTTTTTTTTTTTTTTTTTGTATGTGTGTGAGACAGAGTTTCACTCTTGTTGCCCAGGCTGGAGTGCAGTGGTACAATCTCGGCTCACTGCAACCTCCACCTCCCAGGTTCAAGCGATTCTCCTGCCTCAGCCTCCTGAGCAGCTGGAATTACAGGTGTCCACCACCATGCCCAGCTAATTTTTGTATTTTTAGTAGAGATGGGGTTTCACCATGTTGGCCAGGCTGTTCTCGAACTCCTGACCTCAGGTGATCCACCCACCTCGGCCTCCCAAAGTGCTGGGATTACAGGTGTGAGCCACTGTGCCTGGCCTTAGATCCTTTTTTTTAAACAGGGTCTTGCTGTGTCGCCCAGACTGGGGTGTAGTGGTGCAATCATAGCTCACTGCAACTGCCAACTCCTGGGTTCAAGTGATCTTCCCACCTCAGCCTCCCAAGTAGCTTGGAACTACCGGTGTGTGCCACCATGCCTGGCTAAATTTTAAAAAAAATTTTTTCTAGAGACACGGTCTTGCTATGTCGCCCACAATGACTTCAAGTGATCCTCCTGCCTTGGCCCCCACCAAAGTGCGTGGACTACAGGCATAAGCCACTGCACCTGGCCTCTCTCGCAATTCTCATAGCCAATCTCAGACCTCATATATTCTCTGTGGTCTAATCCCTCTTGCCACACAAGTTGCTGACCCCGGAGCTGAAGCTGGCAGAGAAGCTGCCCCAATCGTCCTGTCACACTTATAGTATGACCCAGATCTCTCTTGCTAGAGCAGCCCCCACATCTGACTTCCAAACATCTAATTCTCCCTGCAGTTTCTCCCCCAGATCTATCTTGCTGCAGTTGCTGACCAGTCCCACATTTGATCTCATGCAGCTCTTTCTTGCTGTGAAAATGCCCTAGGCTGACCCCCAAGTTCCAGTCCTCATTGAGGTTTAGCCCAGAAATTTTTTTTTTCAATTATTAAAAAAATATTTTTTTGGCCGAGCGCGGTGGCTCATGCCTGTAATCTCACTGCTTTGGGAGGTCGAGGTGGGTGGATCACGAGGTCGGGTGTCTGAGACCAGCCTGGCCAACATGGTAAAACCCCGTCTCTAGTAAAAATACAAAAAAATTGCCGGGTGTGATGGTGGGTGCCTGTAAGCCCAGCTACTCAGGAGGCTGAGGCAGGAGAATCTCTTGAACCTGGGAGGCAGAGGTTGCAGTGAGCTGAGACCGCACCACTGCACTCCAGCCTGAGCAACAGATCAAGACTCCGTCTTAAAAAAAAAAGAAAAAAATATTTTTCTTTTCTTTCTTTTTTTTTTTTTTTTTTTGAGACGGAGTCTCACTCTGTTGCCCAGGCTGGAGTGCAGTGGTGGGATCTCGGCTCACTGCAACCTCCGCCCTCTGGGTTCAAGCGATTCTCCTGCCTCAGCCCGCCGAGTAGCTGGAATTACAGGCGTCTGCCACTGCGCCCAGCTAATTTTTTGTGTTTTTAGTAGAGACTGGGTTTCATCATCTTGGCCAGGCTGGTCTTGAACTCCTGACCTCGTGATCCACCCACCTCGGACTCCCAAAGTGCTGGGATTACAGGCGTAAGCCACCACACCCAGCCTCTGTTTTTTGTTCTTTTCACTCCATTCTTCTGGTCTGATAGATTTTTCTTTTTGAAACAGAGTCTTGCTCTGTCACCCAGGCTCAAGTGTAGTGGCATGATCATAGTTCACTGTAGCCTGGACCTCCCAGGCTCAAGGAATTCTCCTGCCTCAGCCTCCCATGTATCTGGGACAATAGGCCCATACCACCGTGCCCAGCTGATTTTTTTTTCCATGTTTTATAAAGAGGAGGTCTCACTATGTTCCCCAGGCTGGTCTCAAACCCCTAGGCTCAAGGGATCCTCCCACCACAGCCTCCCAAAGTGCTGGAATTACAGGTGTGAGCCACGTTGCCCACCCTAGAATTTTTTTTCATGTAACAGCCCCCACACTGACTGCCCTCACCCAACTTTTCCCTTACCTTCGTCTCGGCCAGGTAGTCAGCCGAGGACTTGAGCTGCCAGGGGTTGGCAGCGTCAGGGTGGGGGTTGCGCTTGAAGAAGTGGTGGGCCTTGCAGGCGGCGTGCAACAGGTGTGGCTTGGGCAGGCCCTGGGTTTCGCAGATGTAGCGCACCTGGTCGTACTCGTTGTTGCCGGGGTAGAGAGGCCAGCCCAGGTGCAGCTCAGCCATGACGCAGCCCAGGGACCACACGTCCACCTTCTCGCAGAAGGGCAGCCCCAGCAGGATCTCAGGGGCCCGGTAGAAGCGCGACTGGATGTATGGCTCCTTCACGTAGCGCACCTCGCTGAAAATGCTGGCGGATCCGAAGTCAATCACCTGTCGGGGGTGGGGAAGAGGGCGAGTGGGCAGGTCAAGCAGCAGGGACAGCCGAGCTGGGCCACCCCGGCATCTTTCACCTGGCATCTTCCTGCATCTGCTATTTGACTCTGGCCATCTCTGGGTCTGTGATTCTTTAGTTGCTTTGTTGGTTTTTGTTTGTTTGTTTGTTTGTTTGTTTGAGACAGAGTCTCACTCTTGTTGCCCAGTCTGGAGTGCAATGGCACGATCTCAGCACACTGCAACCTCCACCTCCCCGGTTCAAGCGATTCTCCTGCCTTAGCCTCCTGAGTAGCTGGGATTGCAGGCGCCCACCACCACACCCGGCTAATTTTTTGTATTTTTAGTAGAGATGGGGTTTCACTATGTTGGCCAGGCTGGTCTCGAACTCCTGACCTCATGTGACCCACCCGCCTCGGCCTCCCAAAGTGCTGGGATTACAGGCGTGAGCCACCGCACCCAGCCTTTGTTGGTTTTTTTTTTTTTTTTTGAGACCGAGTCTCACTCTGTCGCCCAGGCTAAAGTGCAGTGGCGCAATCTTGGCTCATTGCAACCTCTGCCTCCTGGGTTCAAGTGATTCTCCAGCCTCAGTCTCCTGAATAGCTGGGTCTACAGGTGCACACCACCATGCCCTGCTAATTTTTGTATTTTTAGTAGAGACGGGGTTTCACCCTGTTGGCCAGGCTGGTCTTAAACTTCTGACCTCAGATGATCTGCCCTCCTCAGCCTCCCTAAGTGCTGGAATTACAGGCATGAGCCACCGCACCCAGCTGTGGCCGTAGTTGTTAAGTCCCTATCTCTGTCTCTTCCAGCCTTTGTGTCTGGTTCGAGTGACTGACTCTGTCTCTGTTTCTCTCCACTAGAACTATGCAAAGGAGGGTTAGGACCCTATTCTTCCTCTTGCACCCCACACCTTGTCCATCAGCCAACAGATCTAGAATCTGCTCCCTCTGCATGCCATCCACAGCCCCGACCCTGGTCCTATCCTGCATCCTTTCCAACCTAGACCAACGCGGGGGTCTCCTCGCTGGTCTCCCTGCTCCTCTCCTCTGCCCCCTAGTCTGTCTGTCACAAGCATCCAGAGGGATCCTGTGGCCGCCCGGGATAGATTGGGTCCTCCCCTGCTCATAGCCACATCCTGTGACAAAAGCCAAAGTCCTCACCGTGGCCCACAGGTCTCCAATGTCTGCTCTGTCACCTCTCTGCCACATCTCCCACTCTCCCCATCACTCACCCTCCTCCAGCCACAAGGGTCTCCTCACTATTCCTTGAACAAGTCAGACATTCCCAGCTCAGGGCTTTTGCACTCGCTGTTCCCTCTGCCTGGAATGCTCTTCCCTGCATGAGCACAGGGCTCCCTGCCTCACCTCCTTCAGGTCTTTACTCAAATGTCACCTTTCTATCAAAAGGTGAAAGGCAGGACAAAAAAAAATGATCACCTTCTCAGTGAGACCTTCCCTAATCATTCTGTGAAAGCATCAGCCATCAGTCCCCATCCTTTCTATCCCCCGCCAGGCCCCTGTTTTTCTTTTTCTTTTCTTTTCTTTTTTTTTTTTTTTTTTTTTTTTTTGAGTCGGAGGTTTTTGAGACAGAGTTTTGCTCTTGTCACCCAGGCTGGAGTGCAATGGTGCAATCTTGGCTCACTGCAACCTCCTCCTCCCAGGTTCCAGTGATTCTCCTGCTTCAGCCTCCCAAGTAGCTGGGATTACAGGTGCACACCACCATGCGCAGCTAATTTTTATATTTTTAGTAGAGACGGGGTTTCACGATGATGGCCAGGCTGGTCTCGAACTCCTGACCGCAGGTGATCCACTCGCCTCGGCCTCCCAAAGTGCTAGGACAGGCGTGAGCCACCGCACCCAGGTCCACCATTGCTCTTAATGCCATTTCACACACTATATCTCTTAATTTTTTATTTTAATTTTATTTTTTAATTATTTATTTTTTTGTGACGGAGTCTCGCTCTGTTGGCCAGGCTGGAGAGCAGTGGTGTGATCTTGGCTCACTGCAACCTCCACCTACTGGATTCAAGTGATTCTCCTGCCTCAGCCTCCTGAGTAGCTGGGATTACAAGCGCTAATCTTTTGCATTTTTGGTAGAGACAGGCGGGGTTTCACCATGTTAGCCAGGCTGGTCTCAAACTCCTGACTCAGATGATCTGCCCGCCTCAGCCTCCCAAAGTGTTGGGATTACAGGCGTGAGCCACGGCGCCCAGCCCTTTTTTCCTTTTTAGAGACAGGGTCTTGCTCTATCACCCAGGCTGGAGTACAGTGGCACCATCGTAGCTCACTGTAGCCGCGAACTCCAGGGCTCACAAGATCCTCCCGCCTCAGCCTCCTGAGTAGCTGGGACCACAGGCATGCACCTCCATACCCAGCTAATTTTTTAACTTTTTGTAGAGATAGAGATGGGTCTCACTATGTTGCCCAGGATGGCTCCTGGGCTCAAGTGATCCTCCTGCCTCAGCCTCCCAACATGCTGGGATTATAGGCATGAGGCCCTGCACCTGGCCTCTCTCAGCATTTCTCTCCCCAGCGAGGATGTCAGTCCCACGAGGGCAAAGAATTTATCCATTTTGTTCAATACTGTATCCCTAGATGCCTAGAACAGGGCTTGGCACACAGCAGGGGCTCAGTAAATAATGAGTGAATGAATGAATGTATGTATGGGCTTTGAGTTCCTTCATTCTCTTTCCATCTCTTGCTTGTATCTCTCTCTCTCTGTCTCTCATTTGAGACAGTGGCTCACCCTGTCACCCAGGCTGGAATGCAGTGGCGCAATCTCGGCTCAAGGCAACCTCCACCTTCCACGTTCAAGCGATTCTCCTGCCTCAGCCTCCCAAGTAGCTGGGACTACAGTCACATGCCACCATGCCCAGCTAATTTTTGTATTTTTAGTAGAGATGGGTTTTCACCATGTTACCCAGGCTGGTCTTGAACTCCTGGGCTCTAGTAATCCTCCCACCTCGGCCTCCCAAAGTCCTGAGATTCTAGGCATGAGCCACTGTGCCTGGCCATTTGTACCTCTCGTTCTTTCTTTGCAACTGCCTCTCCATCACTTGCCTGTCTCTTGTCTCTCAGTGTCTCTCTCTCTCTTTCCATCTCTGTCTCTGTGTCGTCCACTAGGAAGACACCTCCCTGAAGTCCCGGTCCTCTTCTGTCTTCCTCTTCAGGCACTGTTCACACTCGTCACAGGCCTTTGACACATGACAGGTGCTTGGCCAACAGCTGCGGAACCAACATTGCGAATGGCCGAAAGCCTTTGTCTCTCCCCATGCCTCTGGTGGAGCTGTCTGCCATTTTCACCCTGAATCTCCGTGACTCTCTCTTGGCCTGTTTCTTTTTCTTTTTCTTTTTCAGGTGGCTTCACTCTTTTGTCCAAGCTGGAGTGCAGCGGCATGATCTCGGCTCACTGCAACCTCCGCCCCCATATGGGTTCAAGCGATTCTCCTGCATCAGCCTCCCAAGTAGCTGGGATTACAGGTGCACCCCACCACATCTGGCTAAGTTTTGTATTTTTAATAGAGACAGGATTTCACCATGTTGGCCAGGCTGGTCTTGAGCTTCTGACCTCAGGTGATCCACCTGCCTCAGCCTCCCAAAGTGCTGGGATTACAGGCTTGGGCCACCACACCTGGCCAGCCTGTTTCCTTCTCTGAGTTTTTCTGCTTTTCATTCAGCCATTTCTCAGTTTTTTGTTTTTGTTTTGTGTTGAGACAGAGTCGAGCTCTGTCGCCCAGGCTGGAGTGCAGTGGCGTGATCTCAGCTCACTGCAAAACCTCTGCCTCCCAAGTTCAAGTGAGTCTCCTGCCTCTGCCCCCCAACTAACTGGGATTCCAGGTATGTGCCACCACGCCTAGCTAATTTTAGTTTAGTTTTTTTTTTTTTTTTTCTGAGACAGAGGGACTTCCTCTGTCGCCCAGGCTGGAGTGCAGTGGCGTAATCTCAGCTCACTGCAACCTCTGCCTCCCGGGTTCTAAGCGATTTATCTGCTTCAGCCTCTGGAGTAGCTAGGATTACAGGTGCCCGCCACCACACCCGGCTAATTTTTATACTTTTAGCAGAGACGAGGTTTCACCATATTGGTCAGGCTGGTCTTGAACTCCTGACCTCAGGTGATCCACCCGCCTCGGCCTCCCAAAGTGCTGGGATTACAGGCGTGAGCCACCGCACCTGGCCATCCCTCACCTTTCACTTGCAGAAAGCAGTATCATGAAATGGTTATTAATTGCTATTCTGATCCCAGAGTGCCAGGGCTTCAGTACCCAAGAGGCTGAGTGACCCTGGGCACTTAGTCTATGTTTGTGGAATGAATTCATTCCTTCCACAGAGACAGTGGGGGTGATAATGCCGGCCAGGTGCTGTGGATCCGTCCTGTCTGTCCCCTGCTGTGTTTGTGGAAGTCCCTGCTTCCCTGGGTCTCTGTCCTTCCACCTCTTGGGGCAGAATAATCCACCTTTTTCTGTCTCTGTGTCTCTGGCAAGCATTCATTTAGCACTGGCTCCATGACTGCAGTGCTGGGAGATGTCAGGGACACAGCGATGATTAAGTCAGCCCCAGCCTTGCCCTCAGGGTGCCCCTGGTTCAGAAGCATCCAGACAGTATCAAACTCAAAAGCAGACAGAGGACTGGGCATGGTGGCTCACACTTGTAATTCCAGCACTTTGTTGAGGCCAAGGTGGGCAGATTGCTTGAACTCAGGACTTTGAGACCAGCCTGGGCAACATGATGAAATCCTGTTTCTACCAAAAAACACAAAAATTGGCTGGGCGTGGTGGCTCACGCCTGTAATCCCAGCACTTTGGGAGGCTGAGGCAGGTGGATCACAAGGTCAGGAGTTTGAGACCAGCCTGGCCAACATGGCGAAACTCCATCTCTACTAAAAATACAAAAATTAGCCGGGCATGGGTGGCGGGCACCTGTATTCCCAGCTACTCAGGAGGCTGAGGCAGGAGAATCGCTTGAACCCGGGAGGCGGAGGCAGTGAACCAAGATCATGCCATCATCACCCCGTCTCTGATAAGTACAAAAAAAAAATTAGCTGGGCGTGGTGGCGCATCCCTGTAATCCCAGCAACTCGGGAGGCTGAGGCAGGATAATCACTTGAACCCAGGAGGCGGAGTTGCAGTGAGCTGAGATTGTGCCACTGCACTCAAGCCTGGGTAACAGAATGAAACTCCGTCTCAAAAATAATAATAATAATAATTTTAAAAAATTAAAAAAAAAATCTAGGGCTGGAAGAAGCTGGGAAAAAGACAAGGAACTAGGGACGCAGCCACCCTAGACGACCCCTACTCACCTTGACCCTGAAGGGGCAGCGGGTCTGGTCCACCAGCATGATGTTCTCAGGCTTGAGATCAGCGTGGATGATAGCCAGCTCCTTGAGCCGGGCCAGGGCTGTGAGCACCTGCAGGGTGACTGTACGGATGTGGCGGGCGGGGAGGGGCGCGAAGTTGTTCTCCTTCTGGAACTCGAAAAGGTTTTGCTCCAGCAGCTCAAAGACCAGGTAGAACTTGAGGGCGTCATGGAAGAACTCAAGGAAGCGGATGACGTGGGCCTCTTCAGGGTCTAGGCCTCGCATGCAGTGCAGCAGCTTCAGCTCGTTCTTGATGATGCGGTTGCGGTAGGCGTCATTCTTGAGGATCTTGATGGCCACCATCTCGCCCGTGCTCCGCCGCCAGCCCTTGGCTACCTCCCCGAAGGTCCCCTTGCCCAAGACCTCGATGATGTCGTAGCAGTCAGTCTCCGACTGGATGGTGGACATGGTGCCGCTGCTGCCAGACACCGCCCTGCCCAGGCCCCTGTACCACTGGCTCTGCCGCCCAGGCCTCCCGCCTGGCTGCTGACACAGCAGGCCCCCCAGTGGGGGAAAGAGAACCGCACTCGTGTCTCCTCCTATGAGGTTGGCCCCTGCTTCCCTGGCACCCCCAAACCCCCAGGCCACACTGTCAGTCTGCCAGGGGCTGCACCCCTCCCCAGAAACCCTCCTGGCTTGGGATGAGGGGCCCCAGGCCCCACCGAATGGGTTCCAGCGCTGTTGAGTGGCTCTGGTTCTGTTGTTGGAGACCTGAGCCCTGGCTGGAGTGGGGGTGGGGTACCAGGCTGGGCCCCCTCCCCCGCCCAGTGGCGGAATCTTGCAAAGACCAAACAGGTGAAGTGTTGACAGAGGGGGGTCTAATCGTGGGCCTTGGGCATACAGGAATGGGGATAAGGCAGGAGTGAGGAAAGGTGGGCTTCTTGAGCTTGGGAGATGTGATGTGTGTGTGTCTGTGTTCAGAAAACTCCTGTCCCAGTCTGTGGCTACTGTGGGGTGAGGTTGTAAAAGGCCCTGAATGCCAGGCTAAGGAGTTTGGATTCTGTTCTGAGGGCACTGGGGAGCCACAGAAGGGCTTTGAGCAGGGGAGGGCAGGGTCAGATATGAGTGTCAGAAAGTTACTGTATGAAAAGGGATAGGTTGGAGCGGGTAAGAGTGGAAGCCCCAAGCCAGGGAAAGAGTCCAGGACAGGGCACAGATGGGAGAGGTTGGGGAGGAGAGGGCGAGGCCAATGGATGAGACACTCAAAAGGCCAGGAGAAGCAGCCGTGAGACCGACGGTTTGAGGGAAAGGCGGGAGCTGTCTAAGAACGGGCCTAGGGCTCTGGGATGAAGGGGCAGTCCCCGAGAAATGGACATGGATAAGAAGCAGCTTGGGGGAGATGTTGAGGCCAAATTAGAAAATGTATTTATTTTTGGCTGGGTGCGGTGGGTCACGCCTGTAATCCCAGCACTTTGGGAGGCCAAGGAAGGCAGATCATAAGGTCAGGAGATCGAGACCATCCTGGCTAACACGGTGAAACTCTGTCTCTACTAAAAATACTAAAAATTAGCCAGGCATAGTGGAGGGCGCCTGTAGTCCCAGCTACTCGGGAGGCTAAGGCAGAAGAATAGCTTGAACCCGGGAGGTGGAGGTTGCAGTGAGCCGAGATTGCACCACTGCACTCCAGCCTGGGTGACAGAGCGAGACTCCATCTCAAAAAAAAAAAAAAAGTGTTCATTTTTATTTATCTTTTTAATTTTTTGTAGAAATGGGGTCTCACTATGTTGTCCAGGCTGGTCTCAAGTGATCCTCCTGGCCTCAAGTGATCCTCCTGCCTCAACCTTCCAAAGTGCTGGGATTGTAGACATGAGCCACCACTCCAGCCAGATTAGAATATTTAACAGCGGGCCGGGCTCGGTGGCTCATGCCTGTAATCCCAGCACTTTGGGAGGCTGAGGCAGGTGGATCACCTGAGGTCGGGAGTTCGAGACCAGCCTGACCAACATGGAGAAACCCCGTCTCTACTAAAAATACAAAATTAGCCGGGTGTGTTAGCACATGCCTGTAGTCCCAGCTACTCAAGAGGCTGAGGTCGGCAGGCTGAGGTATGAGAACTGCTTGAACGCGGGAGGTGGGGTTGCAGTGAGCCAAGATTGCGCCATTGCACTCCAGCCTGGGCAACAAGAGTGAAACTCCGTCTCAAAAAAAAAAAAAAAAGTAAAAGAAAATGTAACATCAAAACATTTAAACAAGGATGAAGTTCTTTAGAAGTCTTATCTGATCCTTACAACATACAAAGTAGGGATTTTATGGAAGAGAAAATCAAGGCACAAAGAAGTTTTTAAAGTGCCTGGCCAGGAGTGGTGGCTTACGCCTGTAATCCCAGCACTTTGAGAGGCCAAGGTGGGCGGATCACCTGAGGTCAGGAGTTTGAGACCAGCCTTGCCAACATGACAAAACCTCAACTCCACTAAAAATACAAAAATTAGCTGGGCATGGTGGTATACACCTGTAGTTCCAGCTACTTGGGAGGCTGAGATCGGGAGGCTGAGGTATGAGAATCGCTTGAACCTGGAAGGCGGAGGTTGCTGTGAGCCAAGATTGCACCACTGCACTCCAGCATGGGCAACAGAGTGAGACTCTGTCTCAAAAAATAAAAATAAATAAATAAATGATAAAATAAAATGCCTAAGGTCACTCAAGTGACTGCCAGAGACAGCCTCTGACCCTAAGCAGCCTGGCTCCAGCGCCAAACTCTGAACCACCACCCACACAACCTCCTAAAAACCAGGAGACCTCTGGAGAAGGGGTGCAGAAGCTGCTGGGTCCCCAAGGGGATGCAGGAGAGAGTTTGGGAGTTGTCAGCACAGAGAGGAGGCGTGGAAGCCATGGGGGAGGGTGATGCACCCTAGGGAGGGTGTGGGGGTGGACAAGGGCCCGGGAGGAACCTCCGGTGCCCAAGGAGCACGGGGAGAGAGAGGTGTGGGGAAGAGGAGCAAGTGTCAGGAAGATCGAAGGGGCCTTGAAGAGTCAGGACAAGAGAGACAAAGGAAACCCTCAGGCGTGGCCACGGGGAGGTCACTGCTGACACAGACAAGGTAGGAGGAAAACCCCAAATGCTGGGGTCTTGGAAATGGGGGTGCACTGTGAGTGTAGATAACTCCTGCCATGTTTGGTGGGGGCAAAGAAAAAGTGTGTGGTGAGACAGTGACCTGAGGAGGGCTGGCTGGAAGGGACAAGGTACTCAAGTGAGTGGGGGATTCTGCCAGGCCCCTCATCCACTGAGACAGGATAGGGAGATGTGAGGAGAGTGGGGGGCTGTCGGGGCGAGACTTGGGACTGGATATTGAGTCTCCTTAGTCCAGTGTGGGACATCACAGAGAGACATGGAGGAGGCTGGAGGCCCTGCTGGGAGCCTCAGGACTTAGATCCTGAATTGGGATGGCAGGGATGGATGGCCCATGGCCCCTGGGAGCTGAGACCAGCACTGACAGGTGCTGAGGACCCTGGGACCTAGTTCCAAGAGGCGGCTGTGTTTCTGGGGTAGAGGCTTTGAGGGGACCAGGAGCAGCCTTCCTGGGTGGGGCCAGAGTGGACAGGGCAGTCAAACCAGCCAGACAGGAAAGAGAAGGCCAGGATGTGCAGAAGTGCCCTCACCGGCAGAGGGCAGGTGGGGAGCAACCAGCCTGGTAGGAGTGGGTCCCCCAGGACAGGCAGGCTTCCTGGCAGAGGGGTCCCGAAGCTGTGCTCTGCCAGGGAACATCCCAGAGTCCTCTTTAACAACCCCTGGGAATTCTCAAGGGCTAGGGACGTCTCCCTTCCCACCACGGCCTGTCCCAAGGCCATCCTGAGTCTTTGTTTTTGTTTTTGTTGAAACAGTCTGGCTCTGTTGCCTAGGCTGGAGTGCAGGGGCACCATCAAGGCTCACTGCAGCCTCGACCTCCCGGGCTCAAGTGATCCTCCCACCTCAGCCCCCCGAGTAGCTGGGATTACAGGCACGGGCCACCATGCCTGGATATTTTTTGTATTTTTTGTAGGGATGAGGTTTCCCTATGTTTCCCAGGCTGGTCTTAAACTCCTGGGCTCAAGCAGTCCTCCTGCTTTGGCCTCCCAAGTGCTGGGCTTACAGGCATGAGCCACTGCGCCCAACCCGCCCTGACTCTTCTCAGACCAGGTATGACCGGTTTCTCCCCTCACACCAGAGGTTCCCCTCAGGCCAGGCTCAGGCGACCCCTAGAACCTCCTCTTTGGAGACTGCCTTCTCTGCATCTCCCCTATACCCACTCCTGCCCCTCCCTGCCCCCTATGCACACAGAGGAGACAAATACATGGCTACTTCCAGATTATTTTATTCACATGGCTTGGTGGGGTACAGGCACTCCTGCCAGAGAGACAGGAGCAGGCCTCCCTGCCAGCCCTGGTCAGTCACCCACCTCCCGGCCCTCTTAGGGTTAGTGCTAGTTATCACACACACAACAGCGAGGGGGTAGAGAAAGGAAGGCAAGAAGGGATCCCCATCTGACTAGGGGCTTCAGACAGCCGCAGCCTGAGCCCCCTCCATCCTGGCCGGGCCTGGAGCCCCTGTCTCTGAAAACCCCACGCTGGGCAGCCGCACCCGCAATCCACCCTCTTCCTGGTCCCCACTCCCACTCCGGGCCTTGGGGCTTAGGGACACCCTGGGGAAGCGGAACTTGGGTGACTTCTCTCTGACGGGGGACTTGGGGGCTGCATCGCCCTCCTGCCCCCGAGAGGCTTTAGAAGGGGCCGCCAGGCCTACACGTGGCAAGCGGACCCGGACCCGGCCCCGGCGACCCGAGGCCCCTTCCCCACTGCCCTCTTCCTCCTCCTCCTCCTCCTCCTCGGGGCTGGGGGACCCTTCCCCAGTGACCATCTCACTTTGGCTGAAGCCCACTCGGGGCAGCCTGAGTTTGGGGCTCTTGGCCTTCTCACCCTCCTCGGCCCCCTCCTTGGCCCGCACCAGGCCAAACCGGGGCAGCCGTACCTTGAGCTTGTGTCCGGCCTCTCCCTCCCCCTCTGCCACCTGGTACTCGGCATGGTTGCCCCCGGATGGCGAGAGCTCCACGTCGGGCAGTGAGAGGCAGAAGGTACGCTCGGCCCCTGGGGGCTGCTCCTCAGCACCCTCGCCCCCCACCCTAGCTCTGGCCCCCAGTGTGGGCAACTTCAGCCTCAGCCCACCCTCGCCTGTGGCCGCCTCGCCCGCCTGTGCCTCTCGGCTTAGCCCCACGTCCAGCTCAAGCTGGGGCACTGTCACGGTGGGCATCTTAAAGACACCCTCACCCACCAGCAGCTCACCACCTGCAACCTGGGCTCCAGGCAGAGACAGGGTCACCTGGGGCACCTGAACCCTGTAGCCTGCTGTGCCCTCTGCTGAAGGGACTGTACTCTGAGCCTGCTGCCCTGGGGTACCTGCCTCCCCAAAGCCGGTCAGCTCCACCTGTGGCAGGGAGATGCCCAGCGGAGGCATCCTCAGCCCCGCGTCATGGCCCTCAGTGACCACCTGCCCGGCTGTGGACACCTTCAGGCCTGACAGCTGCATTCCACTGACGGCCACAGCCCCCTCTGCCCTCCCTTCCTCCTGGGCGCCCAGCGTGACCAGCTCCACCTCGGGGATCTTAAGCTGCACAGCGGTGGACTCAGCCTTTTCCCCCGGGCTGGCACGATCACCTTGAACTTCTGCTTCCTTCCCTCGAGCCAGCCCAAAGGAAGGCATCTTCAGCTTGGGCATCTTCACCCTCCCATCCCAGCCCCAGCCCTTGCCCTCCAACTCAGCCACCCCTGGCACTAGTTCTGCTGCCTCAGTGTCCCGGCCTCTGACCCCAAACTTGGGGAGAGCAAACCTGGGCCCCTTGAACTTGAGGTCGGCCCCTGCCACCTCTACCTTGCCTGAGGGCAGGTGGGCATCCAGGCTGAGCTGTGGGATGGACAGATCGAGGGCAGGCAGCAGGCCTGCCTCCCCAGCCCCTTTGGCCTCAGCCTCAGCCCCCACCCGAGCCTTGGGGAGTGAGATGGCAAATTTGGATACCTTCAGCTTGGTAGCTCGCCCAGCCCCCTCAGCCTCTGCCTTAGCCACCTTTGGCCCCGAGAGTCCAAACTTAGGTAAGGAGAACTTGGAAGAGGGCTTGACTTTTGTCTCTATCATCTCCAGCCGCCCTTCCTCAATTTCCACGGCGGGCAGCTGTGGGGTGACAATTTCAACAGAGGGCACTCGGAAGCCCACTTCCCTGACCCCTGCTGCCACCTCAGGGCCCTCCACCCGCTCTCCCTTGCCCATTTTAGCGGCTGGGACCTGCCCCTGCAGGCCAAGTGCTCCTGGCAGGTCTAGCTCCACTGAAGGCAGAGTGAGAGAGGGGACACCCACATGAGCCTCACCATCCACCTCTGGCTGCAGACAGGGAAGTGTTACCAGCTTCCCTGAGACCTCAGCACCCGCCTCGCCTGGCTTGCCACGTGATGGGGACTCTGCCCTCCCTAGCTTGGGCATGGTCATCTTGGGCATCTTGAAGCCAAATTCCATCCCTTCTGCCTGTTCTGCCTTGGTGGCCTTTAGCTGCACCTCCGGAGCCCTGGGCAGCTTCACCTCTGGTGCCTTCGGAAGATGCACGTCGGGAACCTTCGGCACTTGCATTTCCGGCAGCCGAATCTCTGACACTTTCGGCAGCTGCACCTCGGGGAGGTGCACATCGGGCACAGCCATCTCAGGCACCTTGGGGAGTTTTATCTCTGGGAGCTTCATGTCAGGGACTTTCATTTCACAGACTTTGGGCAGCTGCACCTCTGGGAGGTGCACATCGGGCACGGCCATTTCAGGCACCTTGGGGAGTTTCATCTCTGAGACTTTTGGCAGCTGCACCTCGGGGAGTCGAACCTCTGGCACAGCCATCTCAGGCATTTTAGGGAGTTTCATCTCTGGGACTTTCGGGAGCTGCACTTCCGGGAGGTGCACATCGGGCACAGCCATCTCGGGCACCTTCGGGAGTTTCACCTCAGGGAGTTTCATCTCAGGGAGCTTCATCTCTGGGACTTTTGGAAGCTGCACTTCTGGGAGGTGCACATCGGGCACGGCCATCTCGGGCACCTTCGGGAGTTGCACTTCAGGGAGTTTCATCTCAGGAAGTTTCATCTCAGGCACCTTTGGAAGCTTCATCTCAGGGACTTTCATCTCTGGCACTTTCGGCAGCTGCACCTCTGGAAGCCGCACCTCTGGCACAGCCACCTCTGACACCTCTGGGAGTTTCATCTCTGACACTTTCGGCAGCTGTACCTCTGGAAGCCGCACCTCCGGCACAGCCATCTCTGGCACCTTTGGGAGTTTCATCTCCGACACTTTCAGCAGCTGTACCTCTGGAAGCCGCACCTCCGGCACAGCCATCTCTGGCACCTTTGGGAGTTTCATCTCTGACACTTTGGGCAGCTCTACCTCTGGAAGCCGCACCTCCGGCACAGCCATCTCTGGCACCTTTGGGAGTTTCATCTCTGACACCTTGGGGAGCTCCACCTCTGGGAGTCGAACCTCTGGAAGGGCTGCCTCGGGCACTTTTGGAAGCTTGACCTCAGGAGCCTTGGGGAGCTTCACTTCAGGTCCCTTGGGCACCTTGACCTCGGGCCCTGACACTCCGATGCCAAGGGAGGGCATCTTGATGGTGGGCAGCTTCAGCTTGCTCTCTACAACTTCAGGAGCAGCGGGCCGGGGCTCCAAGAGGGAAAGCCCAAAGGTGGGCATTCGAAGTCTGGGACCTTTCACCCTGGCCTCAGGGCTGACCTTGGCTACCTTGGCCTCAGCAACTTCCTTTGCTCGAGCCCCAAATCGGGGAAAACTAAGGCGGGGCATCTTCAGGGCCACCTCAGGTGCCTCTCCCCGGGCCTCCACCTCTGCACCCGGCAAGGCCAGGTCCACCCCCACAGTCGGTGCTGCCACATCCAGGGTGGGCACCACTACCGACACAGCCCCTTCCCGGGTCTCTAGGCAGGGAAGTGTGGGCAGAGTGGGCAGTGAGGGCAAGGCAGGCAGCTCCACCTGGGGGACCTGGATTCCCACGGCTGGGGCCTCCACAGCAGGCGGAGCCGGGGCTCCGAGCCCAAGGGTTGGCAGGTGGAGGGCAAAGCCACCAGCTGCCTCTGCTGAGGGGGCAGCCTTGGGGGCTGAGACCTGGGGGACACCCACCTCCGCCCCTGGCAGCCGCGGCCCAACCAGCTCCACCTGAGGGGCTGTGAAACGAGCTCCTGCAGCCACCTCAGCCTCCACCTTGGCTTTCCTGGGGGGAGGAGCGGCGGCGGCCAGCCGGGCTGCCTGAGCCTCTTCGGCCACTTCTCGTACACGCAGCCGAGGCAGCTGGAGGCGCCGGCGGGCAGGGGCAGCCGGGACAGGACCCTTGACAGCCTCGGCTTTGAGGCCCCGACGCAGGCGGGAGAACTTGGGAAAGGAGAACTCGACGTCAACAGGGGCCAGGTCAGCGGGGACCCCCAGAGCCCCAGGCACCATCTTCTTCTTCTTCACAGGGGACAGACTCTGGATGTTCTGGGGAGAGAGGAGAGAGGCAGGAGGCGGTGGGACAGTGGGAGGCTGGGAGTGGACAGGAAGAGCCCCACCTGGTATTGGACCAGGCGGGGGATGTGCTGGGTCAAGTATCTTGTTCCCCAAACATCATCCCCACTTCTTGCCTGTCATTTCACCATGAGTGCCCAGGAAAGCAGGCAGCCATCTAGGATCTCCAAATGAGTCAACAGGAGTGTAGGGACGGGGACCCAAGACTTCTAGATCCTGATCCGGGATTTTCCCCAACATCCTCATTCTAGAGATGGGGAAACTGAGGCCCAGGGAGAGAAACAACTTTGTCCAGGGCCACTCAGCAGTAATTGGGCCAGCACTCAGGCTGGAATCTGGCTTTCCTGGTTCGAAGTAGCCTGGTTCAGGACCCCTAGCAAGCCTGGATCCGATGGTGGGGACGCCTCTCCGAGGTGGGTGAGGGCCCTGGGCTGGGGTGGGTCTGTCCCCCTTCCCGGGGAAGAGTTTGGGGCAGAGAGGAAGGGGCAGAGGGTGGAATTAGCTTGGGTTAGTGACAAGACAGAGGGCAAGGCTGGCCCACGATGGCGGGGAATGGGGCTCACGGCGCAGAGACCGGATCGCTGGGGCAGTCCAGGGCCGGGGCCGGGCTAAGCACGCGTACCAGCTTGGCCACCTTGGCCCGCGGGCCCTTGATCTCGTAGCCAGACACGGTCCCGGGCCGCAGAGCCAGGTCCCCGGTGGGCACAGTGCGCTTCAGGCAGAAGGAGACTTTGTAAGGCTCGGCGCATTGCAGCAGGCGTAGTGCGTCCTCGTACTTGAAGTTCTCGAAGAACACTCGGGCACTCAGCAGCTGGTCCCCTGCGGGCGAGGTGGAGGTGCGCAGCACGTGGGCATCTCCCGGCTCCGCCCGGGCCTAGTTCTGCCCACTTGCACGGAGCCCTCGCGGTGAGGACCCGCCCCAAATTTTAGTTTCTCCAATCCCCAGCGCAGGATTAAGTCGCAGTTACGCTAGTCCCCGCCCCATGACCTTATCCCCGCCCCCTGCAATGAACAAAGCCGCGCCCACTCAGGCCACGCCCGCACCTTGTCGCTCCCCTACCCATCCTTACGTTTCAGATACTGACTTTGCTTCTTTTACCGAGAGAACAGAATCAGAAGGGAACTTCCAGAATCTCCCACACTGTGTGTTCACCCCCTTTCTCCTGCGGCGACTTACTCCATTCGCCTTCCTGTTCCTGGGGATGAACTAACCCCACTCCTAGCTCAGGGCAATCTCTCCACCGCCTTCTCAGGGACATCCTCCAGCAATTCTCTCCTCTTCCCACGTCATCAGTTGTCCTTCTCGTCTACATTATTCCCATCAGCATACAAACATATTATTATTTCTCGCATAAGAAAGGTTGTCATGGCCTCACTCCCCCGGAGCTCCTGCCCCATTTATCTGTTCACCTTAATAGGCAAAAGGTATTGAGTTCTCCAGTGGCATTGTTACCAGTTCTCCAGTCACACCTCTGACCCTGCTTTCCAACACGCACATCTGAACTGCTCCTCTCAAGGTTCCAGGCAGTGACCTCTGTATAGTAAGTCCAAGGGTCAAGTCCCAGGCCTCATCTGCTTAAACCACTCAGCATCTGATCTAACCTCACTCTCTGTCATATCCTTGCTTCCCTTGGCTTCCAAGGTGCTACACCCTCTGGAGCGTCTCTGGGAGTTCCTTGTCAGTCTCCATAGATGTTTGCTTTCCCTCTCCCTGATTTCTTTCTTTCTTTTCTAAACAGTCTCACTATGTTGCCCAGTCCAATCTCAAATTCCTAGGCTCAACTGATCCTCCCACCCCAGCCTCCCAAAATGCTGATATTACAGGCGTGAGCCACTACACCCAGCTTTCTTTCCTTTCTTTCTTTCTTTCTTTCTTTCTTTCTTTCTTTCTTTCTTTCTTTCTTTCTTTTTCTTTCTTTCTTTCTTTCACCCAGCTTTCTTTCCTTTCTTTCTCTTTCTTTCTTTCTGTCTGTCTGTCTTTCTTTTCTTTTCTTTTCTTTTTTAGATGGAGTTTTGCTCTTGTTGCCCAGGCTGGAGTGCAATGGCGCGATCTTGGCTCACTGCAACCTCTGCCTCCCGGGTTCAAGCGACCCTCCTGCCTCAGCCTCCTGAGTAGCTGGGACCACAGGCATGCACCACCACACCCAGCTAATTTTGTATTTTTAGTAGAGACGGGGTTTCTCCATGTTGGTCAGGCTGGTCTCGAACTCCCGACGTCAGGTGATCTGCCCGCCTTGGCCTCCTAAAGTGCTGGCATTACAGGCGTGAGCCACCGTGCCCAGCCCCTCCTCTTTTTTTTTTAAGACAAGATCTCGCCAGGTGCGGTGGCTCATGCCTGTAATCCCAGCACTTTGGGAGGCCGAGGCAGGTGGATCACCTGAGGTCGGGAGTTCGAGACCAGCCTGACCAATATGGAGAAACCCTGTCTCTACTAAAAATACAAAATTGGCCAGGCATGTTGGCACATGTCTGTAATCCCAGCTACTAGGGAGGCCGAGGCAGGAGAATCACTTGAACCCGGGAGGCGGAGGTTGCGGTGAGCTGAGATCGTGCCATTGCACTCCAGCCTGGGCAACAAGAGCGAAATTCCATCTCAAAAAAAAAAAAAAAAAAAAAAAAAAGACAAGATCTCACTCTTCACCCAGGCTGTGGTACACTGGTGCAATGACAAATCACTGCAGCCTTGAACTTCCAGGCTCCAGCGATCCTCCTGCAAATGCAGGCCCGTGCCACCACACCCAGCCTCTCTGGCCTCTTAAAGACACACTACCCCAGACCTCAGGACTTGGACCTCCTCTCTGTCTACATGCTCAAGTCACCCCTTGGGAATTCTTGGGAAGTTCATCCAGATTGAGAAGTTAAAAGACCATAAATCTGCTAACAATTCCCAAGTATATCTCTCCAGTCCAGCACTCTCCCCTCCACCCTAGACTCACATCCAACATCTCCATCATATCTCCACCTGGGTGTCCCACACCACACCTCTCCTTTAACAGATCCAAACTGTACTCCTGGTCTTTCTTAGTACTAGCCTCAGTGTGCTCCTTTTGAGGGACCAGCAACTCCATCCTCAGGTCAAAAATCCCCAGATCCATCCTGGACAACCCTCTTTCCATCATACCCAATATCCAGTCCTCAAAGCTCCTCCTTCAAAATATATTCAGAATCCAAATATATATATACCTCCAAAACCCTTTGGTCCTGAGCATCCTCATCTCTTACCTGGATAATCACAGTAGCCAGTTTGTTGATCTCCCTGCTCCTAAACCTGCCTTCATATATTCTACTGTTTGTTGTTGTTGGCCTTGTTTTTGAAACAGAATCTTGCTCTGTTGCCCAAGCTGGAGTGCAGTGGTGTGATCATGGCTCATTGCAGCTTCAGTCTCCTGGGCTCAAGCGATCCTCCCGCCTTGGCTTCCCCGAGTGCTGGGATTACAGGTGTGAGCCACCCAATGCTTGGCCATACTCTACTGTTAATGCAGCAGTTCAGCACAGTCAATTCACGTTTCTCCCTGCTCACAGCCCTCACAGAATAAAAGCCAAAGTCTTATAAAGCCCTCTAAAAAGTGTCCTCCCCTTACCTCTCTGGCCTTCTCTCTTACTCTCCTCTTCACTAACTCAATTGCGTAGACACTGGCTTCCTCACTGTTTCTACCACAAGCTAGGCATGGTCCCACCTTGGGGCATTTTTGCTGTCTGTTCCCTCTTCCAGATGGCCTCATAGCTTGTTCCCTTACCTCCTTTAGCCTTTTCACCCTTTCCAGCCCACCCCTTTTTTTTTTTTTTTTTAGGCGGAGTTTTGCTCTTTCGCCCAGGCTGGAGTGAAGTGGCGCGAACTCGGCTTACTGCAACCTTAAGCAATTCTCCTGCCTCAGTCTCCTGAGTAGCTGGGATTATAGGCGCCTACCACCACACCCGGCTAATTTTTGAATTTTTAGTAGAGACAGAGTTTCGCCATATTGGCCAGGCTGGCCTCGAACTCCTGACCTCAGGTGATCAGCCCACCTCAGCCTCCCAAAGTGCTAGGATTATGCACCCAGCCAAGCCCACCCCCATTTAAAAATGCAGCTGTAGGCCGGCCTCGGTGGCTCACGCCTGTAATCCCAGCACTTTGGGAGGCCGAGGAGGGCGGATCACGAGGTCAGAAGATGGAGACCATCCTGGCTAACACGGTGAAACCCCGTCTCTACTAAAAATACAAAAAAAATTAGCCGGGCATGGTGGCGGGTGCCTGTAGTCCCAGTTACTAGGGAGGCTGAGGCAGGAGAATGGCGTGAACACGGGAGGCGGAGCTTGCAGTGAGCCGAGATCGTGCCACTGCACTCCAGCCTGGGAGACAGAGCAAGACTCCGTCTCAAAATAAATAAATAAATAAAATAAAATAAAATAATAAAAATGCAGCTGTAGCACATTGTCCTCCTGGCAACTGTAGCACTTACTGCTTTCTAATTTACTAGGTATTTTACTTAATTTGCTTAAATATGTCTCTCCCGGCTGGGCGCGGTGGCTCACACCTGTAATCCCAGCACTTTGGGAGGCCGAGGCGGGCAGATCACGAGGTCAGGAGATCGAGACCATCCTGGCTAACACGGTGAAACCTCGTCTCTACTAAAAATACAAAAAATTAGCCGGGCGTGGTTGTGGGCGCCTGTAGTCCCTCCCAGCTACTAGGGAGGCTGAGGCAGGAGAATGGTGTGAACCCGGGAGGCGGAGCTTGCAGTGAGCCGAGATTGCGCCACTGCACTCCAGCCTGGGCAACAGAGCGAGACTCCGTCTCAAAAAAAAAAAAAAATCTCTCCCCACTGGAATGTAAGCTCCATAAGTGCAGGGACTGTTGTTCAGTTTTGTTCACGGCTGAAGCCCAAGCAGCTAAGATAATGTCTGACATAGGGTGGGGCACGGTGGCTCACGCCTGTAATCCCAGCACTTTGGGAGACTGAGGCGGATGGATCACCTGAGGTCGGGAGTTCGATACCAGCCTGGCCAACATAGTGAAACCCCGTCTCTACTAAAAATACAAAAATTAGCCGGGCGTGGTGGAGGGGACCTGTAATCCCAGCTACTCAGGAGGCTGAGGCAGGAGAATCGCTTGAACCAGGGAGGCGGAGGTGGCAGTGAGCCGAGATCGTGCCATTGCACTCCAGCCTGGGCAACAAGAGAGAAACTCCGTATCAAAATACATAAATAAATAAAGTCTGAAATAGAAGGCACTAATAAATAGTTGTTGCATGAATAAATCACGTCAGCTTCATCCATATCCTAAAACATCCTTTACTCTTCCCAACCCCTCTAAGTGGCTCACTCCACCCTTTTCTCCTGCCCCAACAACAAAAACATTTACTAGCACTCACATAGTTAAGCACTATGTGCCACTTAGCTATGTGCTAAGTGTTTTCACATACTGACTCGTTAAATCCTCAATACATAATAACCCCATACTAGAATAAGTCCCATTTCAGAGATGAGAAAACTGAGGCACAGAAAGATCACAAGCTAGTAAACGGGGGATGTGAAATTCGCACCCAGACAGTGAACCTCCGGAATTTGCTGTGAACAGTCAGCAAAGCCCCGCCCCAAGCCCTTAACCCCTCCTGGTCGCCGGTCACGCCCCCATCCCCCGGTCAGTTTCAGCCTCTCTTTGGACCCAAGGCAGATTCCTAACCCCGCCCCCGCAGTTCGACCCCGCCCCACACCCCGGGCCCGCCCACCTTCCTGCAGGCTGAGGCTCCTGGCGGCGGGTGAGTCCTCGCGCAGCTCCCGAACGAAGATTCCCTCTTTGCCGCCGCCCGCTACGTTGATGCCGCTGACCCCGGTCTGCGCCTCCGTCTCCACGATAATTTCCACCAACTCCGCCCGCCTCAGCTCCTGCAGAGGGCGGCGAGGTGTCGCGTTGGGGCTCTAGGGCCGGACCTCGCCCAGAGCCCGCCATTGCGCTCAACAGTGGCTCATATACATATATATGTTTATATATATTTAGAGACGGGGGTGGGGGACGGTCTCGCCACACTGCCCAGGCTGGTCTCGAACTCCTCCTGGGCCCAAGGGATCCTCCCGCCTCGGCCTCCCAAAGTGCTGGGATTACAGGCGTGAGCCACCGCGCCCGGCCAAAAGCGGCTGTTCAGCGGGCCTTCAGGGCACACGCCCCTCGGCGCTGCCCTCGCAGGACGTCGGGGCACACCCACTCCGGCGTCTCCCCTTTAAGCAAGCCTGAGGGCAGCTGGCTTTCTAGGACCCGCGGAACGGTTAAACAGCTCCGCGGGCCGGCTGGCCTCTCCGAGGCCCTGGAGCGGCAGCCGAAAGGGGTTAGGGGAGGAGACGGGGTTGTAAGGGGAGGGACTGCGTCGGAGTGGGCTGGAGATAACTTGAGTTGTGATTGAGAGGCGGGACCAGGATCGTGGGGGCGTGGTCAGGTCGGGAGGGCGGGGCTGGGGGGGGTTGGTGCGGGTAGGAGGGGTAAGACAACACAGGCCTGAGAGGAAGAGCCAAATGGGGTATAGAAGGGTGCAAAAGATAGGAGAGGAATGTGGCCAGAGTTTATGGGAGGTTATTTGGAGCTGGGGCGGAGACCCTTATTATTTTTTTGTTGGGGGAGACAGGGTCTCTCACTCTGTCCCCAGGCTTGAGTGCAGTGGTGTGATCATGGCTCACTGCAGCCTCCACCTCCTTAAACTCAAGCAGACCTTCCGCTCCGGTCTCCCAAGTAGTTGGGAACATAGGCACGCGCCACCACGCCCAGCTAATTTTTAATTTTTTTTTTAAGAGACAGGGGTATCACTGTGTTGCCCAGGCTGGTCTCAAACTCCTGGCCTCAAGAGATCCTCCTGTCTCAGCCTCCCAAAGCACTGGGATTACAGGCATGAGCCACTGCATCTGGCCCGGAGACCCATATTCTACAAACTGAATTTAACTATGGGGGAGGGGCTTTAATTACAGCAGAACAAGAGAATAGTTGAGGATGGGATTCTGAGGAAGGGGCTGGCTGGACCTTCAAGCCCTCTGGGATTGGGGGGACAGGGAGTGGGATTTGCCTCCCTGCAGGCTTGAATGTGTGTGAGAATGTGCTCTATTGTAAATTCAATGACCCGAAGACCTGTGAAACGCCCACAGGAGAGGGAATCCAGTGAAGGGGGTCTGCGTGGGTAATGAATGGGACTGGGAGACATGGCATTCCCGGTATTTACTGTAAATGATGCAGATTGGACCTGGCCCAGAAGCCACTATGGGATTCACAATAGGGCTTCCCAGAAGAGGCAGTGACAAACCTGGATCCTGTCTAGGAATCCAATCTGCTGTGTGTCTTAGGAAGAATCTTGCCCTCTCTGGACCCACTTCCCTGCTGCAAAATAGGGTAACATAGGCATACTGGAAGGAGGTTGCAGTAGGGATCTGAGAGGACACTGTCATGGCCAACGCACTGGGGCCAGCACGGACTGGAATTGAGCCCAGGACTTGGAGGGAGAGCAGGTCTAGGCCAGATGCCCCACAGCAGTGGCCCCAAGGGACTAGGGGGCTGAGCAGGGCAGTCTGGGTAAGGAGAGTTGTGGCTGGGACTGTAGGGAACAGCATGACCACCAGTACCGCCCTTTGGCTCAGCAGGCCCTGGGCTCAGCATTTTATGTGCAGAATCTCTTTTTTTTTTTTTTTTTTTTTTTTTTTTTTGAGGCGGAGTCTCGCTCTGTCACCCAGGCTGGGAGTGCAGTGGCACAATCTTGGCTCACTGCAACCTCCACCTCCCGGGTCAAGCGATTCTCCTGCCTCAGCCTCCCGAGTAGCTGGGATTACAGGTGCACGCCACCACGCCCAGCTAATTTTTGTATTCTTAGTAGAGATAGAGTTTCACCATGTTGGCCAGGATGGTCTCGATCTCTTGACTTCATGATCCACCCGCCTCAGCTTCCCAGAGTGCTGAGATGACAGGCATGAGCCACCGCGCCCGGCCTCTTTTTTTTTTTTAAGAGTCGGAGTCAGGCCAGGCGCGGTAGCTCACACCTATAATCCCAGCACTTTGGGAGGCCAAGGCGGGAGGATCACCTGAGGTCAGGAGTTCAAGACCAGCCTGGCCAACATGGCGAAACTCCATCTCTACTAAAAGTCCTAAAATTAGCCAGGCGTGGTGGTGGGCGCCTGTAATCCCAGCTACTCGGGAGACTGAGGCAGGAGAATTGCTTGAACCTGGGAGGCGGAGGTTGCAGTGAGCTGAGATCGCACCACTGCACTCCAGCCTGGGTGACAAGACCAAGAATCCGTCTCAAAAAAAAAAAAAAAAAGAGTCGGAGTCTTGTTTTGCCCAGGCTGGTCTCCAGCTCCTGGGCTCAAGGGATCCTCTGGCCTCAGCCTCCCAGAGTGTTGGGATTACAGGTGTGAGCCATCGAATGCAGTCTGCAGGATCTCATTTCATCCTCTCCCTATAGCCTTGGGCAGTCACAGAGGAGGACACTAAGGCCCAGAGAGGTAAAGTGACTTGCCTAATGCCCTGTAGCAAGTTAAGCGGCTGGGCCTCAACCTTAGGTCTGTGACCCCAGAACTCATAGGCCATCCTGTGGGCAGAGAACTCCTGGCGCTGTACCCACTGCCTCTCGCCCCCAGTAGCAGCTTGGCCCCTGTAACAGTAGACCCGCTCTGTGCCTGGTATACAGTAAGACATGGTCAATGCCAATCCACCATCTCAGTAACAGTGACAGCAGCTGTCATTCAAAGAGGCTTCCTCAGCACCAGACTCTGTGCAAATGGCTCAAGCGGGAGTTCTCAGAGGTGGAGATCATTACCTCCATTTCTTTTTTTTTTTTTTTTTTTTGAGACAGAGTCTCACTGTGACCCTCAGGCTGGCATGCAATGGTGTGATCTCGGCTCACTGCCACCTCCGCTTCCTGGGTTCAAGCAATTCTTCTGCCTCAGCCTCCCGAGTAGCTGGGACTACAGGTGTGCACCATCATGCCCGGCTAATTTTTGTATTTTTAGCAGAGATGGGGTTTCACCGTATTGGCCAGGCTGGTCCCGAACTCCTAACCTCAAGTGATCCGCCCGCCTTGGCCTCCCGAAGTGCTGGGATTATAGGTGTGAGCCACTGCGCCCAGCCCCATTACCTCCATTTCAGTGGGAAACTGAGGCTGAAAGAGGTGAGATCATCTGCCCAGGGCCACACAGCTGAAGTGGTAGGGTTGGGATTTGAGCCATGGGTCCAAGCCCATGTCCTTAACTCCTACATTATATGCCCTTGTGTGTGTGTGTGTGTGTGTGTGTGTGTGTGTGTGTGTGTTTAGACAGGGTCTTTTTTTTTTTTTCTTTGTTTTTCTCATTTATTCTTTCCACACAGGAGACTTAATGAGACAGGATCTTGCTCTTTCACCCAGGCTGGCGTGCAGTGGTTCAATCATATCTCACTGCAACCTCAACCTCCTGGGTTCAGGTGATCCTCCCACCTCAGCCTCCTGAGTAGCTGGGACTACAGGAATGCACCACCAAACCCGGCTCATTTTTTTTTCCGGTAGAGACAGGGTCTTCCTATGTTGCCCAGGCTTGTCTCAAACTCCTAGGCTTTAGCGATCCTCCTGCCTCGGCCTCCCAAAGTGCTGGAATTCCAGGCCTGCGCCACTGCACCTGGCATATGCTGCCTCTTCTGATGAAGGGTTTCTGCCGGATTTTCTTCAGCTCCTTATTAATTTAGCTCCTTTGTGCGCCAGTGATTTCACTGCCTTGAGTCTTAGCCTGTGCCAGATGCTGCACTAAGGACATTACATATGTTAATTTTCTTCTCCTCACAGTGACCCATAAAATAGACCCTGTTATTATTTCCATTTCACAGATGGAGAGAATGAGGCACAGAGAGGCCAGAAAGTGTCTCCTTGCTGCCCTAGTCTGTGCCTCCCCATTGCCCTCAAGTGCGCCTTGCAGGACACGTGGGCACTCACCTCGGCACTCCGGCTCCTGGCCTCCATGGCGTTGCTGGGAGGCACCTGCACCCCAGGCTCCTGTGTCCTCTCCCCTTTCTGCTGCAGAACCAGCTTCAGTTCTGCATGGAGCAGCTGCCTCTGAGCCTGTGGGAGGACAGCAGTGGAGGCTTGAGGCCAGTAGGGGACGAGAGGTGGAGGCCATGCTTACAGGGAGAAAGCAGGGTGGGTATTAGAAGGGGAGAAGGGCCCCCACCCCAGCTGTCCTCTCACCGCTGCCTGGGTGCAGGCACTTCCTCCTAACAGGAGCCCAGCCCGAGGTGCCGCACAGCTGTCTGCAGGGCTCACGCCCTTCCGTGGGGTTCTTGCTGCCTGCCAGGGAAAGGCCAGGATGTGAAGCTCCAGGCAGGCGAGGAAGGGGTGGGGAGGGGCATATGGCACCAGCCTGCGCTCACCTGAGGGTCACCTCCAGCTCCTTGGGCCTCCTGGGTCCGGCGCTCTAAGAAGAATAATGTGAGCAGTGTTATTGGCTAACAGCCACCGATGACTTCCTGAGTGCCTGACCCTGCTGCGTTCTGCTGATACCCTATCCCCGTCGTGCAGGTGGGAAACTGAGCCTCAGAAGACCTTTACCCAGGATGACTCAGCTGGACAACACACGGTAAAGCCAAAACTGACTCCGAGGCCTGTCTGGCAGCAGAGCCCCCGTGCCAAAGATCTTGGCCAACTGAGGGGGCCAAATTCACTAAAAAATAATTGCTATTTGAGACAGGGTCTAGCTCTATTGCCCAGGCTGGAGTGCAGTGGTGCAATCACGGCACACTGCTGCCTCGGTCTCTGGGCTCAGGCGATCCTCCCACCTTGGCCTCCCGAGTAGCTGGGACCACAGGTGCATGCCACAACACCCGGCTACGTTTTTGTTGTTGTTGGTGGTGTGTGTGTGTGTGTGTGTGTGTGTGTGTGAGAGAGAGAGTTTTGCTCTGTCACCTAGGCTGGAGTGCAATGGCGCGATCTTGGCTCACTGCAGCCTCCAACTCCTGGGTTCAAGTGATTCTCCCGCCTCAGCCTCCCGAGTAGTTGGGACTACAGGCACGCACCTTGGGACTACAGGTACGCACCGCCATACCCGGCTATTTCTTGTATTTTTAGTAGAGACGGAGTTTCACCATGCTGGCCAGGCTGGTCTTGAACTCCTGACTGCAAGTGATCAGCCCACCTTGGCCTCCCAAAGTGCTGGAATTACAGGCATGAGCCTCCACACCTGGCAACACCAGGTTAATTTTTTAAATTAATTTGTAGAGATGGAGTCTCCCTAGGTTGCCCAAACTGAGCTCCAACTCCTGGGCTCATGCTATCCTCCTGCCTCAGCCTCTTGATGCTATAAAATAATTATAGCCACTCCCATGTACTCCCAGTGAGCAAATCACAGCTCCTCTCTGTGCTTCAGTTATGTTGTCTATAAAATGTGGAGAATAAGAGCTTTTACCTCGCAGGGCTGTTCCGAGGCTCAAATGAGTTAATAAGTGTAAAGTGCCAGGCACCTGGCAGGTGCTTTATAAATACTTGCTATTATTATTATTATTATTATTATTATTATTATTATTTTGAGACAGAGTCTCGCTCTGTTGTCCAAGCTGGAGTGAAGTGGTGCGAATTCGGCTTACTACAACCTCTGCCTCCTGGGTTCAAGTGATTCTCCTGCCTCAGCCTCCCAAGTAGCTGGGATTACAGGTGCCCACCACCACGCCTGGCTACTTTTTGTATTTTTAGTAGAGATGGGGTTTCACCATGTTGGCAGGCTGGTCTGGAACTCCTGACCTCAGGTGATCCACCTGCCTCAGCCTCCCAAAGTGCTGGGATTACAGGCATGAGCCACTGCACCTGTCAGGCCATTATTATTACTAAGAACTTCCTATGGCCCTGACCTTGTGTCGAGCGCCCCACATGCTCCACTGCACATGGCCCTCAGCACAGCCTTGTGCAATCAGCTACTACTGAGCCCATTACAGAGGAGACACCTGAGGCTGGGGGAAGGGATGTCACTAGCCCAGGTCACAAATGGTCGAGCCAGGACTTGAATTTGTCTGAAGGCTCCAGCCCTTTATCTGGGTAGTAATAATACCTGATGGGTACTGAGTGATTAGTATTTGCTGGCCCCCGTGCTAAGACCTTCACCTTCTACTTCACCTCGGAAAACCCCATTTCCTGAGAGGCCAAAAGAACTTGCTCAAGGCCTCATAGCACAGCCAGAAGGAGGCAAAGCTGAAATTCACATGCAGCCACCCGCCAGGCCCATCTGGGGAAATGGAGATGAATACTCTCTCCCCCAACCCCCGACTCTGGGCTTGTCCTCACAGCCCCCACCTGGCATGCCAACCCGCCAACCCCTATTGCACAGGGAAAGGTCAGGCCTCACGCGGCACATTCCCTCACACAATGGCCCGTCTGCTGTGCTCAGTTGCATTCCGCCCCTGCCCACCCACCCTGGCCACACAATGGCCTTTCATAGCCCATCAGTGGCCAGGAGAGAGGACATGGGGACCCCTTAACACTCCCACAGCACCCACGCCCCCCACAGTGTAAGAGGGCTTCTCTCTGCATCTCCTAGGGGGTCCTGGTCTCTGTGGCCTTCCCTGGGATCCCCTGTGAGCCCCCTACACCTTCCAGGCTGTGCCAGGACTTGAACTTGTCTAAAAACTCCAGCACGGGCTGGGCGCGTGGCTTAGGCCTGTAATCCCAACACTTTAGGAGGCCGAGGTGGGTGGATCACGAGGTCAGGGGTTCGAGACCAGTCTGGCCAATATGGTGAAACCCCGTTTCTACTAAAAATACTAAAATTAGCCAGGCGTGGCAGCGCGCGCCTGTAATCCCAGCTACTCGGGAGGCTGAGGCAGGAGAATCGCTTCAGCCTGGGAAGCGGAGGTTGTGGTGAGCTGAGAATGCACCACTGCACTCCAGCCTGTGCGATAGAGCGAGACTCCATCTCAAAAAAATAAAAATAAAAATAAAAAAAGCTCCAGCGCTTTAGCTGGACAATCATAATAACAACTGATGGGTATTGAGTGGTTAGTATTAATATTAGCTGGTCCCTGCACTAAGACCTTGTCTGCCATGTCTGGGGCATTTCCTCTGAATTGGGCCCTGTGCTAGCACCCACAGGCCTCAAAATCACCCTAGATGTTGTGGCTGTTATGGGGTGGAAACTGAGGCTCACAGAGGGGTCACCCAGCCAGAAAGGGGCAGAGCTAGGACCCGTGCCTGCCCTTCACCCCTGCTTCACCTTAATTTGCATTGGTGGCTCTGCGCACTGGGGCAGGAGCTGGGTTGGGCAGGAGGGGGCCAACGGTGCTAGAAACACACCCAGGCCAGGTGCCGGGCCTGGACCGGGCAGGCGCTTTACATACTTGACCTTGTGGGACCCCATTTAACTGATGAGTCAATGAGAGTTAAGAGACCGGTGATCACAGTGACAGAGTCGAGACTTGAGCCCAGGTGTGAAAGCGAACTCAGTTCCCTTACCCAGGACTGATACACAGCACAGAGTCCTGAGCTGGGGACACGAGAAGCCTGAACCTTGTAGGTGGTAGTAGAGGGGGTCTCCTGGGTCATCAGCTCTCTGTCCCAGGCCCGTGGCTGTGAGGGTCATGCCCGGAGCCTGGCACAGGAAGTTCAGGCGGGGCAGGGACAAGAGAGAGTGCCCTCCTTCTTCGTCCCTGCCTGGACAGGCACCCAGCCCAGGTTATATTTAGCCCAACTGTGCTCTTCCTGAGCCACGTACCCAGCCCCTGGGGTAAGGTGGGGGCAGCTTCGGAAGGAAACCCACAGAGAGGACTCTGTGTTCCCAGCTCTGCCTATCCCACTAGGCAGGGGAAAGAGGGGTGGGGAGGCTCCTGGGGAGGGTCCCTGCCTTGTGTTAGAGGCAGATCCACTGGGACCAGGCAGACACTCCAGATGCCAGCAGCCTATTTCTTGGGTAGTTACTGTGGCATGACCCTGGCATATGCCAGAACTTTCAGAATCCCCAGGGTCCCCATTTCTTGAGCACCTACTGTGTGCTAAGATCCTTCCTGTCTTGGCTCCTTAAATCTTTGTAACATCTCCCTGGAGTGGGTACAACTGAGATATCCATTTCAGATGCGACTTATGCCCTTCAGAGCAGCTGGGAGCGAGGGGTTGTCATTCGGAGGCTGCTGAGGGATCGGCTGAGGGCATTGCCCTTCTGGCCCTCTTTCCCTGGTGACTGCCACCAACTTCACTTGGGAACCCTGCCTGCTCAGAGCCTCAGCTTTCCCCCGCCACCAGCGTGATCTCTCATAGCAATGGGGGTCAGGGGTTGGGCTGACTCATCCAGACCTCTAAACATTATCTGAGGCCACCTAGGGGGTCAGGGGGAGTTAAGGCAGTGGCCTCTGGCTGCCTCGGTTAGTCCCTGCTCCAGCACTTCCCAGGTGTGAGGACTTGGGCAAGATCCTTCATCTCTGGGGCCTCAGTTTCTCCATCTGTAAAATGGAGCCAATAAGAAAGGCTTTGAAGATTTGTGAGAGAACAGCAGGTGCTTAGAATATCCCTCCTGTATAGTAAATGCTTGATTAATATAAACTCGTCTCTGACAGCAACAGGGAGAGTATGGAGGGAGGGAGCTGTGCTTCTCACAGTGTTGCACATCCAACCTTTGCTCCTCAGTGGCCCCCACTTTCTCTGCTACCAAAGGGGAGCTTTGGCTGAGAGACAAAACCCAGCTCAGGCACCAGCCTCCCAACAGGATCCATGCTGCCTCCCTAGCACCCTACTCCAGGGACCCACCCCAGGCCTCCTGCCCCAGCTCTGGTGTTTGTTAGTTTGTTTTTTGGAGACAGGGTCTCCCTCTGTCACTGAGACTGGAGTGCAGAGGTGTGATCACGGCTCACTGCAGCCCCAACCTCCTGGGCCCAACCCAATCTCCCATCTCAGCCTCCAGAGTAGCTGGAACCACAGGCATGCACCACCATGCCCAGCTAATTAAAAAAAATTTTTTTTTGTTTTGTAGAGATGGGGGCCTCTCTATGTGGCCCAGGCTGGTCTCGAACTCCTGGGCTTAAGCAGTCCTGCCGCCTCAGCCTCCCAAAGTGCTGGGATTATAGGCATGAGCCACCATGCCTGGCTGCCCTAGCTCTTTAAAAGCAGCAACTCATTTACTCGGCACCAGCCCTGTGAGGTGGCCTCCAGACATCAGCCCATTTTAGAGATGGGGAAACAGAGGCACAAAGGATGAAGTATCTTGCCCAAGGCTGCACAGCCAGAAAGGAGAGGAAAGGGGATTTGAACCACCAGCTCCAAAGTCTATACCTTTAACACCTACACCACACGGCTTCCTGAGCCCCCAGGCCCCCTCCCAGCACCTCCCGGGACCCTGAACCTCATTCCCACAGTGTCTCAGCCTGGCCAGGGAAGGGACCGGCCGGCTGATCTCTTACCGCTGAGCCTCCAGACACCTCGAGAGCTCCTGGTCCCGTCTGTCAGCCCTAGCCCTAGGCTGGGGGGGAAAAGGAATGGGGAGGGGGGAGGAGAGAGAGACCCCAGCCATTGGCTGCGGGGGTGTGACGTCACCAGAGGGTGGGTGGTGGAGAAACAAACATCCCCCTCCTCCAGCTACATCTATCCCCAAGGGGTGGGGGCCACGGGACAGCCACCAGCCGCCTCTCTCTTGCCTGGGCCGAGATCTCTGCCATGAGCTCAGCTTCAAGGATTTGCACGTTGGCTTCCTCGACTTGGAGAATCAGGACCCCACCCCAGCCCCACTGTTTCCTGGCTCCAGGACCCGGGCCTGGCCAACTGCCTCTACTGTAAACTCCTTTCACTCCCTCTCCCTGTCAACTTGGGTTCAAATCGCAGCGCGACCACTTCCTCGCTGGGTGACCTGCTGCCAGTCACAGCTTCTCTTTGCGGATAGTAAGAGTACCCACCTTATGGGGCTGTGGTGAAGATTAAACGAGTTAAAAGAGACTGAAAATGTAAGACAATGCCGGGCACATAATGAGGGTTACTAATAAGTATTTGGTATTATTTTTCACACAAATTAGGTGGCTGGCTCATCTTGCTGGGGGGTTTTGGCCCCTTTTCAGTAAGGCTGGGCACAGGGGACCCCCAGTTCTCTGTCTAATGGAGTTACTGTTTAGGGGGACACCTATCACATACTAAGTACCATGCTCAGTGCTGAAGCCCTGCTTTTGAATCAAGGGTGTAAAATGGGCTCCTTATGCTCCCCACCCTTTTTTTTGAGACAAGGTCTCACTCTGTTGCCCAGGCTGGAGTGCAGTGGTGTGATCATGGCTCACTGCAGCCTCCACCTCCTGGGCTCAAGCAATCCTCCCGACTGAGCCCCCTCAAATAGCTGGGACCACAGGTATGCATCATCATGCCCAGCTAATTTTTGTATTTTTTGTAATGGCAAAGTTTCACCATGTTGCCCAGGCTGGTCTCGAACTCCTGGGCTCAAGCGATCTTCCCACTTCGGCCTCCCAAAGTTCTGGGATTACAGGCGTGAGCCACCGCGTCCAGCTATGCCCAATTTATAGCTATGTGGCCAGGAGGTGGTGAAGCTGAGGTCCAACCCCTGTTCTCCTGGACCACAAAAACCCTGCTACACTCTTCTGCCCCTTCCACTTTGCAGACCAGAAGGCTCAGAGAAGGTAAGTGACTCTCCCAATATCACCATAGCAGGTCATTGGCAGGGGTCCAGAGTTGAACCCAGACCTGCCCGACTCCCAAGCCAAAGCTACCAGGCCTCACCCCCAACCCCTGGACCCTGGTCCAGCCCCCAGCCTGCCCTGACTCACCAGACCCCGGGGGGCGGCACAGGGAGCACAGGTACCCCCACATGCCACTTGAACCCACCCGGCTGCTGCCTCGGAAGCTCGTCGCTCTCTGAACCCAGGCCCCAGGCCTGGGCTGGGCTGAGGCTGGGGGATTACCCCCAAAGCGCATGTCAGCAGCTTCTGCCCCATTGTCCAGCCAGGCACAGACACCAAGCCCTGGCCTCTGTCGGCACCCTCGCCCCTCACACCAGCCTGGGTGGCCCCTCTGCAGACCTGTCCCCCATCTCACACCAGAGGGTTGGGGCCTACTTCAGAGGGCGTGGGGGACCAGGCCAGGATGGCAGGATCCCGGAATGCTGGGGGCCTCCCTCCCTTCTCTCTGAAATGCCCCCTGCCCACTCTCAGCCACCGGGGAAGGCAGGAATGTGCTGAGCTCTGGGAAATGCCTTCCAGGCCTGGCAGCAACCAAGCATTGGGGTGTGGCCAGAAGCCAGCCAGAGCCCTCCTCCCAGGAGGGGTAGAAGGGATGGTATGGTCGGGGCTCCCGATGGGCCTGAGGAGACCCTCACTTCATTGCAGTCTCTCTCCTTCATTGATTCACGCAAACATTCTTTTGTTCCTATATTCATTCAACAAACACTCACAAGCCCTGTTTAGTGGTAGGTCTTTTGCTGGGCACAGGGGACATCAACAGATCTAACTCCACCCCAGGGAGGAGGCGGCAAACTCAGGAAAGGATCCTGCAGGAGGTGATATCGGCAGTCAAACTGAATTAGCCAGGCGTGGTGGCGGGCACCTGTGATCCCAGCTACTCGGGAGGCTGAGCAGGAGAATTGCTTAAACCCAGGAGGCAGAGGTTACAGTGAGGCAAGATTGCGCCATTGCACTCCAGCCTGGGTGACAGAGCGAGACTCTGTCTCAAAAAGAAAATAATAATAAATAATAAAAGGAAGTCAAAATGGAAGATTGAGGAGGAGGGAGCTAAGGAAAAAAGGAGGGAAGGGGGTTCCAGGCAGAGGGACAAATGTGGGCAAAGGACCAGAGGTGAGAAATGGAGCGGGTCTTCATTCACCATCAGCAAACATTCAGTGAGCACCTGGTCTTCTGTCCAGTCCCAGGCTGGATGGTGCTGGGGACACAGTGTGACTGGGACAGCTCAGGCCTGCATCCACACCATTCACAGTCCAGCAGGGAACAAACCCAGAAAGAGGAGGGTTGTGATGGGGCAATCATAGGCAGAGAGGTCAAAGCCTTGATGGGGAAGTCCAGAAAAGGTGGCTGCCCCAGCCTAGGAAGAGAAATCAAGGAGGGCTTCCTGGAGGAAGTGGCATTTGAGCTTGCACCTGGAGGATATATAGAAGTTAACCCAAAGCCATGGGTGGTGAAGGAATGACAGTGTGTTTCAGGTAGCGGGAACACCCTGTGCAAAGGCCCTTTGAGAAAACGGTTAAGGTGAGAGTGTGAGGGAAAGGTAAGAGGAGGTCCAGGGGTCAGCAGGGCCATGAGGAGGGCCTCAGACTTTGTCCTGTGGGCCCTGAAGAGCTATCAGAGGGACAAAGTATGAATAGCACTGAGCTTTTAGGTACCTGAAGGCAGAAAGAGGCTGAGCTATCAGCCAGGCTAGCATAGGGAAGAAAATCCCCCTCTCTCTGCTCAGGGTCAAACAGAAAAGGGAGGCTGGTACACAACATCCCCTCTCTTCCCTTGTCGCAGAGAGCAGAGATCTTTGCTTGTTCTCAGTCTTAGGGGAAAGCATTTAACCTTTTGCCATAAAGTAGGAAGTTAGCGGTCCATGTTTTGTAGATACGCTTTATCAGGTTAAGGAAGCTTCTTTCCCTAGTTTGCTGTGAGTTTTTTGTTTTCTTGTTTTTGAGAGATGCGGGTCTCACTATGTTGCCCAGGCTGGCCTCAAACTCCTGGCCTCAAGCGATCCTCCTGCCTTGGCCTCCCAAAGTGCTGACATTACAGGCATGAGCCACTGTGCCTGGCCTGCTGTGAGTTATTTTCTTTCTTTTTTTTAATTTTTCTTTTGTTTTTTTTTTTTTAGGCAGAGTTTTCGCTCTTTCACCCAGGCTGGAGCAAAGTGGCACAATCTCGGCTCACTGCAACCTTCGCCCCCTGGGTTCAAGAGATTCTCCTGCCTCAGCCTCCCGAGTAGCTGGGATTACAGGCGCCTACCACCACACCCAGCTAATTTTTGTATTTTACACTTGATCTTAGCCAAAAGGCCAAGAAGCAATAATTTTGTATTTTTAGCAGAGATGGGGGTTTCGCCATGTTGGCCAGGCTGGTCTTGAACTCCTGACCTCAGGTAATCCACCCGCCTTGGCCTCTCAAACTGTTGCGGTTACAGGCATGAGTCACCACACCTGGACTGTTGTGAATTCTTATCACGAATGGTGTGTCTCTCTGTGTGTCTCTATCTTTGTGTCTCTCTGTTCTTCTGTTTCTCTCTGTCCTTATTCTTTGTCTCTCTTTCCTAGTTTCTTTCTGTCTCATTCTGTCTGTGCGTTTCTCTCTCCCTCTCTCTCTGTCATGCTTTCCCTCACCCAAGGGGGTGTGGCCACGGGAAGCTAAGTTGGGGGTGGCCCCAGTGTCCTGGTTCCGGCTGTGGCCACCGCAGTAAACACAGGACATCCTGTGAGGCTAGGGAAGGAGGTGGACGCTTCTTCTCAGGGACCACCCTCTCCAGACTCAGTCTGAGCCAAGCAGGAGCCTTGGCCTGCCCTGCGTGGCCTAGCCACTCCGCCCCACCCAGTCCAGCCAAGGGACACTGGTGTCTCCCTCGATCCCACCGTTCACGCCCACCCCCACACCCCAGTCCTCTCTCCTGAGCTCCCGGCCCAGGGCCCGGGCAGCTCCATGCCTTCCCCTGGGTGTCTCCCCAGCCTCTTGCACCCCCTGGGTCCCTCCTTGGCCTCAGCCCCAACCCCAGACTTGCTTCTCTCCCCAGTTGCCATCTCAGGGATGGCCCCAGTGTCTCCCAGTCCCCTGATTAGAGCCCTGAGCCTGGTCTGAGACCCCTCCTCCAGGCCTTGTCAGTCCCACAGCCTGTCTGCTGGGCCTCCTGAGTGCCTCTTCCCTCCCAACAGCTGCTCCGTCCCTCCCCAGATTCTCCACCCCTGGGATCCTGGGCTCCTGGCCTCCAGTGTCACCTCCCCGACGATGCCACCCACCTAGTGAAGGGATCCTTTTACTTCATGACTCCCCAGCATCTTCAGAGTTAAGTCCCCCATCCAGGGTCCTATATGCCCTGGCCCCTGCGGACCCTTCCAGTCTTGTCATTTACCTTACTGCTTTCCTCCTCCTTCCAGCCAAACCCAGCAGCTTAGAGATCCCTGAAAATGTTGTAGGGTCTCTCTCTCAGTGACCCTTGCTGTTTCCTTGCCCACCAGAACAATAGTTCTTTGGGGCAGATACTGTTACTGTTCCAGTTTACAGGTGAGGACCCCGAGGCTCAGAGAAGTTAAGTACCTTGCCTAGAGTCACACAGCCACAGAGCGGTAACTCTTTTTTCTTTTCTTTTCTTTTCTTTTCTTTTCTTTCTTCCTTTCTTTTCTTTCTTTCTTCCTTTCTTTCTTTTCTTTCTTCCTTTCTTTCTTTCCCTTCCTTCCTTTTTTCTTCTCTCTCTTTCCTTTCTTTCTTCCTTCCTTCCTCTCTCTCCCTTCCTTCCCTCCCTCCTTCCTTCCCTCCTGCCTTCCTTCCTTCCGTCCTTCCTTCTTTCTTTCTGACAGGGTCTTGTTCTGTCACCCAGGCTGGAGTGCAGTGGTGCAATCATGGCTCATTGCAGCCTCAAACTCCTGGCCTCAAGTGATCTTCTCACCTCAACCTCCTGAGTAGCTGGGACTACAGGCGTGAGCCGTCGCATCTGGCCAAAGCTGGGGTTCAAACCCAGGCAGTCTGGCTTTCAGGAACAGTCTCTTCTCTCCAGCTTACTGCTTCAATAATATCTCTGTTAGATTTCTAAAGTGTGCCGGGACTGCATACCATAGGTGCTCAATAAGTGTTTTTTAATTTTGTTTGGTTTGGTTTTTTTGAGATGGAGTCTCGCTCTGTCGCCAGGCTGGAGTGCAGCAGCACAATCTCGGCTCACTGCAACCTCCGCCTCCCGGGTTCAAGTGATTCTCCTGCCTCAGCCTCCTGAGTAGCTGGGATTACAGGCCCGCCACCTTGCCCAGATAATTTTTGTATTTTTAGTAGAAATGGGGTTTCACCATGTTGGCCAGGATGGTCTCAATCTCTTGACCTTGTGATCCACCTGCCTCGGCCTCCCAAAATGCTGGGATTACAGGCGTGAACCACCATGCCCGGCCACTCAATAAGTGTCTAATGAATAGGGACAGAGGTAGAAGGTGAGCCTTGGAAAGTACAGAATTCAGACCCCAGAGAAGTGGGGTAATAAGGGCCCAGGGGCAGGGGAGAGATGTGGTCAGATTTACCCTTTACATAGGGATAGGCACACAGTAGGTGTGTGCTCATAAATTTTTGCTGAATGAAGGACAGGAAGAAGGGAGGGAGGAAAAAGAGACAAGATAGCTGGTCACAGCTCTTCCAGGTGTGAGAGAGAGAGAGAGAGTGTGTGTGTGTGTGTGTGTGTGTGTGTGTGTTTTGGGGGTGGTCTGTGAATGCCATGGAGGAAAGCTGGCCTAGGGGGCGTCATGGCGAGCATACACAGAGGCTCTGTGAAAGGTGGCAGTTGTGCCAGGGCTGGCGGCTCAGCTAGGAATGGTGTGGGCCCTGGAGTCTGCTGGCCAAGGTGGTGTGGCCTCCTGGGGTTGAGCCTGAGGGTGGAGCAGCACACCAGAGCCAGGGAGCCTGCACAACCCATCTGGGGGTGACACATGGGGAGAGAGGGGCAGGTCCTCACACATGAGCCATTCATAAACCTGAGGGCACCGGGCAGACGGGACCAGGGCTGATGTAGCCCATATGGTGCTTTTGTGTAAAAGACATGCCCCTTCCTGGAGGTACTTGACCTCCATCTGCTGGGAAACTTGTAATAAATATGTAAATGCAGGGTACCTGGAACACCAGTGGCAGCCCCTTACATACGGAGCCTATATGCAGTGCACAACCTATGCAACTGTACCTAGAGGCTCTGGGGAGAGGGGCCATCAGTGGCAAAGCAGGCACAGGGGCAGACGGAAGGATCAGCTCACCCCATATTGGGCCTCGGAGACATCAGAAACAGGTCCTTAGCTGGGCACAGTGGTTTGTGCCTATAGTCCCAGCCACTCTGAGGGCTGAAGCCAGAGGATCCTTTGAGCCTAGGAGTTCAAGGCTGTACAGCACTATGATCACTCCTCTGTACAGACAGTGCTCTCCAGCCTGGACAACACAGTGAGACCCAATCTCTTTGAAAAAGCGGGGAAAGGAAAGAATAAGAAACAGGCCCACGGGAATCCCAGCACTTTGGGAGGCTGAGGTGGAAGGATTGCTTGAGCCTGGGGGTTCGAGACCAGCCTGGACAACATAGGGCAACACTGTCTCTACAAAAAATTTAAAAAATCGGCCGGGCATGGTGGCTCACGCCTGTAATCCCAGCACTTTGGGAGGCTGAGGCAGGGCGGATCACTTGATATCAGGAGTTCAAGACTAGCCTGGCGAACATGGTGAAACTCTGTCTCTACTAAAAATACAAAAAATTAGCCGGGCATGGTGGCAGGCGCCTGTAATCCCAGCTACTCGGGAGGCTGAGGCAGAATTGCTTGAACCCAGGAGGCAGGGGCTGCAGTGAGCCGAGATTGCACCATTGCACTCCAGCCTGGGCGACAGAGCGAGAATCCATCTCAAAAAATAATAAATAAATAAATAAATAAAAATAAGAATAAAAATAAAATCAGTTGGGCGTGGTGGCGTGCACCTGTAACCCCAGCTAATTGGGAGGCTGACGCGGGAGGATTGCTGAAGCCCAGGAATTCGAGGCTATAGTGAGCTATGATCGCGCCACTGCACTCTCCAGCCTGGGCGACAAAGCGAGACCCCGTCTCTAAAAAAAAAAAAAAAAGAAAAAGAAAAGAAAGAAACAGGCCCGCAGAGTGTTGTAAACAGAGGGCGTTCATGATCCCTCGACCACTGGACAGATGTCCGGGGAACCCAAGACGGCGGCACCGCAGAGCCCGACTGGGCACCAGGGGGCGGTGCTGAGCTCAGCCCAGGCGCCCAAGTTTTGAGTCTGCGGCAAAGCAGTCCGAGTCCCATTTGCCCGGGGCTGGAGTCACTCGGGGTTGGAGTCAGGCGCCTGGAAGACCCTCAGCCTGGACGACAGCTCCCCGCAGGCCATTTTCACCCGCTTCCGCGGCCCGCCTCATCCACTTCCAGAAATGGGCACAACTTCCTCTGCTCCTCCAGGAAGCGCCACTCTGCCCGCCCCTTCCCGGCCCCTGGGGCCGACCCAGGCTCCCCATCTGGCCCAGCTCCACTCCTGCCTCTGCCTCCCCGAGGCTTCTGGCCAGAAGCGAGGCTCTGGGACCCCACGATGGCGGCGTTTCCCTCACTCAAGGCCCCGCTGGCCCCTCGGGTCACCGTCCAGCCCCCTGCGCCTCTCTCCATGCGCACCCGCAGTTTTCACGGTGACACTCCCTCCCCTCCGTGCACCCCCCCTCAGGCTCCGCCCTGTCCCTGCGGCCGTCAGGAAGGACGCAGCCTGGGTCCCGTGCCAGGCCGCTGAGTGTGCGGCCCCTCCCAGCCAGGCCTGGAATGCGGCTGGACCGCGGGGGCGGCCGCTGACACCCGGCGCTCCAGCCAGGCCCAGCACACGGGCAGGTGGCCCCAGCTCGTCCGGGTCTGGGTTTCTTCTAGAAGGAAGGCACAGCTGCCTGCCCTGAGCTCCCTCTCTGCAGTCCAGCTACCAAGCCTAGTGGCTTTATTTCAGACACAGCTCCAAGCGTCCCTATCCTTTGCCCAGAGATTTAAGACCAGGAGTGAATTTTATTTTTAAAAATGGGCTGTTGTCCCCCTTTCCTCCCCCATTTTCCTGGAGAGCCGACTCTCAGGGCTCCTTGGAGAGGATCTGTCCAGGGTCCAGGTTTTGTGTTTTTATTTCGGGACCATTCTGAAAGCAATCTCCCCTTCGCTCCTCAATAAATACAGGTAGACTCCAGGCGAGGACTTGCTTTCATTTTTAAAAAGTTGCCTTGACTTCCTGCTAGCAAAGAAAAGAAATAAAATTTAAGAAAAAAAAAAAAAGGCCAGGCACAGTGGCTCACGCCTGTAATCCCAGCACTTTGGGAGGCTGAGGCAGGCAGATCACGAGGTCAGAAGATGAAGACCATCCTGGCTAACACGGTGAAACCCTGTCTCTACAAAAAATATAAAAAATTAGTCGGTCCCAGCTAATTGGGAGGCCGAGGCAGGAGAATCGTTTGAACCTGGGAGGTGGAGGTTGCAGTGAGCCGAAGTCACGCCACTGCACTCCAGCCTGGGCGACAGAGTAAGAATCTGTCTTAAAAAAAAAAGAAAGAAAAAAAAAAAGTGGCCTGGTAGGAGGATCGCTTGAGCCCAGGAGTTTGAGGCTGTAGTGAGCCATGATCAGACCACTGTACTTCAACCTGGGTGACAGAGCGAGACCCTATCTCAAAAAAAAAAAAAAAAAAGTTCATAATTTAAAACCCACCTCAAGTGATAATCTTGGAACCTTGGTTTTCTCACCTGTAAAATAGGGATGATAATACTACCGATCTTGTAGGGCTGTTATAGGATTAAATGAGTTAACACAGTGACGTGCTTAGAAACTGTGCCTCGTACACAGCCTACGCCCAATAAAATGTTTGATGTTTTTATCTCGCCTTCACATTTGCCCAGAGACAAAGCAGCACACGGATTTGAGATTTCCCAGGACTGGCTTTAATTTGAAAAATCTGATTGGGGTCTCTTCCCGTATCAGAGAAGGAACAGCCCAAGCTATGACCCCAGGGCCAGGGAATTCAGTCCCCACCAGACCCTGTCATTCCATCACTAGGGGGTAATTCCAGGCTCCCCCTGCCAGCCCTGAGACAGGAGGACGGATGTGAAGTTGCCCAGGACTAGATTCTGTCTCTCCAAAGTGGCCCAAGCCCTGTTCTCTGTACTAGGGAAGCCAGCTGTGTCTTTTCGAGGACAGTTGGTCCAGCCAGCAGGCTCAGTTCAGATACCAGACAACCATTCCAGCACGAGGGCTCAGCGCCCTGGCCCCGGCGGTCGCTCCAGTGCCTGTGTGCCCACCAGCACATCCATGAGGTAGTCCAATTCGGCCTCGTCCAGCTCCGGAGCTTCCTCCTTGCCCGGCCCATCCTCAGGGCCTGGTTTGAGGCCCTCAGAGGCTGGTGCCCAAAGTTCATTGTCATACATAGAGGTGTCAATATCCTCAAACAGGCCCTCAAGCCCATCGTCCAGTAGACAGCCAGTGGCTGGGCCCAGCAGGTCCAAGGCACCCAGGCTGGGCGCTGCTCCCCCGATGCTACGGCCTGGTGGCCCCTCGTCTGCCAAGGGTTGGGGAGCCTGACTCAGGCCCTCAATGTGGCTGAGGTCCTCCAGGAGGCTGGCCATGGAGGCTGAAAGGGCAGCGTCCGAGCTTGCCAGTAAGTTGTCAGCCACACTGGGGGCTGCAGGTGGGCTAGGCACAGGTGGCAGGGCAGCCGCGGGTGCCATGGACGCCTGGATGCGCCGCAGAGTGTTCACGACCAGCACCAGGTGCCGCAGGTCCGGCTCACTCTGCTGCAGGCTGTGGTGGAGCTTGAGCACTGAGAGGTCAAAGAGGGAGCTAGAGGCCACGGCCGGGGGTGCCTGTGCCACCGCTGTGTGGCCAGGATCTAGCCACCAGGAGTCGACTGCCAGAGGTTCCTTCTCCTCCTCCTCCTCCCGTTTCCGCTTCAGACCCTTGCTCAGCATCTGCAGAGGGCAGGGAGTTATGGAGTTATAGTCAGTTATAGAAAACAAATGTTAAGTTCAAAGCCTGGATCTGACAGTTGCTGCAGGTAGGATCTTGGGGAAGTCACTTAACCTCTCTGTGCCTAGCTTTTCTTAGGGAACTTTAAAGATATAGACAATTTTTATTTAACTGTATATGTATATTTATAGATTTTTTTTGAGATGGAGTCTCGCTCTGTTGCCCAGGCTGGAGTGTAATGCCGTGATCTCAGCTCATTGCAACCTCTGCCTCACAGGTTCAAATGATTCTCGTGCCTCAGCCTCCCCAAAAGCTAGGATTACAGGCACATGCCACCACACCCGGCTAATTTTTATATTTTTAGAAGAAGCATGGTTTCACCATGTTGGCCAGGCTGGTCTCGACCTCCTGGACCTCAAGTGATCCGCCCACCTCTGCCTCACAAAGTGCTGGGATTACATGCGTGAGCCACCGCGCCTGGCCTATAGACTTCTTAAATTTTAAATTTTATATTTAAGTATATTTATAGACTTTTTTATCTGAAAAAATAAAGATGGGGTCTCACTATATTGCCCAGGCTGGTCTCAAACTCCTGGCCTGAAGCGATCCTCCCCCCTCAGTCAATAAGTACTTTTTTTTTTCCCTTTTATTTTTTTGTAGAGACATGGTCTCACTATGTTGCCCAGGGTGGTCTCAAACTCCTTGCCTCAAGCCATCCTCCTTCCTCAGCCTCCCAAAGTACTGAGATTACAAGTGTGAGCTGCCTCACCCTGCCAATAAGTACACTTAATGATAACATTATTATTTCTTCAGTGAACCATGTGGAATGGCCAATATTCAACTTTTTCCCCTACAAAAGCAGCTGTTTCACATATTTTATTATAATAACATAATTATATCTAAATAAGTTATAATATTATAAATACTAAACTAGTTTCACGTAGTTTAATATTTATTGTCTACTATGACTATGTTTCAAACAGTAAATAAATAAGGAAACACAGGAAATGTACAGAGAATTACAGGAAGACACTAAAAGTTCCTAGAGACCTTTTAGATCATCAGAGAAGGCTCCTGTAAGGAGGTGACATTTGAATGGAGCCCTCAGGCCAGAGAAGTCAGCCATGGGAGACCCTGGGAAAAGCATTCCGGGAGGAGGGAACAACAAAAAAAGGCAGAGAAAAGCCCAGAGGCTGGATGGGCTTGAACTGGAAAGAGACCAGCATGGGTGGCACACAGAGAGTGACATGGTAGGAGACCAGATTGGGGAGCAGCTAGGGGAACGGGCACAAGCCAGGTCACAGAAAGCCACATATGCAGAAGTAGGGAGTTTGGATTTTATCCTGAGTGTGGTGGGCAGTCATTAAAGGAATTTGAGCAGGGAGGGAATGGTGCTGTGAGCTGATTAGGTTTCCGGAAGATCCCCCCCATGGCTGCTTCGAGGAAGACTGTGGGGGGCAAAAAGAGGGGGGATCTGAGACCCACTGGTAGGCTGTACTCGTTTGGGACGGACGATGGTGATGGCCTGGAGTAGGAGCTGGTAGTGGCATGGAAGGAAGTCGGTCGAGTCAGGACTTATTTGGGAGGCAGAATAGACAGGGCTTGTCGGGAAATCGTGATCGGCACCGGGTTCAGTCACTGAGATAAGTTTGAGGGTCCACTGTTCTTGGAGTGGCGGGGGTAGGGCTGGAGTTTTGGACTCCTGGCGCTACCTACTTTTTTGGGCCAGGAAGACTGTAGAGTCCAGTTTCGGAACCCTGCCTAGCAAGATTTTAAGAATGGCCCACCACACTACTCAAAACAGGGTCTTCGTCCCCTTCCCCGCAGTCCGGGGAGTCCGGAACCGCAGGAATTCCGCCCCCACCCCCGACTCCGCCCCCGGGTCCCGGCGCCCCCTAGCGGTGCCCAGGCCGGCTTTCCCCCGGGGATTCTGGCCCCTCTGACCCCAGGACCCCTTCTACTGCCCCGATTCCCGGCTGTGATTCCTGCCGGCCTCCCGGCGCCGTGCGAGCCGGGACCCCTGGCGGGCTGTTCTCTGCGCCCGGCCTCCGCTCGCTTCCGGCAGTGGAGGCGGCTCCTCCCGAAGCGGCGGCGGCGGGGGCGGGTGAGTCACGCAGCCGGAGCCAAGAAGCCGGCGCCTCCGCCCCCTTCTCGGACTGCGGCGTGATTCACCCGGCCCGGCCGGGGCAGACAGCACGTAGAGGTCCGTGCGTCTCGATCCCGGGCAGCCCCGGCGGGCACCTGTCGGACCCAGGGATCGAACTCTGTGAAGGACCCGGCCGCTGGTAGCCCTTCTGTTCCCAGGCCCCTTCATTTACATACCTTGCTCACTAGCGGCCAATCAGAACGAAGAGGTAGCCACCCACAACCAATCAGGAAACGGCGGCGGCAGCATCGCTTGTTGGCTGTCCTCCGGAAACCCGCGCCTGGGTCGCGAGACGCAGTTCTGACTCCGGCTCACGACTCCAGACTCCTAACTACCCTTAGCGACCGCCCACTCTCGTGGCTGCCCCGCCCTCCGCCCCAGGGATTGGCCCTGCATGGTGATGGGCGGAGCTTGTAGGGGGCGGATTCTGAAGGAGGGGCTTCAGGGCGCATGCCCGGGCAGCTGCGCGAGTGAGGGGTGGAAAGAGGTGGCTTTTTACTCCGGGGAACGGTGGCGAGTGGGGGCTTTTGCCTCTCAAAATACGAGCCCCTCACAACTACCCATGCACCTGCCAAACCCGGCAATTAAGCTTCTTACACATCCAGCCCCGACAGGGGTCTACACTACAGATAATGCCCGGGTTCAAATTCCGACTCCGGATTCCCCACTCACTGGATGCGTGACCTTGGAAAAATGATCAACCTCTTCAAGCTACACAAAGTTAAATGGGGATCGTCTTGCCTACCTCTTGACAGGATACTTTAAGTAGGATCGTATCTATAAGAACACAATACCACACTCAAGCAATGCTGGACAGTTGGACTTAATTGTGGTTAAAGGCGGGAGTGAGGTGGGAGTGCGATACCAACGGAATCACATCCCGGGCTCCATTCCCTAAGCAGCTGTGTGACCTGCGGCAAGTGTTTTAATCCCTTCTGGTCTGTTTCTCCTTTAAAATGAGAGAAAATAGCGCCTAGTTTACAGGATTGTTTTTAAGGATTAAATTAATTCATGAAAAATCTTCAGAGTGGGGTGCAACATGTTTTGTGTTTTTTTTTTTTTTTTCATTTTATTTATTTATTTATTTATTTATTTGAGACAGATTCTCACTCCGTCGCCCAGGCTGGAGTGCAGGGGCACGATCTCGGTTCACTGTAACCTCCGCCTCCCAGGTTCAAGCAATTATCCTGCCTCAGCCTCCCGAGTAGCTGGGACTACAGGCGTGCGCCACCACGCCCGGTTAATTTTTGTATTTTTAGTAGAGATGGGGTTTCACCATGTTAGCCAGGCAGGTCTCAAACTCCTCACCTCAGGTGATCCGCCCTCCTCGGCCCCTGAGTGTTGGGATTACAGGCGTGAGCTACCGCGCCCAGCTGCTTATTATTTTTTTCTTTACTTTTTATTTTATTTTATTTTGCTTTTGAGACAGGGTCTCGCTCTGTCACCCAGGCTGAAGTGCAGGGGTGCCATCTCGGCTCACTGCAGCCTCCCAGGTTCAAGCCATCCTCCTGCCTCAGACCCCCAAGCAGCTGGGACTACAGGCGCACACCACCATGCCTGGTTAGCAACGTTGTTTCTTTGTTAGTAGTAATAGCTGTTGTAATAAGACAAGCTCTTAGTTCAAGGTGGATAGACATGCAGGATGGGGCTAGAGGTAGACAGGGTATAATACTCCTCCCATGGCCGGATGCAGTGGCTCACGCCTGAATACTCTCTCACCTAGATTTAATTGATAGTTGTTAGCTAGGCAACAACTGTAATCCAGTACTTTGGGAGGCCAAGGCAGGAGGGTCACTTGAGTCCAGGAGTTCACTTGAGTCCAGCCTGGGCAACACAGTGAGATCTCATCACTACAAAAAAATTTAAGAATTAGCCAGGCGTGGGCCGGGCGTGGTGGCTCACGCCTGTAATCTCAGCATTTTGGGAGGCCGAGGTGGGCAGATCACGAGGTCAGGAGTTCGAGACCAGCCTGGCCAACATGGTAAAACCCTGTCTCTACTAAAAATACAAAAAATCAGCCAGGTGTGGTGGCAGGCGCCTGTAATCCCAGCTACTCAGGAGGCTGAGGCAGGAGAATAGCTTGAACCCAGGAGGCAGAGGTTGCAGTGATCCAAGACAGCGCCACTGCACTCCAGACTGGGCAACAGAGCAAGACTCTGTCTCAAAAAAAAAAAAAAAAAAGGATTAGCCAGGCGTGGTAGCATGTTCTTGTGGTCCCAGCTGCTTGTGGGGCTAAGGTGGGAGGATTCCTTGAGCCCAGGAGGTCAAGGCTGCAGTGAGCCATGTTCATGCCGCTGCACTCTAGTCTGAGTAACAGAACAAGACCCTGTATCAAAAAAAAAAAAAAAGAAAAAAGTAGTAGTTGGTAACATTGTGCTAAGTTCCCTTTATCTACATATGTGTATATATTGTTTCTTTTGCTAAACCTTTGGAGAGTAATTGCAAGCATCTTGATATTCTACCCTTAACAGCTCAGGAGGCATCTCTTAAGAATAAGGACATTAGGCCCTGTGCGTTGGCTCACACCTGTAATCCCAGCACTTTGGGAGGCTAAGGCGAGTGGATCACCGGAGGTCAGGAGTTCGAGACCAGGCTAACCAATATGATGAAACCCCGTCTCTACTAATAATACAAAAATTAGCCGGGCATGGTGGCATGTGCCTGTAATCCCAGCTACTCAGGAGGCTGAGACAGGAGAATTGCTTGAACCCAGGAGGTGGAGGTTGCAGTGAGCTGAGATTGCGTCATTGCACTCCAGCCTGGGCAACAAGAGCAAACTCCACCTAAAAAAAAAAAAGAATAAGGACATTCATGTACAAGCCACAAAAATACTATTTCACATCTAATAGAATCAAGAATTCCACAATATCACCTAATCAAATCTCTCCAACTGACCCAAGAATATCCTTTATAGTTGCTTTCTTTTCTCCAAAATCAGGATCCAATGAAGGTTCACATGCTAATTTGGTTGTAATGAAGAAATTACATACTATATTTTATTCTCGAATATTCCCCCACCCAAATCCCTTTTTTTTTTTTTTTTTTTTTTGAGACAGAGTCTTGCTCTGTCGCCCAGGCTGGAGTGCAGTGGCATGATCTTGGCTCACTGCAACCTCCATTTCCGGGTTAAAGTGATTCTCCTGCCTCAGCCTCCCGAGTAGCTGGGATTATTGGCGTGCGCCACCACGCCTGGCTAATTTTCTTGTGTTTTTAGTAGAGACAGGGTTTCGCCATGTTGGCCAGGCTGGTCTCAAACTCCTGACCTCAGGTGATCCACCCGCTTTGGCCTCCCAAAGTGCTGGGATTACAGGCATGAGCCACCACACTCAGCCTCAAATCCTTTTTGATGTTTTGTTGACATTGAATTTCTGGCAAAACAGACTAGTCATGCTGCATAGTGTCCCACATTCTGGATTTGTCTGACTGTGTTTAATTTGTTCCTCTCTTTTTCCAATAAGCTGGAGGTTGGGTCTAGGGGCCTGGTGAGATTCTGCTTATGCAGTGAACAGGGAGACTCCACAGGGTGTGTCCTAATCCTTATTAATGTACTTCCTAATCCTAACGCATTATAGTAGTTGGCACCAGTGTCAGGATGTCCCACCATTGGTAATGCAGAGTTTCATCACGTGATTAAGATTGTGAGGGTTACATCGTAAAATAAATTTATCCTTTCTAGTTAGCAAATAACCTTTGGGATGATGCTTTAGAGCCTGTGAAGATCCTATCTCCAAGATGTATGTGGTGGCTCATGCCTGTAATGCTGGCACTTTGGGAGGCCAAGGCGGGAACTTAAGCCCAGGAGGTTTTGTGATTTTTTTTTTTTTTTTTTTGAGACGGAGTCTCACTTTGTCGCCCAGGCTGGAGTGCAGTGGCACGATCTCGGCTCACTGCAAGCTCCGCCTCCTGGGTTCATGCCATTCTCCTGCCTCAGCCTCCTGAATAGCTGGGACTACAGGTGCCCGCCACCTCGCCCGGCTAATTTTTTTTCCTTTTTTTTTTTTTTGTATTTTTAGTAGAGACGGGGTTTCACCATGTTAGCCAGGATGGTCTCAATCTCCTGACCTCGTGATCCGCCCGCCTTTGCCTCCCAAAGTGCTGGGATTACAGGCGTGAGCCACCGCACTTGGCCAGTTTTTTTTTTTTTTTTTTTTTTTTTTGAGATGGAGTCTTGCTCTGTCGCCCAGGCTGGTGTGTAATGGCGTGGTCTTGGCTCACTTCAACTTCCGCCTCCCGGGTTCAAGGATTCTCCTGCCTCAGCCTCCTGAGTAGCTAGGATACAGGTGCATGCCACTATGCCTGGCTAATTTTTGTATGTTTAGTAGAGACAGGGTTTCACCATGTTAGCCAGGCTGGCCTCAAACTCCTGACCTCAGGTGATCTGCCCACTTTGGCCTCCCAAAGTGCTGGGATTACAGGCATGAGCCACCTTGGCCTCCCAAAGTGCTGGGATTACAGGCGTGAGCCACCACATCTGGCTTTTTTTTTTTGGGGGGGGGGATGGAGTCTCTGTCACCCAGGCTGGAGTGCAGTAGCACAATCTCAGCTCACTGCAACCTCCGCCTCCCGCGTTGAACTATTCTCCTGCCTCAGCCTCCTGGGTAGCTGGGATTATAGGCGTGCACCACCATGCCTGGCTAATTTTTGTATTTTCAGTAGAGACGGGGTTTCAACATGTTGGTCAGGCTGGTATCGAACTCCACCCACCTCGCCCTCCCAAAGTGCTGGGATTACAGGCATGAGCCACTGTGCCTGGCCAGAGCCCAGGAGTTTGAGACTAGCCTGGGCAACACAGCAAGACCCAATCTCCACAAAATACTGGTTTTTGTTTATGTTTTGTTTGTTTTTGAGACGGAGTCTCGCTCTGTCGCCAGGCTAGAGTGCAGTGGCACTATCTACAGAATACTGTTTTTAAAAACTTATCCTAGCATGGTGGCATGCACCTGCAGTCCCAGCTTCTTGGGAGGTTGAGGTGGATCACTTGAGCCCAGGAGTTTGAGGCTGCAGTGAGCCATGATTGCACTAGTGCACGCCAGCCTGGGTGAAAGAGTGAGACCCCAAAAGATCCTGTTTTCCACTAACTTTTCACCCAACTGTTTGAGCATTCATTGACAATTGCTGCCTGAATTAACTACCATAGTTAGCATTTTTGAGAACTTACTTTGGCCAGGAGCTTTATTCAAAACTAAAAGCTCTTCCCACAGCTCAGGAATTAACAAATGAGCTACTTGAAGAAGGTTAAGTCTCATTGCCAGTTTATGGGACGAGTATTTTTTTTTTTTTTTTTGAGACGGAGTTTCGCTCTTGTTGCCCAGGCTGGAGTGCAATGGCACAGTTTTGGCTCACCACAGCCTCTGTCTCCTGGGTTCAAGAAATTGTCCTGCCTCAGCCTCCCGAGTAGCTGCGATTACAGGCATGCACCACCACGCCTGACCAATTTTGTATTTTTAGTAGAGACGGGGTTTCTCCCTGTTGGTCAGGCTGGTCTTGAACTTCTGACCTCAGGTGATCCGCCTGCCTCGGCCTCCCAAAGTGCTGGGATTACAGGCATAAGCCACCATGCCCGGTCCACGCCTGGCTCTTAAATTTTTTTGTAGTGATGAGATCTTACCATGTTGCCCAGGCTGATCTTGAACTCCTGGACTCAAGTGACCCTCTTGCCTTGGCCTCACAAAGTACTGGGATTATAGTTGTTCCCTGTCCAACAACTATCAAATAAATCTAGGTGAGATAGTATTCAGATGCTCAGAATACTTTTTTTCCCCATCTTTTCTATGTGCTTGAATTTTTAATAATAAAATTAAGGTAAGATGCTAATTAGAACCAGGCCCCCACTAGGCAAATTCACATTTTCTGCCCTCCAGAATCCATTTTTATGGCTGGCAAAAGGGACGCCTGGACCTGGAGTCTCCCAGTGGCTTACTCCAGGTCATACACTGAAGGAAAAGGAAATTTTCCTTCATGCTTGTAGTTTCAGCTGCTTCAGAGGCTGAGGTGGGAGGATCGCTTGAACCTGGGAGACAGAGGTTGCAGTGAGCCAGGATCAGGCTGCTGCTGCGCTGTACTCCATCCTGGGCGACAGAGCAAGACTCTGTAAAAAAAAAAAAAACAAAAAACAAAAAACAAAAAACAAGAACAAGAGCTCAGAGGAATCATCTGATTAATATATATTTATTAAGCACCTACTATGTGGTGGCCACTGTTGTAGATGGTGAGGATACAGCACTGGGTAAATTTCACAGAGTCTCCCCTCTCATGGAACAGGGTAGGAGGTGAAGAGAGAAAATATATATGAAAACGAATGCATTCATTGATTTGCAAACATTTATGTCTTGAGCCCCTTTTGTGTGCCAGACACTGTTATAGGCACTGAAGAAAGGGCAGTGAAATTATAGATGAAAATCTCTTATGGGAGCAGATGAACAATAAACAAATTACCTTGGCCGGGCGCCGTGGCTCACGCCTGTAATCCCAGCACTTTGGGAGGTCGAGGCAGGCCGATCACTTGAGGTCAGAAGTTCGAGACCAGCCTGACCAACATGGTGAAACCCCATCTCTACTAAAGATACAAAAGTTAGCCGGGTGTGGTGGCAAGTACCTGTACTCCCAGCTACTTGGGAGGTTGAGGCAAGAGAATTGTTTGAACCCGGGAGGCAGAGATTGCAGTGAGCCGAGATCGTGCCACTGCGCTCCAGCCTGGGTGACAGAGCAAGACTCTGTCCGAAAAAAGAAAAGAAAACAATCTAAACAACAACAACAACAAAAATTGAAAAAAAGACAGCAAATTAAATCAATTTAATTTGCATTTTTAGTAGAGATGGGGTTTCGCCATGTTGATCAGGCTGGTCTCGAACTCCTGACCTCAGGTGATCCGCCCGCCTCGGCCTCCCAAAGTGCTGGGATTACAGGCATGAGCCACCACGTCTGGCCAGTTTTTTTTTAATTTTTTATTTGTAGAAGCAGAGTATCCCCATGTTGCCCAAGCTGGTCTTGAACTCCTGGGCTCGAGTGATCCTCATGCCTCCGATTCCCAAAGTGCTGGGATTACAGGAGTGAGCCACCTGGCCGCCGGGTCTACTTCTTTTGTTTCATCAGGTCTCTGCTGAATTGTCACCTCTTCAGACATAACACATCCTCCTCCCCAAAGCTGCACATCTCTCAGCTCACTGCAACCTCCAATCTCCTGAATTCAAGCAATTCTCCTACCTCAGCCTCCCGAGTAGCTGGGATTACAGGCGCCTGCCACCATGCCCGGCTAATTTTTTTTTTTTTTAATAGAGACGAGGGTTTCATCATGTTGGCCAGACTAGTCTCGAACTCCTGACCTCAAGTGATCCACCCGCCTGGGCCTCTCAAAGTGTTGGGATCACAGGCATGAGCCACTGCACCCGGTCTGCTTTTTTCTTTTCCTTTGCAATTACCTGCTCCTAAGGTACTAGATAATTTGTGTGGTTTTTTTGTTTTGTTTTGTTTTGAAAGTAGCCCGGCGTGATGGCAGGCGCCTGTAGTCCCAGCTACTCGGGAGGCTGAGACAGGAGAATTGCTTGAACCCGGGAGACGGAGGTTGCGGTGAGCCGAGACGGTGCCACTGCCATCTCAAAAAACAAAAACAAAAACAAACAAAAAAATTAGCCGGGCGTGCCTGTAGTTCCAGGTACTTGGAAGGCTGAGGTAGGAGAATCACTTGAACCTGGAGTTTGAAGCTGCAGTGAGCTATGATCGCCCCACTGTACTCCAGCCTGGGCGACAGAGAACGACTCTGTCTCAAAAAACAAACAAACCAAAACAAATGAGAGAGGTAGGAAAACTAGAGGAAGAGCATTCCAGGCAGAGGCGAGAGCCAGTGCAAAGGCTCTGAAGTGCTGCCTGTCAGGAGACAAGGCCAGGGCAGCTGGACTGGGAGCTGCCGGGAAGGAGGTCCGAGAAGTGAGGCCTTTTAGCCTACTCTGTGGACCTTTGTTTTTTACTCCGAGCGGGATGAGAAGACCCTGGAAGATGAATCGATGAGAAAAATAATTTCCGTTTCCGTTCAGTGACTTGAAGAAAACAAAATAAGACGGGATAATCGCCTGTAACCAGGGTGGTCCTAGAGAGAGATTCTTCGAGGCGTTGACATTGGAGCTGGGGCCAGAAAATGGAGACGGAGCCAGGAATTCAAAGGCTGGGGGAAGGGAGAAGAGGAGAGGCCGGGCCTGGGGAAATGAAACCATCGGCGAAGCCACCGGGCCCGGCAGGCCTGGAGAGAAGCCTCCGCCTGCTGGGGAGGGAGGCAGGGAGGGGGGTCGGGAGGCGCGGCCCGCCCCGTCCGGCCTCTGGGGAGGGAGGAGGCGCCAGGCCGGCTCCCGGCCGCGGCCGCCTCCCGGGTACCCCGGCCGGCCCAGGGCGGAGGGTGGGCAGCGGGGAGGGACTGGGCCTTCCCGCCACGCCCAGGGCGGGCCGCGGGCCCATCCCCCGCCGCGGAGGAGGGCAGGTTGGGGAACGTGGACACTGCCCTCGGGGACTCGGTTCCTTCTGCAGGGCCAGCCTTTCCACTTCTGTGGCCAGTTCTTTTTAACAAGTGCGGTGTTAAGGAAGGCGCTGGGCCTCTCGGAGCCTCAGTTTTTTCATCTGGAAAGAGGGTGCTCCTCTTACTGGCCTCATCGCGGTGCTAAGGAACTGTGCGATTCCCCTTCCCAGGGTTATCTTCAGGGCAGGCAGAGAGCTGCAGGGAAAGGGGGAGGGCGGGGCACGGTGGCTCACTTTTTAAACAAAAAGTTTGTTTGTTTGTTTCCAGACGAAGTCTTGCTCTGTCGCCCAGGCTGGAGTGCAGTGGCGCCATCTCGGCTCACTGCAACCTTCGCCTCCCGGGTTCAAGCAATTCTCCTGCCTCAGCCTCCCGAGTAGCTGGGATTACAGGCGCCCGCCACCACACCCGGCTAATTTTCAGTAGAGACGGGGTTTCACCATGTTGGCCAGGCTGGTCTCGAACTCCTAACCTCGTGATCCGCCTGCCTCGGCCTCCCAAAGTGCTGGGATTACAGGCATGATCCACCGCGCCTGGCCTGTTTGTTTTTGAGACGGAGTTTCGCTCTTGTCGCCCAGGCTGGAGTGCAGTGGCCCCATCTCAGCTCACTGCAATCTCCACCTCTCCGGTTCAAGCAATTATCCTGCCTCAGCCTCCGGAGTAGCTGGGATTACAGGCAGCTGCCACCTTGCCCAGATAATTTTTGTATTTTTAGTAGAAATGGGGTTTCACTATGTTGGCGAGGCTGGTATTGAATTCCTGACCTCAAGTAATCCGCCTGCCTCAGCCTCCCAAAGTGCTGGGATTGTAGGAGTGAGCCAGGGCGCCCTACCTGTTTTTGTTTTTGAAACAGGGTCTTGCTCTGTAGCCCAGGCTGGAGTGCAGCAGTGGGATTTCCTCTCACTGCAACCTCTGCCCATTATGGGCTCAAGCGATCCTTCTACCTCAGCCTCACTAGTAGCTGGGACTACAGGTGAGCACCACCACACCCAGTTTTTTTGTTTTTTTTGTTTTTTTGGTTTTTTTTTTGAGTAGAGACAGGACCTCAGGGCCTTGCCATGTTACCCCAGGCTGGTCTCAAGCTCCTGGGCTCAAGCAATCTGACTGCCTTGGCCTCCCAAAGTGCTGGGATTACAGGGGTGAGCCAACGTGCCTGGCCCTTCTTCAGGTTTTTACCCAAATGTCACCTTGTCTCAGACGCCCTATCTGGCCATCCTATGTAAATTGCAACACCCTCCTCACTCCTCTGCTCCCCCCTGCCCCCACAGCATTTATCACCACCTGGCTGACTTACACATTTTCACTTCTTTTTTTTTTTTTTTTTTTGAGACAGAGTCTTGCTCTGTCACCCAGGCTGGAGTGCAGTGGTGTGATCTCGGCTCACTGCAACCTCCGCCTCCCGGGTTCAAGTGATTCTCCTGCCTCAGCCTCCTGAGTAGCTGGGACTACAAGTGTGCATCACAATACCCAGCTAATTTTTGTATTTTTAGTAGAGATGGGGTTTTACCATGTTGGCCAGGCTGGTCTCGAACTCCTGACCTCAAATTATCCACCCACCTTGGCCTCCCAAAGTGTTGGGATTACAGGCGTGAGCCCCCACACCCGGCCTTATTTTTCTTTTTATTTACTTAATTATTTTTGAGACATAATTTTACTCTGGTTGCCCAGGCTGGAGTGCAGTGGCCTGATCTCAGTTCACTGCAACCTTCACCTCTCAGGTTCAAGCGATTCTCCTGCCTCAGCCTCTGGAGTAGCTGGGATTACAGGCGCCGGCCACCATGCCCAGCTAATTTTTTTGTATTTTTGGTAGAGAGGGGGTTTCACTGTGTTGGCCAGTCTGCTCTTGAACTCCTGACCTCAGGTGGTCCACTCGCCTTGGCCTCCCAAAGTGCTGGGATTGCAGGTGTGAGCCACAGCGCCCGGCCCTATCTAACTAACTATCTATCTATCTATCTATCTATCTATCTATCTATCTATCTATTTGGAGTGGGAGTCTCACTCTGTCGCTTAGGCTGGAGTGCAGTGCTGTGATCACAGCTCACTGTAACCTCCAACTCCTGGGCTGAAGAAGGGATCCTCCCACCCGAGTCTTCTGAATAGCTGGGACTAGCGTGCCCAGCTAATTTTTTTTTAAAATTGTTTTAGAGATGTGGTCTTGCTATGTTGCCCAAAGTGGTCTTGAATTCTTGGCCTCCAATAATCCTCCTGCCTCAGCCTCCTGAGTTACTGGGCTCATAGTCACGTGCTGCCATGCCTGGCATTATTTTTCATGTGTATTTCACTCTTCCCCCACTGTTAAATTTCATGAGAGCAGGAATTGTCTATTTTATTTATTTTCCTGCTGAAGAGTGCCAGGTCCACAGCAGGCACTCAATAAATCTGAGCCATTATTGGAATCCTTGGCCTGCCTCAGGCTCCCTGACACTTTGCAGTGTGAGGCAGGTATTACTCCAGATCCTTCAGTTTGGAATATGGTGTATATGAGGAACAGCAGGGAATGGTGTGGTGGGAGTATAAGAGTGAGGGTGTGTAGGGGAGATGAGTTCAGAAAGGTGGGAGGGAAAGTTAGTCATTGCTAGGTCTGGAGTTCATTTTTTTTTTTTTTTTTTTGAGACGGAGTCTTGCTCTGTCACCCAGGCTGGAGTGCAGTGGTGCAATCTCGGCTCACTGCAAGCTCCGCCTCCCAGGTTCACGCCATTCTCCTGCCTCAGCCTCCCGAGTAGCTGGGACTACAGGTGCCCGCCACCTCGCCCGGCTAATTTTTTTGTATTTTTAGTAGAGACGGGGTTTCACCGTGTTAGCCAGGATGGTCTCAATCTCCTGACCTCGTGATCTGCCCGCCTCGGCCTCCCAAAGTGCTGGAATTACAGGTGTGAGCCACCGCACCCGGCCTTTTTTTTTTTTTTTTTTTTTTTTTGAGACAGGACCTCCCTCTGTTGCTCTGTTCCAGATGGAGTGCTGGAGTGCAGTGGTGTTATCTCTGCTCACAGCCTCCATTTCCTGAGCTCGAGCGATCCTCCCACCTCAGCCTCCTGAGTAGGTGGGACTACAAGGGCATGCCATCAGCCCAGCTAATTTTATTTTAGTTTTTTGTAGAGATGGGGTCTCCCTGTGTTGCCCAGGCTGGTCTTGAACTGGACACAAGCGATCTTCCTGCCTCAGCCTCCCAAAATGCTGGGATTACAGGCGTGAACCACTGCACCTGGCCAAGTTTTTCAACAACAAATAATTTTTTTTTTTTTTGAGATGGAGTTTCGCTCTTGTTGCCCAGGCTGGAGTGCAATGGCACGATCTCAGCTCACCACAACCTCCGCCTCCTGGGTTCAAGTGATTCTCCTGCCTCAGCCTCCTGAGTAGCTGGGATTATAGCCATGTGCCACTACGCCTGGCTAATTTTGTATTTTTAGTAGAGACAGGGTTTTTCCATGGTGGTCAGGCTGGTTTCGAACTCCTAGCCTCAGGTGATCCGACCGCCTTGGCCTCCCAAAGTGCTGGGATTATAGGCGTGAGCTACCGTGCCTGACCCTTCAACAACAAATAATTTTGGAGAGTGCAGTTGTGCCAAGCATAGTTCTAGGCACAGACCAACACAACCCTCAGAGTTCCCAGGAGAGTAGGAGGCTACCTATAGATGGGAAATAAGTAACTCGAGATTGGGTAGATGCTACTAAAACAAAATCAGTCCAGGTGCAGTGGCTCATGCCTGTAATCCCAGCACTTTGGGAGGCCGAGGCGGGCGGATCACCTGAGGTCAGGAGTTCAAGACCAGCCTGACCAATATGGAGAAACGTTGTCTCTACTGAAAATACAAAATCAGCTGGGTGTGGTGGCGCATGCCTGTAATCCCAGCTGTTCGAGAGGCTGAGGCAGGAGAATCACTTGAACCCAGGAGGCGGAGGTTGTGGTGAGCCAAGATCGCGTCATTGCACTCCAGCCTGGGCAACAAGAGTAAAACTCCGTGTCAAAAAAAAAAAAAAAAAATTAGCCAGGTGTGGTGGCATGTGCCTGTAATCCCAGCTACTCGGAAGGCTAAGGTAGAAGAATTGCTGGAACTGGGAGGTAGAGGCTGCAGTGAGCCAAGATCATGCCACTACACTCCATTCTAGGAGACAGAGCAAGACTCCATCTCAAAAAAAAAGAAAGAAAGAAAATCAAACAAGTTGTGGTGGGGTGGTGACCCACCTGGATGTGTTGAGCTAGGAAGGGCAAGGAAGACCTCCCTGAGAAGGGGATATTGGGATTGGTGAAGCTATTGGGGAAAATGTCCACTGGGAAAATTTAACAGTTAGGGCAAAGGCCCTGGGGTGAGAAGGAGCTGGGGTCAAGGGAGCCCAGTTGAGTGATGGAGAGAGTGGGAGATGGAACTGAGAAAGTTGTCCGAAGTGAGAATAAGTCAGTCCTTGCAGGTCTTGGTGGAGCTGGCGCTTTATTGAGTGTGTCAAGAAGTCACTGGAGGCTGGGCGTGGTGGCTCATGCCTGTAATCCCAGCACTTTGGGAGGCTGAGATGTGAGGATCGCTTGATTCCAGGAGTTCAAGACCAGCCTGGGCTACATGGCACAACCCCATCTCTACAAAAAATACAAAAATTAGTCAGGTGTGGTCCACGTGCCTGTAGTCCCAGCTACTTGGGAGGCTGAGGCTGAGGTGGGAGAATTGCTTGAGTCCATGAGGTGGAGGTTGCAGTAAGCTGTGATTGTACCACTGCACTCCAGCCTGGGCGACAGAGCCAGAGACCCTGTCTCAAAAGAAAAAAAAAAAAAAAAAGGCACTGAAGGTTTCAAGGAGGAAGACATGATTCAATTGCCATCATATTGGGATGCAGACCTGGTTGCTTACCTTTTATTTTTATTTTTTACAATTCCACAGCAAGTATCACACCTGGTTGCTTTTTTTTTTTTTTTTTTGAGATGGAATCTCGCTCTGTCACTCAGGCTGGAGTGCAGTGGTATGATCTCAGCTCACTGCAACCTGTGCCTCCTGGATTCAAGTGATTCTCCTGCCTCAGCCTCCTGAGTAGCTGGGACCACAGGTGTTTGCCACCATGCCCAGCTAATTTTTTGTATTTTTAGTAGAGACAGGGCTTCGCCATGTTGGCCAGGCTGGTCTCAAACTCCTCACTTCAGGCAATCCTCCCGCCTTGGCCTCCCTAAGTACTGGAATTACAGGCCTGAGCCACCGCGCCTGGCCTGTACCTGGTTGCTTTCTTTAGATCCTCTGGGCCACCTCATTCCTCTCTCTGGATTGGCACCCACCTCTTCAGGTTATCCCTCCACTTTCTGACAATGACCCCTTCAGGTTGAGAAATCTGGCTTTGACCCAGAAACCACAAGCAAAATCCCCATCCTTTCTCCACCCATGGACTATACTCAGGTGTTGTTCCTCCTCGCAGCCCTTCCAGAAAAGTCCCTAATGCTGTGTAGCTCACTTGCTTCATCTCTTCAAAGACCATTGTAAAGGCATAGCCTGTACAGGTATCACATTACCTCTTCCTTCACTTCCTTCACCTCCTTCTCCTCTCCTGTATCTCAGCAGCCTGGGCTCGTACCTCCGAAATAAAGCATCAGCACAGGTCAGGCACAGTGGCTCATGCCTGTAATCCCAGCACTTTGGGAGGCTGAGGCAGGCGGGTCACTTGAGGTTAGGAGTTGGAGACAAGCCTGGCCAACATGGTGAAACTGTCTCTATTTTAAAAAAAATACAAAAATTAGCTGGGCGTGGTGGCAAGCACCTGTAGTCACTGCTATTCGGGAGGCTGAGGCAGGAGAATTGCCTGAACCCGGGAGTGGAGGTTGCAGTGAGCCAAAATCCTGTCATTGCACTCCAGCCTGGGTGACAGAGTGAGACTCCGTCTCAAAAAAAAAAAAAAAAAAAAAGCATTAGCACTATAAATCTAATCTGGGCTCTGCTTCCTAGCCAACTCTCCTAAAGAGGTCTTTTAGTACTGGGGGTCTTTGGGCATTTTCTTGCCCCTCTGGGCTCAGCAGCACATTCAGTGACACATACTCCGTGTGACTCAGTTTCTCCCTCCTGTGCCCACCCACGTGGCTGGTTAGTCTAAGAAGCAACATTTATAATAGTGAAGGACAAGGCTCTGGAGGCCATTTCAGCCTAGCTCCCTGGTCCTTGTTCTTCCTAGCTGTGTGGCTCTGAATTAAGTGACTTGTCCTCTCTAAACTTCTGGTTCCTCCTGTATAAAAAGTGGTAACAGTACTTACTTCTATATGAGGATTAACAGACTTAATTCAAATAAAGTGGCTAGAACAGTGCTCTTAACAAGCACTAATTTTTTTCTGAGGCTGGAGTGCAGTGGTGTGACCATGGCTTACTGCAGCCTCAACCTCCCAGGCTCAGGTGATCCTCCCAACTCAGCCTCCCCAGTAACTGGGACTACAGGCCGCCATGCCTAGCTCCTTTTTGTATTTTTTGTAGAGGCAGTGTTTCGCCACATTTCCCAGGCTGGCCTCAAGCAGATCCTCCCAAAGTGCTAGGATTCCAAGTGGGAGCTAGAGCACTCAGCCAACAAGCACTCAATAAATGTCATGTACAATGATACACCTACCCCAGCTATGGCACGGAAGTGGTGCTGATGTTTAGGAACTTACCAGGTCCCTCCCACTGACCCAGTGAAGTTTAGAAACATTAGACAACATCCCTCCTTCCAAAATACTTTTATTTAAAAAAATTACAAACAATCCAAAAAAAAAAAAAAAAGCCACCACAAACTCTGCCTTTCTTTTAAATAACCCGGCATGGAGCAGTTTGGTTTCCACCCTATTGCACGTGGTCCGGCCTGGTTATGAAATCAGGAGGCTGCTGAGACTGGGGTCCTGCCGAGGAAGTGGGGTTCAGCCTGGAGGGAGGACACCAGCCCCTCCCACCCCCTCAAGGTGCAAGAGGCAGAGCCTGGGTTTCTATAGCAACCTGGCAGCACATCCCTGTCATCCTTCGACAGGCCCAGCTTTCTTTATCTTCCCTGAGGCCCCAGTGGTCACAGGGGAGTGGGAACTAGCAGGAAAGGTGGAAGAAATGTGTAAGTGGAAAATCAGACTCCCAGAAACAGAGTCTCGTTAAGGCATTTGGAATAGATAAATTAATTCAGGAAGACCCACCTTCACAGAAGGTCGGGGTAACCAGACACACACACACATGCAAGACAGTTTGTGGAACCCTGAAATGGGAACAAAGGAGGCCATAGTCACTGCTTCGAGCCCCCACAAAAACACACACCCAGAGTTGCATTCAGGGATCCAGGCCACCGAAGATGACATGAGGAAGGATCGATCCCCTCTATCACAGTTTTAGGACCCCAGAATGATTTCCATGATGTGATCCAGTTCATTCCACTCCCAAGAACCTGGGGCACAGAAGAGGTTGTGAGGAGGCTCTGGTGGGGCCCGTGCAGGCTCCTTTTCTACCGCAGATGTGTCAATGTCCAGAAAGAAGTCATCCAGGCCAGAGTCCCCCAAGTACCGGGAGCTCAGAGCTTCTAAGAAGACTGGATCAGGCTGGGGTGGCACTTCATTCTGGAGGCCAAGGGGAGTCACTGGATTCTGAGGGGGCTCAGTCCCATCCATGGAGGTGTCCAGCTCCCTGAGGATAGAGCCAATGGTGGCTGACAGGGAGAAATCCTCCTCGCCCAGGAAGAGGGGCTCGGGGGGCAGGGCAGGGGCGGGAGCCAGGCGAAGTGCAGCCTGCAGCTGTTGGAGGGTGTTATGGATGAGGACATGCCTGCGGAGGCTGGGTGCTCGGGGGCCCAGGCTGCGCTGGACTTTGTCTAGGGAGATGCGGAGCAGGGCTTGCTGGTAGCTCTGAAGGCCTGCTGGACTCCACTCCCACCTCTCCTCCTCCTCTTCCAAATCAGAGTGTTTCCTCTTCAAGCCTCCCACCATGATGCCCTGTAGAGAGAAGAGGCGCATAGGGGAAGGTCAGACACCAGACACCGTAGTGCTGGCTCATATCCCACTTTCTCAGGCCTATTGAGTTGTTAGTGATTTTTAATCATCGGAATCTCAGTTTACTGATGTATAAAATGAAGGCTGTCTGAATCCTACAAGTTTAAGAAGGTGAGTACATATACGATTAAGAAAATAAGATCTGGCGTTACGTACAGCTAGATTTAAATCTCACTTACTTGCCTGTTGTGGCCTCAAACAGTGAATTTACATCCATGAGAATCAATTTCCTCATCTGCCAAGTACGGATCCTAACTCAAGTTCCTCTAAGCCTTAAAACTGTTCTTCCACAATATTAATTTCTTCAAACATGGAGCACGAAAGACAAGTGTGGAGCACAGAGACCTGGATTGGAAGTAGGGAACCCCAAATCTGAATTCTGTATTGGAAACTGCTCAGCTGCGTGATCATGGGAAGTGATCTGAATGAGTCAATTCTCAGGGCCTCAGTTTCCTCATCTGTAAAATAGGGACTGTAAAAAAATACTTCTCACCACCTCTGTCAAGGAGATGCCACGTATCTATAGGGCCCACCACACCGGAAGTGCTTAATGAACAAGAGTTGTGTTTGTTTTTTGTTAGAGACAGGGTCTCGCTCTGTCGCCCAGGGCTGAGTGCAGCAGCGCTATCACAGCTCACTGCAGTCTCGAAGTCCTGGGCTCAAGCGATCCTCCCGCCTCAGCTTCCTGAGTAGCTGGGATTACCACCACACCCGGCCTCGATCAAGAGTTAATTGCCAGTTATTCGCTCAACAGATTTACTGAGTGCCTACTATATTCGAAATCTCCTGGAGCCCTGTTGGGGAACCTATGTTGAGATTCTTCTTCAACAGTCGGGATATTTCTATGTCCTCTTCCTTAACCGACTGGGAGCGCTCCCAAGAGTAGGAAAGGGGCCTGTCTCATTCCCTCTGCCCACGCTTTCAGATTCCCCCAAAGCGCGCCCCATAGGAAAACTTGCTAGAACTCAGCTCAGACCAAGCCCCGCCCCCTCGGAGGTCCCACTCAATCAGACCGCGACACTGTAAGGCCCCGCCCCCCCATGGGTCCTTACAGAGCATCCAGGAACGCCCCAATTTGGCCCAGGGGCTTCTGGGAAACGGGGGCCAACAGCCGCCAGGTACACGAATTGACGTCGAGCACGCACTACAATCCCCAGAGGGCTCCGCCCGTCCAGGGGACGAGCCACCCCCCTCACCCCGCTCTCCCTCAGGGCATGCGCACAGGGGCACAGGCGGGTGGGGGAAGGGAACCTGGACGTCCAGCTGCCGGCGCCTGCCGAGCCCCGCCCTCCATTGCCTCCGGGGCCGCGAGTCTGAGCTCCAGGCCCGGAACACCCCTCCCCCACCCCAGACTCCGGCTCTAAATTTGCTTTCTCCCGGTCCCTCTGTTCCTTGAAAGTCCGCGATTCTCCTTCCAAACTGCCCTTGGATCCAGAGACCCAGATCCGAACACATCGCTCAAAGACGACAATGCTCCGATCTAGTTCGGGAGACTACGTATCCTAATTCTGATACTTCCTCCCACTTCTCCTAGTCTCCTGACTTTCAAACGCCCCTGGACTTCACCTCCAAACTCGCTGTCCGGCTCCAAGACCCGAACATTGAACTCTTCCCGGCAACCTCCTTCCCCCGCCAGTGCGTCTTGGAGTCCCAAGAATCCTTGACCCTAGTTCTCTCGCTTCTCCAAATACTCAGAATCTCAGCTCCGTACCTCTCACACCTTTTCCAGAACACGATAAAGCCCCGAATTCAACCCGTCCGGAAGACCCAAGTGGAATCGAATCTCCAGGTTCCCTGTCTCAAAAGTTCCTCCCCTCTGTTCTCTCGCTTCTCCAAAAGCCCAACGTCCCAGCTTCAAACTCCCTCCACTTGAAAATACTGCCCCAACAACCTCGCCTCCCCTCCTGGGTCTTGAACTCAGTCTCAGGTCCCCAGACCCTCCCTATCATCACCCTGAATCTGAGGCCCCCTCCCCCGGTCCCACCCAGACCCCGCCTCCGCAAGTCCCCGGGGCGCGCTTCTCTCTCCCCCAGCCTAAGGTAAATTCCCAAGCCAGGCGACCACTCCTCACCGCAGCTGCCAGGTTCGCCACGACCACCTCCTGGAACGCCCACAGCGTTGCGACCCGCCAGTGCCAGGACCCACCAGTGACCGGTTGGAGCCTCGCTCACCTCGGCGGGGCCTCTCCGTCTGGCCTCTGGCCCACCAGCCCCGCCCCGGAGCCGAGCCGCGAGCCGCGATTGGCTGGAGTCCCGCCCGCCGCGGGGCGTCGATTGGCTGGGCGGAGCCATCCGCCCGTGCCCCGAGACGCCGGATCCGCCCACCCCTCCCTAGCGCCCCGGGCCATTTAAAGAAGTGCAACTGGCAGGGGGCGGGGCAGCGACTCCGGGGTGGAGGGCGGCCGGTCCAACAGAACCGCTTCCTTCCACTCAGCTACAGTCCTCGCTCCAAGATCGTCACCATTGCTCCCTGCGGTTCCTTTATGGTAGGCCTGGACTCCACCGTGGAGCCAGAGGGGCTGGCATGCCCCTCCCCAAGTCGCTGTGCAGGCGGGCGGGGCCGAGCAACCGGAGGAGGCCGCGCCCCCGGGGTTCCGAGGGAGGACGCTGGGGCGCGGGGGATGACGTAGCGGAAGACCAGCCAATAGAGTGGCGCGGCCCGCGTTGCCTAGGCGATCGTAGCCTCGCCCCCTTGCTGCCCCTCCCGCCCCCTATACGTTACCGCGCGGCCCCTTCTTAATCCTCAGGTTTTCTCAGCACGTCCTCTGGTGGTCCCACCTGGGTCTTCTGACACCCTCTTTCCTTCCCCGCTCCATCAAGATGACTCCTCTGCTACTGTTCATGGCTTCCTACCCACCCCGAATACAAACTTCAAACTCCTTCCTTTTGCCACAAAGCCCCTCACGACCTTGCTTGATGCGTTCTCCTGGTTCTCTCCGATCCTGCCCCATTGAGTCACTTCCAGTTTTTCTAAAATGGCTTCAAGCTCCCATTCACCCCATCAGGAAAACGAAAGGATTTTCTCTGTTTGTTTTCTTCCCTGCTTTACCCCAGTGTCTACAACAATGCCAGGTACATAATAAGTTCGCAAACATGACAATAAAAGGCCTCTGGATCTTTATTATTAATATTATTTTTTGCCGGGCGCAGTGGCGCACGCCTGTAATCCCAGCACTTTGGGAGGCGGAGGCGGGCAGATCACTTGAGGTCAGGAGTTTGAGACCAGCCTGGCCAACAATGGTGAAACCCCGTCTCTACTAAAAATACAAAAATTAGCTGGGCGTGGTGGCGCACGCTTGTAATCTCAGCCACTTGGGAGGCTGAGGCAGGAGAATCGCTTGAACCTGGGAGGTTGAGGTTGCAGTGAAGGCGAGATCGTGCCACTGCACTCCAGCCTGGGTGACAGAGAGATGGGGGAGGGGGGAGGGGGGTTTTCTTGTGTTGCCCAGGTTGGTTTTGAACTCCTGGCCTCAAGCAATCTTCTCGCCTCTGGATATTTAAACTTGTTTCCTCATCCTCAAAATATACCCTCAATTCCCAGGCTGCTTCTCAGAACACATTTCAAAGGTTTCCTCCTCTCCGAAGCCCTCCCTGGCAGTCCAGGTTGGGTTAGGATCCATTCTAGGATTCCATGGCCTCCTGTGCCGCCATCCCAGTCCTGGACTGTCAGTTACTATATGGACTGAGGAACGCCCCGCCGAGGGCAGGTACCAAGGATATCTCTGTCAACCACCTCTTGGTCTGCAGGATCACCTAGCACAGGGCTGGACACGTAGCAGGTCCCAGTGAAAGTTTGCTAAATGCTCAGGAATGTGACAGAAAAATAAGGCAGAAAGAAGACACTGCTAGTGTCCTGAAAGCCCACACCCGTAATGCTCCGCCCCTACAACGAGTTTCCCTAAGGGGAGGAGGCAGTTTTCTCCAGGCCACCTCTGGGAAGGGAGGTTTAAGCCTCCTCAGACCAGTTCTTGCCGGTTGGAGTTTGTCAACCAAGTCATCCTGATGTTTGCAGGATAAATGGGAGGGGAATAGGTAGGTGGGTGGTGTGGGTTGGAGGTAGGGAGAGAGAAGTGTCTTAGCTCACCCAGGCCTAGGGAAGGTGTCCCTGGGAAAAAAAGAAAGGGACAGTAGGTTCCAAAAAAGGACATAATTAGGAAGGAGCAATTCTTCCCCTTCCTCCTCCAAAACCTGCGCCTCCTATAGGGTCCACAACTCAGGAAAGCCCTACTGCATTTGGGTTTTTGTTTTTGAGACGGGGTCCCACTCCGTCGTGGATGCTGGAGTGCAGTGGCGCACCTTGGCTCACTGCAGCCTCAGCCTCCCTCCTGAAGCACTAGTGTAACTCTGTCCCCGGGTTACAGCCGTATGCTTCTTTCTGATGCCTCCCCTCCACCCCTCACCAACTGTCCACGCAGGCTCCCAGGCATTCCTCACACCCACTCTCTCCTCCCCTCCTTACAGTTCCTCCTCCAACTCCCTCTGGGCTATCAGCCTCCATTCCTGGACCCTTCCTTTCCACCTTCACAGAGTAGCCAAAGGAAGCTTCATAAAACACCCAACTGTCCCCCCTGCCTTACTTCTCTGGTGCTCCACTCCTTGCATAAATCCTCAAAATAAAGCACAAACTTTTTTTTATTTTCAGAGACAGGGTCTGGATCTGTCCTACAGGCTGGAGTGCAGTGGCCAGGCCTTGACCTCCTGGCCTCAAGCCATTCTCCCGCCTCAGCCTCCTGAGTATCTGGGACTACAGGTACACACCACCATGCCCAGCTAAGTTTTTAAAAATTATTTTGTAGAGATGGGGTCTCACTATGTTGCCCAACCTGGACTCCTGGCTTCAAGCCATCCTCCCACCTCAGCTTCCTGAGTATCTGGGACTATAGGTGCACACCACCATGCCCAGCTAAGTTATTATTATTATTATTATTGAGATGGAGTCTCGCTCTGTCACCCAGGCTGGAGTGCAGTGGCACAATCTCGGATCACTGCAACCTCCACCTCCCAGGTTCAAGCGATTCTCCTGCCTCAGCCTCCTAAGTAGCTGGGATTACAAGTGTGCATCACCACGCCTGGGTAATTTTTGTATTTTTAGTAGAGACAGGGTTTCACCATGTTCGCCAGGCTGGTCTTGAACTCCTGACCTCAAGTGATCTACCCGCCTCGGCCTCCCAATGTGCTGGGATTCCAAGCATGAGCCACCATGCCTGGCCAGACTCAATAAACTGTTACTGGGCGGGGCGCAGTGGCTCACGCCTGTAATCCCAGCACTTTGGGAGGCGAGGCAGGCGGATCATGAGGTCAGGAGATCAAGACCATCCTGGCTAACACGGTGAAACCCTGTCTCTACTAAAAATACAAAAAAATTAGCTGGGTGTGGTAGTGGGCGCCTGTAGTCCCAGCTACTGGGGAGGCTGAGGCAGGAGAATGGTGTGAACCTGGGAGGTGGAGCTTGCAGTGAGCCAGATTGCGCCACTGCACTCCAGCCTGGGCGACAGAGCAAGACTCGGTCTCAAAAAAATAAAAAAATAAAAATAAACTGTTACTGAACAAATGAATGAATGCATAACAAGCAAATCTTACACAGAGGCAGGCAGACACACCAAAATACTCAGACAGAGGCAGAGAGAGGAAGAGTCACACAGTCGGTTTCTCTAGAGTAATTTGAAGCTCTTGGCTCAACATTTATTGCCCCCTTCCTTTGCTCCTCATGTCCCAGAATGCCACCCTCCCAGATGGGGACAGAGTGCTACTGGTACTGGTGGGAGGGGTAGGTGCTGTGTCCGTCGTACTCATCGGTGGTGAGGCAGCGCAGCATGAAATGGCCCAGGTCATGTTTGGAGATGACCCTTGAGGGCCCTCGTCCATCCAGGGTCACTGTGTACGCCCCAGTTAGTGGCTGGTCTCCTATGAAGTAAAGACAAGAGGGGCTGGATAAAGCAGACACCTTTCCCTTCCCCCAAAATTCGACCCCCAGAAAGACCTTCCCAGGGTGCCTACTGTGTGTCCAGCCTGGGTGGTGTCACAGCCAAGAATGGACTTTCCATATGCAGGTGCTCATCTATATCCTTTGCTTCATTCATTCGATAAATCCTTATTGATTACCTATTGTGTGGCCAGGTGCTGGGCACCCAAGCAAGGGACAAAGCAGACAGGAATCCCCTGCCCTGGCCAGTGGCGGTGGCTCATGCCTGTAATCCTGGCACTTTGGGAGGCTGAGACAGGAGTATCACTCAAGCCCAGGAGTTTGAAACTATCCTGGGCAACACAGGGAGACCCTGAGTCCACTAAAAATACAAAAATCAGCCGGGTGCAGTGGCATGCCCCTGTAGTCCCAACTACTCAGGAGGCTGAGGCTGGAGAATTGCTTGAGCCAGGGAAGTTGAAGCTACAGTGAGCCATGATCGTGACACTGCACTCCAGCCGGGACGACAGAGCAAGACCTTGTCTCTAACAACAACAACAACAAATATATATATATATATATATATATATATATATATATTTGTCAGATAGATATATATCTGTCTATCTGACAGTAACCAACTAAACTTAGGGATACAATGTACCATCACCCAAACAGAGACAGGCTGGAATTATGCACAGTATGGAACACACACCCTTGGCTGTGTGTTTGCTTGGGACAAAGCAGACAGGAAGCTCCTGCCCTGGCTGGGCACAGTGGCTCACGCCTGTAATCTCAGCACTTCGGGAGGCCAAGGTGGGAGGATCACTTGAGCTCAGGAGTTTGAGACCAGCCAACATGGCAAAACCACATCTCTACAAAAAATGCAAAAATTCGCTGAGTGTGGTGGCTTATGCCTGTAGTCCCAGCTACTTGGGCAGGAGAATCACTTGAGCCCAGAAGGCGGAGGTTGCAGTGAGCCAAGATTGTGCCATTGCGCTCCAGCCTGGGCTACAGAGGGAGACCCTGTCTCAAAAAAAAAAAAGGAACACACACCTTCACCCATGTGGCATTCCTGCCCAACATGTTTAATCTGAATCTGTGACAAAACAGCTAGAAAAATCCAGAATGTGGGCCTTTAAAGTCACCTGGCCTGGTTAATGTTATGAGAAACTTAAAGAAAAAGGGCAGAGTGGGTTGAATTTTTTTTTTTCTTTTTTGGATAGAGTCTTGCTCTGTCACCCAGGCTGGAGTACAGTGGTGCAATCTTGGCTCACTGCAACCTCCACCTCCCAGGTTCAAGCAATTCTTGTGCCTCAGCCTCCCGAGTATCTGGGATTACAGGTGTCCGCCACCACACCTGGCTAATTTTTGTATTTTTAGTAGAGACGGGGTCTCACCACGTTGGCCAGGCTGGTTTTGAACTCCTGACCTCAAGAGATCCACCCGCCTCAGCCTCCCAAAGTGCTGGGATTACAGATGTGAGCCACCACGCTGGCCTGACAGTTGGGGAAATTTTACTACGGAGTGGATACTAAATGATATGACAGAGTAAATGTCACTTTCCTTAGGTGTGAGCATGTTTTGTGTGCAAATATCTTTCTTTTAGGAGATGGCTGTCTAGGTATTTAGGAGTTAAGTGCGACAATGTTGCAATTCCTCTCAAATGATTAAGCCAAATATACATATGCATATATGTTTTCACAATATATTCAGCAAAATCTAACTATATATTCATGGAGAGAGAGAGAGGAGGAGAGAGGGAGAGACAACAGGATAAAATGCTAAGCATTGAACCTAAACAAAGGGCTTATGTGTATTCATAAACCTTTAATGCTTTCAAATCGGGAGGTGTGGAAGTTTTCACACACTTGGCTGGGCGTGGTGGCTCACGCCTGTAATCCCAGCACTTTGGGAGGCCAAGGTGGGCAGATCACGAGGTCAAGAGATCGAGACCATCTTGGCCAATATGGTGAAACCCCGTCTCTACTAAAAATACAAAAATTAGCTGGGCGTGGTGGCACGCGCCTGTAGTCCCAGCTATTCGGGGGGCTGAGGCAGGAGAATCACTTGAACCCAGGAGGCAAAAGGTTGCAGTGAGCCAAGATCGCACCACTGTACTCCAGCCTGGCGGCAGAGCAAGACTCTGTCTCAAAAAAAAAAAAAAAAAAAAAAAAAAAGCCAGGCGCAGTGGCTCACGCCTGTAATCCCAGCACTTTGGGAGGCCGAGGCGGGCGGATCACAAGGTCAGGAGATTGAGACCATCCTGGCTAACACTGTGAAACCCCGTCTGTATTAAAAAATACAAAAAATTAGCCAGGTGTGGTGGCGGGCGCCTGTAGTCCCAGCTACTCGGGAGGCTGGGCAGGAGAATGGGGTTTCACCATGTTAGCCAGGATGGTCTCGATCTCCTGACCTTGTGATCTGCCCGCCTCGGCCTCTCAAAGTGCTGGGATTACAGGCGTGAGCCACCGCACCCGGCCATTAATATCTATCTTTTCTTGTCTTTTTCTTTTTTTTTTTAGACAGGGTCTCACTCTATTACCCAGGCTGGAGTACAGCAGCCTGGGCAACAGTTTATTGCAGCCTTGATCTCCTGGGCTCAAGCCATCCTCCCGCCTCCCAGTAGCTGGGACCACAGGTGTGTGCCACGACGCCCAGCTAATTTTTTTTTTTTTTTGTAGAGATAAGTCTATGTTGCCCAGGCTGGTCTCAAACTCCTGGGCTGAAGAAATCCTCCCGTCTTGGCTTCCCAAAGTGATGAGATTACAGGTGTGAACCACCATGCCTGGCCTATGTATCTATCTATCTATCTATCTATCTATCTATCTATCTATCTATCTATCTAATCTCTATCTCCCATACTAGAAATGTAAGCCATGGCGGGGCATGGTGATGCAGGCCTGTAATCCCAGCTACTCAGGAGGCTGAAGCCCCAGAATCCATAGACATAATGGATTAAACCATTAGCCAGTGGTAATCCCCTCAACCTTCAATCCCTCACCACTCCCCAGAGGTGAAAGTCCCAACCCTGTAATCCAGCCTTAGTCTTTCTGGTGACCAGACCTGAAGCTGCCTAGGGGCTGCCAGCTCTCAGTGAACTCATTAGCATAGAAAAAGACATTTACCATTTTGGAGATTCCAAGGATTTTAGGAGTTGTATGCCAGGAAACAGGGACAAAGGCCAAATATATATGTCACAATATCATAGGAAGGTTTGCAATTTTAGGGTGGTCAGGGAAGGCCTTGCAGATCTCCCCAGAGGGCAGGAGGGAACAGGCAGATGGCATTGGTGCCACCAGGTCCCTGCCCTGCTTACCTATGTGTGGCGGCATCACAGCCACGTACTTCAGGCCTGATTCCCGCAGCACCTTGTGCATCCGGATGTGGTCATCAGTCACAGCCTGCAGTCGTGGGGGCACCTTGGTAGGGTCCCAGAGCAGGAAAGCTGGAGGGAACACAGGGCAGGATCAGCCTGGGCTCTCTTGTCTTTTTTTTTTTTTTTTTGAGACAGAGTGTCGCTTTGTCACCCAGGCTGAGTGCAGTGGCGCAATCTCGGCTCACTGCAACCTCTGCCTCCCGGGTTCAAGCAATTCTCCTGCCTCAGCCTCCCCAGTAGCTGGGATTACAGGTGCACACCACCAGGCCTGACTAATTTTTGTATTTTTAGTACAGACAGGGTTTTGCCATGTTGGCCAGGCTGGTCTCAAACTCCTGACCTCAGGTGATCCACCCTCCTCCACCTCCCAAAGTGCTGGAATTACAGGCATGAGCCATTGTGCCCAGCCAAGGGCTCGCTTGTCTTGATGCCAGGACAAAACCCTGCCATGGCTGACCATTGCTTTCCAGTTGCAAAAACAGGGGAGTCCTCTGGGGCTCCTCTTTCCCTCACACCCCAGGTAAGAGCTGTCTGCTGATCACAATAATTCCAAATCTGACCTCTTCTCACTCCGCCTGGTCCTGTCCACTGTTACCTCTTGCCTGGACCAGCCCAGCAGCCTACTCCCTGGTCTCTCAGCCCCTCCTTCCCTCCTCCCAAGGAGCCCGTGAACACCCCTATCAGTTCACATCCATAGCTCCATCTCACTCAGGGTAGAAGCAAAGTCCCCATGGCCAGCCCTCAAGGCCCCACCTGATATGGCCCCATCAGCCCTCTGACGTCCTTGCCTACTCTGCCTACCACTCTCTCTTACACGCCTCTGCTCCAGCCAGGTTCTGCCTCCCAGCCTTGGCAATGTCTGATTCCTCTGCCCCTGATGCATTTCCCTCTCTTTTTTATTTTCTCTGAGACAGGGTCTCATTCTGTTGTCCAGGCTGGAGGACAGTGGCGTGAACACGGCTCACTGCAGCCTTGACTTTCTGGGCTGAAGTGATCCTCCTGCCTTAGCCTCCTGAGGAGCTGGGACCACAGGGGTGAGCCACCAAACCCCACTATTTTTTTTTTTTTTTGAGACAGAGTTTCCTTCCCTCTTGCCACCCAGGCTGCAGTGCAATGGCATGATACCGGCCAAGCCTGGCTAATTTAAAAAATTTTTTTAGGCCGGGTCTGGTGGCTAACCCCTGTAATCCCAGCACTTTGGGAGACTGAGGAGGCCAGATCGCCTGAGGTTAGGAGTTCGAGACCAGCCTGGCCAACATGGTGAAACCCCATCTCTAGTAAAAATACAAAAGTTAGCTGGGCATGGTGGTGCATGCCTGTAGTCCTAGCTACTCAGGAGGCTGAAGCTGGAGAATTGCTGGAACCCTTGAGGCGGAGGTTGCAGTGAGCTGAGATCGCGCCACGGCACTCCAGCTTGGGAGACAGAGCAAGACTCCATCTCAAAAACAAAGCAGAACAAAACAAAACAAAACAAAAAAAACACAAAAATTAGCCAGGTGTCGTGGTGCATGCCTGTAATCCCAGCTATTCTCAGGAAGCTGAGGCAGGAGAATCCCTTGAACCTGGGAGGCAGAGGTTGCAGTGAGCCGAGATCGTGCCATTGCACTCCAGCCTGGGTGACAGAGCAAGACTCCGTCTCAAAAGAAAAAGAAAAAAACATTTTTTTTGTAGCGATGGAGGTCTTACCAAGTTGCCCAGGCTAGTTTTGAACTCCCGGGCTTAAGCGATCCTTCCATCTCGACCTCCTAAAATGCTGCGATTACAGGTGTGACCCAGGACCCTTTGCCATTTCCCTCTCGTAGCCACATGGCTCCCTGTTTTCTTTGCAGACTTTGCTCAAAGGTCACCTTTCCATGCAGCTTTTCTTGACTGTCCTGTTTAAAATTGCAAAATCCTGTCTCCCCCAGCCCAGTTTACCAATCCCTTTTCTTGGGGCCTTGTTTTCTCCCTAGGACCCTTCCCCTGCCACCACACGCTAGAGTTATCCTGTGACTCTATCACATTTCCTGCTCCAATCCCAGCCCTTAGAAGCATCTGGAACATTGTAGGTACTTACTAAATATTTGTTCAGGAATTAGCTTTCAACAAGCTATAACTTGGCCAAGCTACACCAGCTGACATTTATAGAACTTTTACCTCAAGCCAAGAACTATGCTAAATATTTTTAGGAGCAGTTTGGTGAATAGTTAAAGAGCTTGGGTTTTGCCTAAAGTCAAGTACTGGATCGACCACTGGCCAGCTTCTTGTTTCCTCATGTGCAAACTGGGATGATATAAATTGTTCAAAGGCTGGGCAGAGTGGCTCACACCTGTAATCCCAGCACTTTGGGAGGCTGAGGTAGGAGGATCAGTTGAGCCCAGCAGTTCTAGACTCACCTGGGTACGATGGTGAGACCTGTCTCTACAGAAAATTAAAAAATTAGCCAGGCGTGGGGACCTGTGGTCTTAGCTGCTTAGAAGGCTGAGGCGAGAGGATCGCTTGAGCTCAGGAGTTCGAGGCTGCAGTGAGCTGTGATTGCACCGCTGCACTCCAGCCTGGACAACAGAGCAAGACCTTGTCTCAACAAAAAGAAATAAATAAATAGTTTGAGTAATGTTAGTGGTTATAAAAAGGTGTGTCACAGAGACCAGCCTGGGCAACAAAGCCAGACTCTGTCGCAACAAAAAAATTTTAAAAATTAGATGGGCATGGTGGCACATGCCTGTGGTCTCAGCTACTCAGGAGGATCCCTTGAGCCTAGGAGTTGGAGGCGGTAGCGAGCTATGATGACATCATTCTCACTGCAACCTCCACCTACAAGTTTCAAGTGATTCTCCTGCCTAAGCCTCCTGAGTAGCTGGGATTACAGGCGTGTGCCACCACACCTGGCTAGTTTTTGTATTTTTGGTAGAGACGGGGTTTCACCATGTTGGCCAGGCTGGTCTCGAACTCCTGACCTCAAGCGATCCACCTGCCTTAGCCTCCTAAAGTGCTGGGATTACAGCGTGAGCCACTGCGCCTGGTCTAGGATTTCCTCTTTACAGATGAGAAAACTGCGGTGCAGAGTGTGAAGTGGGTTTTTGTCTGCAGCCTCCAGTCTCCAGTTCACAATCTCAAATCCAGTCTCTAACTTACCCCTAGTTTCTTTTTTCTTTTTTTTTTTGAGGCAGTCTCGCTCTGTCACCCAGGCTGGAGTGCAGTGGCACGATCTCAGCTCACTGCAAGCTCCTCCTCCCGGGTTTACGCCATTCTCCTGCCTCAGCCTCCCGAGTAGCTGGGACTATAGGCACCCGCCGCCACGCCTGGCTAATTTTTTGTATTTTTAGTAGAGACGGTGTTTCACTGTGTTAGCCAGGATGGTCTCAATCTCCTGACCTCGTGATCCACCCACCTTGGCCTCCCAAAGTGCTGGGATTACAGGCGTGAGCCACAGCACCCGGCTGTTTTGTTGTGTTTTGAGACAGGGTCTTGCTCTGCAGCCAAGGCTGGAGTGCAGTGGTGCCATCACGGCTCACTGCAACCTCTGCCTTCTAGGCTCAAAGGATCCTCCTACCTAAGCTTCCCAAGTATTGGGGACCACAGGTGTGTACCACCACACCCAGCTAATTTTTTGTATTTTTTTTTTGTAGAGATGGAGTTTTGCTGTGTTGCCCAGACTGGTCCTGCACTCCTGGACGCAAGCAATCCGCCCACCTTGGCCTCTCAAAGTGCTAGGATTACAGGCGTGAGCCACTGTGCCTGGCCTTACTCTGGGTTTCTTTCTAATCCTCTCAGATGCCTCCATAAAAAACAATCCTCCCCAAGCCCTAATGGATAAACTCCAAGCTCCTTAGATGACAAAAATCTTTCTAATCTTTTACCTTGACATTTGAATATGGAGGGAAGATTAAACTCTAATAATTAGAGGCTGGAAGATAATTAAAGTGTGACAATAGCACTGTGGTGCTGGAAGAGAAAAGTCCTTTTTCTTGGGACTTGCCGAAGGTGTCTGTGGGTGTGCAACTCCATTTCAAATAGTTTAGGAAGTCTGGGCGCAGTGGCTCATGCCTGTAATCCAGCACTTTGGGAGGCCAGATCACTTGAGGTCAGACCAGCCTGCCCAATATGGTGAAACCCCATCTATACTAAAAATACACACACACAAAATTAACCAGATGTGGTGGCAGGCACCTGTAATCCCAGCTACTCAGGAGGCTGAGGCAGGAGAATCCCTTGAACCCAGGAGGTGGATGTTGCAGTGAGCCAAGATCACGCCACTGTATTCCGGCCTGGGTGACAGAATGAGACTCTGTCTCAAATAAAAACAAACAAACAAAAAACCCAAATAGTTTAGGAGAACAAAAACAAAATCTATTTGTGTATGTGTATGTGCATAGATAAACCAATTACAAAACACAATCACAATTTTAAAATCAGGAATATGGCTGTTGGCCAGGTGCAGTGGCTCAGGTGTAATCCCAGCACTTTGGGAGGCTGAGGCTGGTGGATCGCTTGAGTCCGGGAGTTCGGGACCAGCCTGGGCAACATGGCGAAACTCTATCTCTACCAAAAATACAAAAATTAGCCAGCCTTATAACCCGGTCTCAAAATAAATAAATAAATAGATAGATAGCTACAAACTTAAAAATAAAAAAAGAAAAGGAATATGGTTGTTCACACGACTATTAACTTTTCTGTTTAAAAATTTTTATAATAAAAAGTTAAAAAGTATATTGAGGACCTACACATTGAAGTAAGCAGCCATGATGTATGTAAGCTAACTTCAAATGGGTCAGAAAAAAAACATTGTGTGTCTGTGAACAGAGGACGGTAGGTGTACTGGTGTCCTTTCAATTTTTCTGTAAGTTTAAGATCATTTCCAGATAAAAAGTTAAGCTGGACTCAATGGCTCATACCTGTTGCCCCAGCTATTTGAGGGGCTAAAGTGAGGGGATTCCTTGAGCCCAGGGGTTCAAGGGTACAATGAGCTATGATCAGGCCACTGCACTCCAGCCTGGGTGACAGAGCGAGACCTTGTCTCTATGTTTGTTTTTTTTTTAATGAAAAAAAAAATCCTGGCACACCTAAGACTTTAATATTTAGAAAACAATCTAAACAAAAAAAAATGAGAAAAAAGAAAGCAAATTAAATCAATTTTACAGGTTTGTCTTTTTCATGGAAGCAAAACTTAACCAGTTAAATTGGTTTTTAAGACATGGGAGAGTCTGGACGTGGTGGCTTATACCTGTAATCTCAGCACTTTGGAAGGCTGAGGTGGGAGGACTGCTTGAGGCCAGGAGTTCAACATCAGCCTGGCCAACATGGCAAAACCTTGTCTCTACCAAAAATACAAAAATTAGCAGGGCATGGTGGCAGGCGCCGGTAATCCCAGCTACTCAGGAGGCTGGGGCAGGAGAATCACTGTGGGCCACGATCTTGGTCCCAGGCACCATGAACCCGGGAGGTGGAGTGGCGGTTGCAGTGAGCTGATACCACGCCACTGCACTCCAGCCTGGGCAATGGAGTCAGACTTCATCTCAAAGAAAAAAAGACATGGGAGAAAAAAACAAAACTAAAATTAACAGCAGACCATTCCAATCTGCGAACAAAAGTAAGACCTTGTCTCTACAAAAATATCAAAAAATTAGCCAGGTGTGGTGGTGCATGCCTGTAGTCCCAGCCGCTTGGGAGGCTGCAGTGGGGAGGATCACTTGAACCCAGACTGAGGCTGCAGTGAGCCATGGTTGCACCACTGCACTCCAGCCTGGGTGACAGAAAGTCTCAAAAAAAAAAAAAAAAAGTGAACCATTCTGAAATCGCAAGTTTACTCGTGTATTACTTTTCCATTTCAGAGCTTGAGGAAAAAAGCCATAAATGATTTTGCTTCCTACCCTCCAACTAGGTCTGGCCTCCAGGCCTCTTTGCTTGCTTTGTCCTCTGCCTGGAGTGTAATTACAATCATCAGGCAGCCCTCCCTCATGCCACTTCCCTTTCCAGGGAGGCAATTTGTGTCATGAAACACACTTGAGGTCAGGAGTTCGAGACTAGCCTGGCCAACATGGCGAAACCCTGTCTCTACTAAAAATACAAAAATTAGCTGGGCATGGTGGTGCACACCTGTAGTCCCAGCTACCTGGGAGGCAGAGGCAGGAGAATCACTTGAGGCAGGAGAACCACCTCCGGGAGGCGGAGGTTGCAGGGAGCCAAGATCACGCCACTGCACTCCAGCCTGGGCATCAGAGCAAGACTCTATCTCAAACAAACCTCAAAATAACTATAAATAAATAAATAAATAAATAAATGATTATACAGGGCAACTATTTGCTTAATGTCTGTGTCCCCATAATCGGGAGCTCTGTGAGGGCAGAGACCTAGTGTCTATCCACAGCTCTATCACTTCCTCTGGGAGGCCTACCCTGACCTCTCTCAGCCTAAGTCGGACGCCTCCTCTGGGCTCCCATAGTCCTGTAGTTTCTCCCATTGTGGCCCTATCCCCTCTGCCTGCCTCCCGATCCCAGCTCCGATGATCTGGATGTCAGTTTGATCATGGATCTGTTTACCACCTCTCTCTGTGAGCCTTGTGTGAGCAGGGCCCAGGGCTGTACAGGTCACCACTGTGTCCCCAGCATCACCCAGTAAGGTTCAGGCACACAGCTGGTGTTCAGTAAATGCACAGTAACATGGAATGGCTTCAGCGTCACCTTTCAGAGGCCCCTGGGCTGCCTCCCCAGTACCCCCCAGTTCAGCCCCACCTCCATGATCCCACCACCCACCCGAGGTGCAGGCCACGACCTTGTCCACACCATGAGCCTTCATGGCTGCCACAATGTTCCGGGCGCCCTCGGACATCACTGTCGTGGGACCTTAGAGGGGACAGAGAGTGGCTGTCACTGGTGGGCGGCGGCGGCGGCAGGGGTGGCAGGGGCGGGGCCGGGGGCGGGGGTGGCGCTGGGGGCCGAGGTGTAGGGGAGGGCCGTGGGCAGAGGGGGGGCTCAGTACTGAGGTCATTGCGGGTGCCCAGCAGCACGATGACAGCGTCCTGCCCAGCCACGGTCTTGTCCACATCGGCTGCCTGCAGAACATCTCCCACTACCACGTGGGCCGGCCGGGGCCCCTCTGATGGCAGCCTGGAGGAGTCCCGCACCAGCACTGTCACTTCGTAACCTGTGGGCAAAGAGGAGCAGAGAGCCTGGTCAGTGGGCTGGCACTCTTGGGCTCCAGGAGCTGGGTCCTAGAAGCCACCATGAACTCTCAAATCCATCCCCTCCTCTGTTCTGGGGAAGTGGTCTTCAAACATTTTTGGTTTTTTCTTTTTGTTTGTTTTGTTTTTGAGACAGGGTCTTGCTCACTTGCCCAGGCTGCTGTGCAATGGTGCAGTCACAGCTCACTGCAGCCTCAACCTCCGGGGTTCAACTGATCCTCCCATCTCAGCACCCCAAGTAGCTGGGACCACAGTGTGCACCACCACACCCAGCTAATTTTGCAATCTTTTGTAGAGAAGGGGTTTTGCCATGTTGCCCAGGCTGGTCTTGAACTCCTGGGCTCAGGTGATCTGCCTGCCTCAGCCTCCCCATGAGCCACTGCGCCGTGGCCTTCAAACATTTTTGCTGGCATACCTACAGTTGATGCTTAGTATTGGGCTGATTATTAAAATAGACCATACCTTGGCCAGGCATGGTGGCTCACGCCTGTAATCTCAACACTTTGGGAGGCTGAGGCGGGCAGATCACCTGAGGTCAGGAGTTTGAGACCAGCCTGGACAACATGATGAAACCCCATTGCCACTAAAAATACAAAATTAGCCAGGCATGGTGGCACATACCTGTAATCCCAAGTACTTGGGAAGCTGAGGCAAAAGAATCACTTGACCCGACAGGCGGAGGTTGCAGTGAGCAGAGATTGCACCAGTGCACTCCAGCCTGGATGACAAAGCGAGACTCTATCTCAAAAAAAAAAAAAAAAAAAAAAAAAAAAAAAAAAAAGACCATACCTTCATGATAATTCATAAATAATCTGAACTGAAGCCTCCAAGCACCACACCCTGTAAATTCCTTACCTTCTATTTATTATTATTATTATTTTTTGAGACGGAATCTCACTCTGTAACCCAGGCTAGAGTGCAGTGGCACAATCTCGGCTCACTGCAACCTCCGCCTCCCGGGTTCAGGCACGTGCCACCACACCTGGCTATCATTATTATTTTTTTTGAGATAGAGTCTCCCTCTGTTGCCCAGGCTGGAGCACAGTGGCATGATCTCAGCTCACTGCAACCTCCGCCTCCCAAGTTCAAGCGATTCTTTTGCCTCAGCCTCCCGAGTAGCTGGGACTACAGGCGCATGCCACCACATCCAACTAATTTTTGTGTTTCTAGTAGAGATAGGGTTTTACCATGTTGGCCAGGCTGGTCTTGAACTCCTAACCTCAGGTGATCCACCCACCTTGGCCTCCCAAAGTGCTAGGATTACAGGCGTAAGCCACTGTACCCAGCCAGCAACTTCCCTACCCTCTAACAACTAAAGGGTTAATGCAGGCATTGCACTGGTCTCTGTCTCCCATCCATGGTCCTGGAAGAAACTGAGGTTCTGAGGGGGACATGGGTTGCCTACAGACTGACCAGTGCTGGGATTGGTCCCAGCCCCTGCTGCCCAGCCTTACTGCTGGGAAGCCCAGCCCTCCTTTAGTGGTCATTAAAGATTTTTAATATTGTCTTAGTATGTTCCTTCCCAAAATAATTTTGGATAATTTTGTTTCTCTTCAACACACACACACATACACACACATTTTAAAGTTCACAACTAACATATTTCTTCCTTTGTTTTAAACATTGGCAAAGGATGTTAACATTTGGGTATACTGTAATAGCAACATATATATATATATATATATATATATATTTAGAGACAGGGTCTTGCTCTGTTGCCCAGGCTGGAGTGCAGGGGCGCCAATCATAGCTCACTGTAACCTCAAATTCCTGGGCTGATGCCTATTATAATCCCAGTGCTTTGGGAGGCCAAGACAGGAAGATTGTTTGAGGCCAGGAGTTTGAGACCAGACTGGGCAACATAGTGAAACCCCGTCTCTGCAAAAAAAATAAAAAAAATCTAGCCAGGTGTGCTGGCGCAACCTGTAGTCTCAGCTACTCAGGTGGCTGAGGCTGTAGTGAGCTATGATTGTACCACTGCACTCCAGCCTGGGCTACAGAACAAGACTCTGTCTCAAAAATAAATAAATAAATTAAATTAAATTAAATTAAATTAAATTAACAAAAAGTTTAGGCTACTACCTGGCACAGAAATAAGAGTTACCTGGTGCTGGGCGCGATGGCTCACGCCTGTAATCCCAGCACTTTGGGAGGCCAAGGCAGGTGGATCACCTGAAGTTGGAAGTCCAAGACCAGCCTGACCAACACAGGGAAACCCCGCCTCTACTAAAAATACAAAATTAGCCAGGCATGGTGGTGCATGCCTGTAATCCCAGCTACTTGGGAGGCTGAGGCAGAAGAATCGCTTGAACCCAGGAGGTAGAGATTGCAGTCAGCTGAGATTGTGCCATTGCACGCCAGCCTGGGCAACAAGAGCGAAACTCCGTCTCAAACAAAACAAAACAAAACAAAACAAACAACAACAACAACAATAAACATAAAAAACCAAAAAACCCAAAAAGACACAATAAAAAAATTAAAAAAAGAGATGGGGTTTTGCATGTTGGCCAGGCTGGTCTCGAACTCCTGGACTCAAGTAATCTGCCTGGCATGGCCTCCCAAAGTGCTGGGATTACAGGCATGAGCTACCGAGCGTGGCCTATTACACCTTGTAACCATTTTGCAACTTTATCTCCTGGCCTGATCCAGGCCTACGTCTCCTTCCTGGTCCCTTTCCTGGGTCCTCCCTGGGCTCCTGGACCCAGTCCTGCCCTCTCCAATCCATATTCCACACAGCAGCCAGACAGAGTTCTCCACAGTAATATTTAAGTGCCTCTCTGCTCAGTTGCCTCCCGCAAGCCTGAAATGCCCTGTGATAAAACCCATGCTCCTCATGCCAGCCTTCCAGGCCCCTCGGGATCTGGCTTCTCCTCTCCAGGCTCTGCTGAAGCCTCTGCCCTCTTCACCCACAGCACATTTTTTTTTTTTTTTTTCTGAGACGGAGTCTCGCTCTGTTGCCCAGTCTGGAGTGCAGTGGTGCAGTCTCGGCTCACTGCAACCTCCGTCTCATGGGTTCAAGCGATTCTCCTGCCTCAGCCTCCTGAGTAGCTGTGATTACAGGCGCCTGCCACCATGCCTGGCTAATTTTTTTGTATTTTTAGTAGAGATGGGGTTTCACGATGTTAGCCAGGCTGGTCTCGAACTCCTGACTGTGTGATCCACCTGCCTCAGCCCCCCAAAGTGTTGGGATTACAGGCATGAGCCACTGCACCCGGCCCCAACTGCTCTTCTTTCAGTTCCTCAAATGCATGGTGCTGCTTCCTGCCTCCTGGACTTTGCACGTGCTGTGCCCTCTGCCTGGAACACCCTTTACCCTCTTTACCCGGTCCCCCCAGTAACTTGTACTTCCTCTGTCACAGCCCTCTTTATGCTGACCTGCAGCAAACCAAGCACCCTGTGGGTCCAGGGACTGTGTCATGTTTTCTGCCATCTCCCTGAACCTTTGTAAACACAAAAGCACAGGCATTACTGCCCCAGGGACCTTGATCCAAACTCCAGCTCTGCCACTTACCAGCTGAGGAACCTCATGCAACCTCTTCCGTGATTGGACCTCAGCTTCCTCATCTCTGAAGTGAGGATCACAGCACCAGCCTCCCCGTGCTATGTGACCACCTTTCATAGGGGAATGACACAAGATCTGTGCTGCCCTCACACATGGGGGAGCAGCAGGGGCTTGCATGGGCCAATATGGGCATTCTTTTTTTTTTTTTTTTTGAGATGAAGTCTCACTCTCTTGCCCAGGCTGGAGTGCAGTGGCGCAATCTCAGCTCACTGCAACCTCCGCCTCCCAGGTTCAAGCGATTCTCCCACCTCAGCCTCCAGAGTAGCTGGGATTATAGGTGTGCACCACAACACCCGGCGAATTTTTTGTATTTTTAGTAGAGATGGGGTTTCACGGTGTTAGCCAGGGTGGTCTCGATCTCCTGACCTTGTGATCCGCCCACCTTGGCCTCCCAAAGTGCTGGGATTACAGGCGTGAGCCATGGTGCCTGGCCTCTTTTTAAGCTTTTTGAAAATCTCAGCCATTGGCCGGGCGTGGTGGCTCACGCCTGTAATCCCAGCACTTTGGGAGGCTGAGGCGGGCGGATCATGAGGTCAGGAGATGGAGACCATCCTGGTTAACATGGTGAAACCCCATCTTTACTAAAAATACAAAAAAAATTAGCTGGGCATGGTGGCAGGCGCCTGTAGTCCCAGCTACTTGGGAGGCTGAAGCAGGAGAATGGCTGAACTCGGGAGGCGGAGCTTGCAGTGAGCTAAGATTGTGCCACTGCACTCCAGCCTGGGCGGCAGAGTGAGACTCTTGTCTCAAAAAAAAAAAAAAAAAAAAAAAAAAATCAGCCATCAATACAAAAAATTTCATTGCCTAACCTGGTGTACACAAACGCATACATATATAATTAAAATGAGTTTCACAAAACTAATACTTAACATGTGATACATTTTGATACTATGTCATCATTTGTTACCCTATATTGTTGATACACGTTGTGACCATATGTTTCAGATCTCATTGTAACTCACAGTTTGAGAAGCATCAGGTTGCAACAACCCTGCAAGGTAGGTATCATTATCCTGTCCACATTGATGGGGAAACTGAGGCAATTTTAGGCAACCGGGCCAGGATCACACAGCTAGTAGGTAGAGAAGGTTGAATTTTTACCTAAGTAAGTCTGATCCAGAGACTGCAAAATTCAATGCTAGTCTAAGTACCTCCTATATAAGATCTCATTTAATTATCCCAAGAGCCCTAGGGCAAGTACTACCAGTTTTGTCATGATCTTACACATATCTAGGTACACAGATGACAAGGCATTTGGTCACAAAGGCTGTAAGCCGCAGAGCTGGTGACTTGAATGTGGGCAGGCTGGCACCAGAGTTCATGCCTGTTAAGACTCTTGGCCCTACAGAACCATTGTGAACTCCAGTTAATCCAAGCCCCTTCTCCCTCCCTCCCTCCCTCCCTCCCTCCTTCCCTCCCTTCTTTCCTTCCCTCCCTCCCTCCCTCCATCCCTCCCTCCTTTTCTTCCTTCCTTCTTTCCTTTCATCTTGCTGTGTCACCCAGGCTGGAGTGCAGTGGTGCAGTGATGCAATCTTAGCTCACTGCAACCTCCCAGGTTCAAGCGATTCTTGTGCCTCAGCCTCCCAAGTACCTGGAATTACAGGCACGTACCACTGTGCCCAGCTAATTTTTTTTTTTTTGAGACAGAGTTTCACTCTTGTCGCCCAGGCTGGAATGCAGTGGCGTAATCTCGGCTCACCACAACCTCTGCCTCCCGGATTCAAGCTATTCTCCTGCCTCAGTCTGCCAAGTAACTGCGATTACAGGCACCAGCCACCATGCCCGGCTAATTTTTCGTATTTTTAGTAGAGACGGGGTTTCACTATATTGGCCAGGCTGGTCTCGAACTCCTGACCTCGTGATCCACCTGCCTCAGCCTCCCAAAGTGCTGAGATTACAGGCGTGAGCCACCGCACCCAGCCTCTTTTTCTTTCTTTTTATGTATTTTTTTAAATTTGAGAGACAGGGTCTCACCCTGTCACCCAGGCTGGAGTGCAGTGGTGCAAACACAGCTCACTGTAGCCTTGAACTCCTGAGCTCAAGCAATCCTCCCACCTGAGCCTTCTGAGTAGCTGGGACTACAGGCATGCATCACCACGCCCAGCTAATTTATTTTTTTTTTGTATTTTTGTAGAGATGGGGTCTTGCTACGTTGCCCAGGCTAGTCTCAAACTCCTGGCCTCAAGCCATCCTCCCGCCTTGGCCTCCCAAAGTGCTGGGATTATAGGCATGATCCACCGTGCCTGGCCAGCCCTTCCCTTTGCTGAGGGGGACAGCAAAGCTGAGAGCTGGGAAGAGATTTTTCAGAGCCACAGCTCTGAAGCTCCCTAGGCTCCAGTTCTTAACCCTCTGAGTGCAGTCCCAGCTATGACCAGCAGGGTGGGCGAGTGGAATTCGGTGGAATTAGTGGATTTCCAGGTGACTCAGCGCCTCTCAACTTCTCTCTCTTACTTCCTTCTCCATTACTCCCGAATAAATGCTTATCAGCAAACTGGTTTTTACTGAGAGGCCCACAGCTCCCCATTCTCCACAAGTCAAGATCCTCACGTGGTCTCCCTGGGGAAGGGGAGAGTTATGGACCTAGAGAAGAACTTTCAGAGTCCCTCCAAGGGAGACAGCAGAGTGGGGTCCTGTTGGCCTCCACCCTTTTGGGGCACGCAGATAGTCAATATCTTCAGCGTCCCCAAGGCCTGCAAGGGTGGGGCCCCATATCTGGAAGTCCCAGGCCCAGCTGGGAGTTGGTCAAGTCTGGGCTGTGGGGGCAGGGAGTGCTGGGGGATGGTTATCCCCTTTTCTGCCCTCTCTCCTGGGGCAACTCCAAATTTTCAGCCCTCATTGACTTTCCCAGGACTGCTGTCCCCAAGTCTTCACTCATGTCTCTCTGTGACTCCTTCCCATTAGGTACTCGCAGCAACCTGACCCCCCAACTTTTTCAGTTTCCAGCCTGGGGACTTGTGGTGGTTAAGAGCATGAGCTGAGTTCAAATCCCAGTCCTGTCAGTTAACAGCTGTGTGATATTGGGCAAGTCACTCTCTGGGTCTCAGTTTTCTCATCTGTCAAGTAGGGTGATACTAGTTCCCACCCCATTTTGAAAGCTCTCATGTGAAGAGACGACAGAGCAAGCTTGGCTTAGTAAATCCTCTCTGGGAGTGCGAACAACCACCACCACAACCACAATAATGACAACCGCATTGCATAAGAGCCCTGGACTTACACACGACTGTGCCAGTGGAGTCCTCCCGGGGCTCCCGGGGCCAATTCCTCTCTGGCTTGGACTCACATAAACTTGGATCTCACATCTTTCCCCATTTCTGCCCCCGTGGCCACTTGCTTTGGCCCCTGAGTCCTCATACACCTGGCTGGGGCGCTCATGGCCCCAATCAGCCTCGGCCCGACCCCATGGTGCCCCTTCCTAAAGTTCTGCCCGTCTGTCCCGTGACATGCCCCGCCCGCCCCGGCTCATGCCTGCTTGCACCGCCTGCGCCAGGGTGGTGAGCCCGGTCTGGCCAGTGGCGCCGAAGATCGCGATCTTCTTGACGGCCATCGTACGGGATCGTGGGGGTGCAAGGCCTCAGAGTCTCGGCACGCGCGGGAACCCACTGGCTGCTGGGCGGTGCTCTCTGCCCTACTCAAGCCAGGAACAACGGGGCGGAGCTGGCTCGAAGGGCCACGCCTCAGACTCTCCGCCCGCGGCTCAGGTCAAGGGGCGGGGCCTAACGCGGATGGGCGGGGCAGGCGTCAGCTTGCATTCGCTCACCGTCCAGCACCGCCCTCTCTGCGCGCCACTTAGACTGGAAGGCGGGGCCACAGAAGGCCACGCCTCCACATAGCAACAAATAGAGTGGACGGAGCCGAGATAACTTGTCACTCAGCGCCCTGCCTCCGCGCTCCACCTCCCGGAGAGGGGCGGGGCCAGGCGAGCCTCACCCACGGCCTCTCGTAGCTCACGCCCCCTCTCCCGGAGCCTGGAGCGGATCTGGGGCGCACTCTAAGCCCCAGGGCCTCCCAGAACCAGCAAGGGGAGAAAGTTAGGAGGACAGAGTGTGTGTGTGCACTTGGATGTAAGACACTGTGTCACGGCGTACCTATGCACTTATATGACCCTGTGTGACTCAGTGACCCGGAGGGCAAGCAGGACTGTGGGTGACACCTTGTGTCATCCTCTGAGTGTGATCCCGTGTTACAGTGTGACTACACGTGCGTGACACCACGTGTGGCAGGCATTGATTCTGTTCTTTTGTGACCTTGTGGTGACACCGTGGGTGACACTGCGTCAGCCTGTACGATAGGGTGTGGGACGTGTGAGGTGTGCTACATGGAAGCGTGAGACTAATTAGACTGTGACAGTGTGTGACACCACATGTCTCGTGTAAGGATGTGTGACACCGGGACCCCATTCGAGTGTGTGGCTGTGGGTGTCTGTGTTGAGCTGCTCATTGTGACCCCCTGTGACTATGATGTGTGAGGTGCGGCGGTGCAGCATGTGCGGGGCGACTGCTATGAAGGTTCGAGTGTGTAGAGTGTGTGACACTGTGGCTGTGAAGCTGTGCGTGATGTGTGGGCCTATGACACTGTTTGTGACTGCCGGGGAGTGTGCGGCTGTGTGTGACAGGTGCATTTGTGTGTGACGCCGCGTGGGCGGTGGTTACCCTATTGGATTTGTGTGGTGGTGGGTGACACCGTTCCAGTGTGGACGCCGCGTGTGACGGCGTGAGGGTGTGACCCCGTGAGACCCCACAGGAGGGAGTGACGGCGCGCAAGCGCGTGGATGCGGGGGTGAGTTTGTGCGCCGAGGCCCCCGCGAGTATGGCAGCGTGGCGAGCGTGACCCCGTGGGAGTGTGCAGCGCGTGACGCCGCCGTGCCCTCGCGAGTGCAGCCGTGCACCCCACGCCGCGGCCGGGTGTGACTGCGCGTGGGCCTCGGGCGGCGGGGCGCGGGGACCGCGGGCGGGAGGGGGTCCCGGGGGCGCGCTGAGCGCGGCGGCGGCGCGAGAGAGGGAGGCGCGGCGGCGCATGCGGATCTGGCTGAGCCGCGGGCCGGCGGGGCCGAGCTGAGCCGGGCTGGGCCGGGCCGGGCCGGGCCGGGCAGCGGACGCCGACAGGGAGGGCGGTCGGTCGCGGCGAGCAGCGGAGACAGCGACGCTGGCGGCCGCGGGCCCAGGTGAGCTGCTAGGGGGGCCGACAGCCCCTCCCCCAAGTATGTCCCCACCTGGCGAGCATCCCTCCTCCGCGCGCACGGGGCATGGCTGGAGCCCCGGGTCTCCCCGGCTGGAGGGAGGCAAAGGGTCGAGGGCAGGACGAGCCCACAACCCCCCCACCCGGTCTAGCTTCCGCGCCACGCGTGGGTCTTACCCCCAGGCCTTGTCCTTCCCAGGCCCCCTCCTTGGGCGCAGTGTCTGGACCGCAGGGAGAGAGGCGCGGCCTGGGAAGGGTTAAAGCCTCTGATGCCACCGCAGCCCAGCGCCCCACCAGCCTTTGCGGGGGGGGGGGGGTGTTGGGGGGAGGCTCGCAGGACACCCCTTCCCGGCTTCCCTATTACCTGCTCCCTTCCTTCCCATTCAATCGCGTTATGGCCAGAGCTGATCCTCGGCCTGGCCAGAGGGCTAACAGGAGTGCTAAGGGCCTCCCCATCTCTAAGTGTCTTCCACTGAAGAAAACAGCTGTAACCACCGTTTAACAGGGAGGGAAACTGAGGCACAGAAAGGCCAAGTTAAAGATACTCGGTTAAAGATACAGCAAGAATAAAGCGGAACTTGAACTCATTTCTGTCTGACTCCAGAAGAGGCAAATCGATTTGCTGAGATGTGTGAGGAAAAGATGAAGAATAATAGCAAGGAACATGTATCAAGGGCTTGCAGTGTACCAGATACCATGATCCCTGCATTAATAACTTACCTCTTCAAACACCGCTAAGAAACGGGTACGATTATCATTACTTTTTTTTTTTTTTGAGACGGAGTTTCACTCTTGTCACCCAAGTTGGAGTGTAATGGCGCGATCTTGGCTCACTGCAACCTCTGCCTCCCGACTTCAAGCAGTTCTCCTGCCTCAGCCTCCCAAGTAGCTGGGATTACGGGCATGAGCTACCATGCCTGGCTAATTTTGAATTTTTAGTAGACATGGGGTTTCACTATGTTGGTAAGGCTGGTCTCCAACTCTTGACCTCAGGTGACCCACCCACCTCCTTGGCCTCTCAAAGTGCTGGGATTATAGGCGTGAGCCACCGCCTGGCCTACCCTTTTGTGTGTGTGTGACAGAGTTTCATTCTGTCATTCAGGCTGGAGTGCAGTGAGTCAATCTCAGCTCACTGCAACCTCCATCCCCCAGGTTCAAGCGATTCTCCTGCCTCAGCCTCCCAAGTAACTGGGACTACAGACACGTGCCACCACGCCTGGCTAATTTTTGTATTTTTTTTAGTAAAGACCGGGTTTTGCCATGTTGGCCAGGCCGGTCTCGAATTCCTGGCCTCAAGTGATCCACCTACCTTGACCTCCCAAAGTGCTGAGATTATAAGCATGAGCCACCGTGCCGGGCCATCATTACTATTTTGCAGATGAACAAACTAAGGCCCAAAGAGTGGAAGTATTTCAGCCAAGGTCACACAGGTGGTAGGTAGCTGTGTGCTCACTTTCACTTTTCCATGGAAGGAGGGAAGAACAAAAATGGATTTGGGACTGGGCACAGTGGCTCACATGTGTAACCCCAGCACTTTGGGAAGTTGAAGTGGGCAAATAGCTTGAGCCCAGATGTTTGAGACCAGCCTGAGCAACATAGTGAGACCCCCTCTCTACAAAAAATACAAAAATTACCTGGTCATGGTGGAGCTTGCCTCTAGTCCCATCTACTCAGGAGGCTGAGGTGGGAGGATCGCGTGAGCACAAGAGTTGGAGGCTACAGGGAGCTATGATTGTGTCACTGCACTCTAGCCTGGGTGATAGAGCAATACCTTGTCTCAGAAAAAAAAAAAAGATTTCAATGTGTCCCCCTAAGGGACAATTTCCACTCTACTCACTCTACTGACCAAGACTTAGACCCTGCCTTCCTAGAATTCAGTGGGTTGGCAATTGTCTGGGTCTTTTGAGGACATTGATCTCCCAACTTCCTCCTTTGTTAGTCTTTTTTTTTTCCTTTTTCTTTTGAGAAGGAGTCTTACTCTGTCGCCCAGGCTAGAGTTTAGTGGCACAATCTCGGCTCACTACAACCTTCGCCTCCCGGTTTCAAGCAATTCTCCTGCCTCAGCCTCCTGAGTAGCTGGGATTACAGGCACCTGCAACCTTGCCCACCTAATTTTTGTGTTTTTAGTAGAGATGGGGTTTCACCATGTTGGCCAGGCTGGTCTTGAACTCCTGACCTCGTGATCCACCCGCCTCAGACTCCCAAAGTGCTAGGATTACAGGTGTGAGCCACCACGCCCAGCCGTTAGTCTTAGAATCAGGCCTGGGGGCCCAGAAGGTAAAGGAGATACATCTAATGTCACTTAACCCTTTAAATTTCTTCTCTTTTTTTTTGTTTTTTTTGAGATGGAGTCTCACTCTCTCACCCAGGCTAGAGTGCAGTGGTGCGATCTCGGCTCACTGCGACCTCCGCCTCCTGGGTTCAAGCAATTCTCCTGTCTCAGCCTCCTGAGTAGCTGGGATTACAGGCATGTACCACCATACCCGGCTAGTTTTTATATTTTTAGTAGAGGCGGGGTTTCACCATGTTGGCCAGGCTGGTCTGGAACTCCTGACCTCAGGTGATTCACCCACCTTGGCCTCCCAAAGTGCTGGGATTACAGGTGTGAGCCACTGTGCCCGGCCAATTTCTTCTTTTTTTAAATAATTTTTTGTTTTCTATTTTTTTATTTTCATTTAATTTAATTTTATTTTTTCTGAGATGGGGTCTCACTCTGTCGCCCAGGCTGGAGTGCAGTGGCACGATCTCAGCTCACTGCAACCTCTGTCTCCCAGGTTCAAGCGATTCTACTGTCTCAGTCTCCTGAGTAGCTGGGATTATAGGTGCACAATGCCATGCCTGGCTAATTTCTTGTATTTTAGTAGAGATGGAGTTTCACCAAGTTGCCCAGACTGGTCTCGAACCCCTGAGCTCAGGCAATCCACCCGCCTTGGCCTCCCTAAGTGCCAGGATAACAGGCATGAGCCACCGTGCCCGGCCTATTTTTATTTTTTTATTTTTGTTTGAGATGGTGTCTCGCCCTGTTGCCCAAGCCGGAGTGCAGTGGTGCCATCTTGGCTCACTGCAACCTCTGCCTTCCCAGGTTCAAGCGATTCTCCTGCCTCAGCCTCCTGAGTAGCTGGGATTGCAGGCATGCACTACCATGCCCAGCTCATTTTTGTATTTTTAGTAGAGATGGGGTTTCACCATGTTGGCCGGGCTGGTCTTGAACTCCTGACCTCAAGCGATCTGCCTGCCTTGGCCTCCCAAAGTGCTGGGATTACAGGTATGAGCCACTGTGCCTGCCCCCTCCACTTTAAATTTTTCTTCTTCTTCTTCTTCTTTTTTTCTTGAGAATGAGTCTTACTCTGTCGCCCAGGATAGAGTGCAGTGGCACAATCTCAGCTCATTGCAACCTGCGCCTCCTGGGTTCAAACGATTCTCCTCCCTCAGCCTCCTGAGTAGCTGAGATTACAGTAGCCCGAAACCACACCCAGCTAATTTTTGTATTTTCAGTAGAGACCGGGTTTCACCATGTTGGCCAGGCTGGTCTCGAACTCCTCACCTCGTGATCCGCCTGCCTCGGCCTCCCAAAGTGCTGGGATTACAGGCAGGACCCACTGTGCCCAGCCCCATTAATGCAAATATTCTATCACCTTTTTTTTTTTTGAGACGGAGTCTTGCTCTGTCTCCCAGGCTGGAGTGCATTGGCATGATCTCGGCTCACTGCAGCCTCCACCTCCCAGGTTCAAGTGATTCTCCTGCCTCAGCCTCCTGAATACCTGGGATTACAAGTGTGTGACACCACGCCCAGCTAATTTTTGTATTTTTAGAGACAGGGTTTCACCATGTTGGCCAGGCCGGTCTTGAACTCCTGACCTCAGGTGATCTACCCATCTCAGCCCCAAAAAGTGCTGGGATTACATGCATGAGCCACCGCGCCTGGCCCTATCATCTATGTTTGAATCCTAGATACTAACTGGCTGTGTAACCTTGGAAAAATAGATCAACTCCTCTGTGCCTCAGTTTCCTCCTCTGTAAAATAGGTGTAATAATAGCCAACTGTTAGGGAATTAAATTTGTGGAAATAATAAGAGAAGGTACATGAAGTACTGACCACAGTGCAAGTGTTCAATATGTTCATTATTGTTATTACTGCATTACAGAACTCTATTGTTCTAATAATAACAGTGACAATTTGCTGAGCCCTTAATATGTGCCAGGGGCTAAGCCATGTGTTTTATCACATCCTGTGAAGTGGTGAGGGTGAACATTATTATTATTATTATTTAGAAATAGGGTATCGCCATATTGCCCAGTTTGGAGTGCAGTGTCACTATTATAGATCACTGTAGCCTTGGCTTCTTGGGCTCAAGCCATCTTCCTGCCTCAGCCTCCTAAATAGCTGGGACTACGGGTGGCAACCACCACATTTGGCTAATTTTTAAATTTTTTTAAAAGACAGTTTCTGGCTCTGCTGCCCAGGCTGGAGTGCAGTGGCGCTATCTTGGCTCACTGCAACCTCCACTTCACAGGCTCAAGCCATCCTCACACCTCAGCCTCCTGAGTAGCTGGGATTACAGGCACGTTGCCACCACATCCAGCTATTTTTTTTTTTTTTTTTTTTTTGAGACAGAGTTTCGCTTTTGTTGCCCAGGCTGGAGTGCAATGGCATGATCTTGGCTCACCACAACCTCCGCCTCCCGGGTTCAAGCGCTTCTCCTGCCTCAGCCTCCCGAGTAGCTGGGATTACAGGCATACTCCACCTCGCCTGGAGAATTTTGTATTTTTATTAGAGACAGCGTTCTCCATGTTGGTCAGGCTGATCTCGAACTCCCAACCTCAGGTGATCCGCCCGCCTCTGCCTCCCAAAGTGCTGGGATTATAGGTGTGAGCCACCGTGCCTGGCCAATTTTTGTATTTTTTTGTAGAGACAGGGTTTCACCATGTTGCCCAGGCTTGTCTCGAACTCCTGGGCTCAAGCAATCCGCCCTCCTCAGCCTCTCAAAGTGTTGGGATTATAGGCCTGAGCCACTGCGCCTGGCTTATTTTTATTTTTATAGAGATGAAATCTTGCTATGTTGCCCAGGCTGGTCTCCAACCCCTGGGCTCAAGCGATTCTCCTGCCTCTGCCTCCCAAAGTGCTGGGATTACAGGCATGAGCCACTGTGCCTAGGCCTTATCATTGTTATTATGTCCACTTTAAAGACAGAGAAATTGAGGACAAGAGAGGGGACAGGACTCAAAGCCAGTCACTGTTAGAAATGAGACTTGATCCTAGACCTAACCTACCTCTCCCTATGTCCAGGCCTCACCTTCCCCGATGGCGCAGGTACCAGGGGAAGTGGACAACATGGAGGGCCTGCCTGCTCCTAACAACAACCCTGCTGCCCGCTGGGAGAGTCCGGATCGGGGCTGGGAGCGGGAGCAGCCGGCTGCGTCCACCGCAGCGGCCTCGCTCTTTGAGTGCTCCCGGATCAAGGCCTTGGCAGGTACCTGGAGGAGGGCTGGGGTGGGATGAGGAGGAGGGGGAAGGGGGAAGGGTGCCCGAGAACCTTGGTGGCTGGGAGGGTGGGAAAAGAGACCAGCACTGTCCAATAGAACTTTCCATGATGGTGGAAATAGTCTATATCCATAATGTACCATATAATAATCACTAGTCTCTGTGACTTTTGAATGCTAGAAATGTGGCCAGTGCTATGTGACAGCCTTTGAGTTTTAAATTTTATTTAGTTTTAATTAAATTTATTTATATATATATTTTTTGAGACAGAGTCTTATTCTGTTGCCCCGGCTGGGGTGTAGTGGTGAGATCTTGGGTCACTGCAATCTCCACCTCACCGGCTCAAGCCATCCTCCTACCTCAGCCCCCTGACTAGCTGGGACTACAGGTGCCCGCCACCACACCCGGCTAATTCTTTTTGTATTTTTAGTAGACACCGGGTTTCACTGTGTTTGCCAGGCTGGTTTTGAACTTCTGATCTTAAGTGATCCACTTGCTTTGGCTTCCCAAAGTGCTGGGATTACAGGCATGAGCCACTGCACCTGGCCTGGTGTTTTTTTTTTTTTTTTTTTTGAGACGGAGTTTCGCTCTTGTTGCCCAGGCTGGAGTGCAGTGGCGCGATCTCGGCTCACCGCAACCTCCACCTCCCAGGTTCAAGCGATTCTCCTGCCTCAGCCTCCCTAGTAGCTGGGATTACAGGCATGTGCCACCACGCCCAGCTAATTTTGTATTTTTACTAGAGACGGGGTTTCTCCATGTTGGTCAGGCTGGTCTCGAACTCCCAACCTCAGGTGATCCACATGTCTCGGCCTCCCAAAGTGCTGAGATTACAGGCATGAGCCACGGCACCCGGCCTGTTTTAATTAAATTTAAATAGCCACATGTGGCTTGTGACTGCTGTATAGGTCAGCACAGCCTTAGAGCCTTAGAAATGTACAGTCCCAGAATGGTGGGACTCTGTAAGCATATTCCCTTAGAATCCCGAAATGCAGAGCCATCAGATCCTTGGAACTTGAAATGTCTAAGAGATTCTTAGACCTCTTGAAATGAAGACCTCTGGCCTGGCGCGGTGGCTCACGCCTGTAATCCCAGCACTTTGGGAGGCAAAGGTGGACAGATCTCTTGAGTGCAGGAGTTCGAGACCATGTTCGCCAACATAGTGAAACCCTGTCTCTACTAAAAATAAAAATAAAAAAAAAAATTAGCCAGGCGTGGTGGCATGCATCTGTAGTTCCAGCTATTTGGGAGGCTGAGGTGGGAGGATGGCCTGAGACTGTGAGGTGGAGATTGCAGTGAGTCAAGATCGCGCCACTGCACTCCAGCCCCAGCAGTAAAGCAAGAACCTATCTCAAAAAAAAAAAAAAAAAAAAAAAAAAAAGAGCTTTGGAAATGTGAAACGTTATCATCACAGACCTAAGAAATTTTAGTCATTGTTCCCTAGGATCATAGGCCCTTAGAAACTGAAACTGTAATACACAGGAACCTTTGGGACTTGATAATACTAAACCTTTGGAGTTTCCAATTAGAAATGTGGATCTTGAGAAATCTGACATAGAGTGACCAAAACCTTCCTGCTTTTACCACCGAAACTCTCAGCCTTGGGCCAACCAGTACAGTGGGTCACCCTACCATTTTTTTTTTTTTTTTGAGTCAGGGTCTCACTCTTCACCCAGGCTGGAGTGCAGTGGTGTGATCATGGCTCACTGCAGCCTTGAACTCCTGGACTCAAGTGATCCTCCCACCTCAGCCTCCTGAATAGCTGGAACTACAGGCATGCGCCACCATGCCTGGCTAATTAAAAATAATTTTTTTTTTTGGCGAAGCATGGTGGCGGATGCCTGTAATCCCAGCACTTTGGGAGGCTGAGGCGGATGGATCACTTGAGATCAGGAGTTTGAGACCAGCCTGACCAATATGGTGACACTACTAAAAATACAAAAATTAGATGGGTGTGGTGGTGGGCACCTGTAATCTCAGCTACCCAGGAGGCTGAGGCAGGAGAATCACTTGAACCCGGGAGATGGGGGTTTCAGTGAGCTGAGATCACACCATTTCAATCCATCCTAAGTGACAAGAGCTTAACTCCGTCTCAAAACAAAACAAAAAAATTTTTTTGTAAGATGGGGTCTTGCTATGTTGCCCAGGCTGGTGTGGAACTCCTGGGCTAAAATAACCCTCCCACCTCGGCCTCCGAAAGTGCTTTGATTACAGGGGTAAGCCAGAGTGCCTAGTAGTCACCCTACTTTGATGTATCAGAACAATATTAGCAAAGACCAGAGAACTTTATAGTTATAGAAAGACCTTAGACCTTTAGAACTGTAGACCCTTGAACCTTAGTACTTAGTATTCATAGAGGTCTGGAACCTTAGAAGTGTTTAATCATCAGCATTAAAACTGGCAAAGACCCTGAGGAGCCTCAGAGATATGGAACGTCATAATCATAAGCCTTTAAAACATGACACCCTAGCACCTTTGACCCTTGGGACCTTAACATCTTAGAAACACGGAGCGCTAGAATCATAAAATATAGATGATCATAATCATGAATTCTTAAAACCCAAAGGTCAGAATCAGTTCCCTCCAAATCTTAGAACTTTAGTAACTCAGCAGTTTATAATCACAAGATGGATCTCTGATACTAAGATTTTTGGAACTTTATTTATTTATTTATTTATTTGAGGTGGAGTCTCACTCTGTTGCCCAGGCTGGAGTGCAGTGGCGCAATGTCAGCTCACTGCAACCTCCACCTCCCAGGTTCATGAGATTCTCCCGCCTCGGGAGTCCCGAGTAGCTGGGACTACAGGCCCGCACCACCATGCCTGGCTAATTTTTGTATTTTTAATTGAGGCGGGGTTTCACCATGATGGCCAGGCTGGTCTTGAACTCCTGGGCTCGGGCAATCTGCCCACCTTGGCCTCCCAAAATGCTAGGATTACAGGCATGAGCCATGGCGCTGGCTCAAGAAACCTGGCTGATCTAGAAACCTGTAGTCCCAGCACTTTGAGAGGCCGAGGCGGGCGGATCGCTTGAGCCCAGGAGTTCGAGACCAGCCTGGCCAACATGGTGAAACCCCGTCTCTACTAAAAATATAAACATTAGCCAGGTGTGGTGGCGCATGCCTGTAGTTCCAGCTAGTCAACAGGCTGAGGTGGGAGAATCTCCTGAGCCCGGGAAGCAGAGGTTGCAGTGAGCCGAGATTGTGCCACTGCACTCCAGCCTGGGCAACAGGTTGAGACCCTGTCTCAAAACAATAAGAAACCTGGTTAGGCGCGGTAGCTCACGCCTATAATCCCAGCGCTTTGGGAGGCCAAGGTGGGGGGATCACTGGAGGTTGGGTGTTTGAGACCAGCCTGGCCAGCACGGCAAAACCCTGTCTCTATTAAAAATACAAAAATTAGCTGGGTGTGGTGGCGCGTGCCTCTAATCCCAGCTACTCAGGAGGATGAGGCAGGAGAATCGCCTGAACCTCAGAGGCGGAGGTTGCAGTGAGCCTAGATCGTGCCATTGTACTCCAGCCTGGGCGTCAATAGCAAAACTCTGTCTCAAAAAAAAAAAAAAAAAAGAGAGAGAGAGAGAAATCTGTATATGCCACAAAGTATGAACCAGATTCAACTGGTGGATTGCCAGCTTTGTCTGATCTAGAAACCTAGACTGATGAAAACATACACTCATGGAAACTTACAGTCATACTTTTAGAGCCTTAGAACCTTAAAAAGGTAGGAACATATCAACTTAGAATTCTAGAATTTACTAATTTAGTGTAAGTGAGTTTGTTTTTAGTTTTGTTTGTTTGTTTTTGTTTTTGAGAAGGAGTCTTGCTCTGTCGCCCAGGCTGGAGGGCAGTGACACTATCTCGGCTCACTGCAAGCTCCGCCTCCTGGGTTCATGCCATTCTCCTGCCTCAGCCTCCCGAGTAGCTAGGACTACAGGCGCCTGCCACCATGCCCCGCTAATTTTTTGTATTTTTAGCAGAGATGGGGTTTCACTGTGTTAGCCAGGATGGTTTTGATCTCCTGACCGCGTGATCTGCCCGCCTTGGCCTCCCAAAGTGCTGGAATTACAGGCATGAGCCACCGCGCCCGTCCTGTTTTTAGTTTTTGTTTGTTTTTTGAGGAGGAGGGGGTCTCTCCATGTTGCCTAGACAGGTCTCAAACTCCCGGTGTCAACTCATCCTTCTGAGTAGCTGGGATTACAGATGTGTACCACCACTCCCAGCTGTAGAATTTATTATTATTATTATTATTATTATCATTATCATTATTATTATTTGGACTGCTGCCAGGCTGGAGTGTGGTGATAAAAATCATAGCTCACTACAACCTCCAACTCCTGGGCTTGAGCAATCCTCCCACCGTAGCCTCCCAAGTAGCTGAGACTACAGGCATGCACCATCATGCCCAGCTAATTTTCTTATTATTTTATTTTTTTATAGAGACAGGGTCTCGCAATATTTTCCAGGCTGAACTTGAACTCCTGGACTCAAGTGATCCTCCCACCTTGGCCTCCCAAAGTGTTGGGATTACAGGTGTGAACCACTGGAATTTATTTTATCTAGAAAATATTAATTCAGTGCCTGCTGTGTGCCTGGCTCATGCTGGACAACATGAGGGGCATAGTGGTGACTGAGGCAGCCTGGGTCCTGCCCCCACAGGACTCATAGGTCAGTGAGAGAGAGAGATCCGGTTAGACAATGATGACCCAGAGGGGTCAGAGACAGGGTAGGGGAGGCACAGGCAGAGAGGTTGGGGCTGTTGACAGAAAGGCACAAGCATCAGGCTGTGATGGGGAAGCCCAAGGACTGTGGGAGCCCATAGGATGTACTTGATCCAGCCTGGAGAATCAAGGAGGGCTTCTTGGAGAAGGAGAGGCCTAACTTCAGGCCTAAAGGATGAATTGGCATGAACACTGGAGTGAAGAGTGGAAGAGTATTCTAGGTAGAGGGAACTGCATATGCAAGGCCTCCAGAAGCTGGGAGTGGCTTGACTGAGAAGGATACAGGTGAGGAGTAAATGATGATGGGAGAGGAGCCAGTGGAAGCCAGATCCTTTTTTTTTGAGACGGAGTTTCGCTCTTGTTGTCCAGGCTGGAGTGCAATGCCGCAGTCTCGGCTCACTGCAACCTCCGCCTCCTGGGTTCAAGCGATTCTCCTGCCTCAGCCTCCTGAGTAGCTGGGATTACAGGCGCCTGTCACCTTGCCTGGCTAATTTTTGTATTTTTAGTAGAGATGGGGGTTTCACCATGTTGGCCAGGCTGGTCTCGAACTCCTGACATCAGGTGACCCACCTGCCTCAGCTTCCCAAAGTGCTGGGATTACAAGCATAAGCCACTGAGCCTGGCAGAAGCCAGCTCTTAAAGGGCCTTGCGGGGTACCAGGGAGCTATGGAAAGATTTTAAGCAGAGGTGGGAAGATTTTAAGCAGAGGTGGGATATGGTAAGATGAGAATTAAGGACTCTCCAAATCTTAGAACCATGCTTCTGAGAGCATCTTGCCCAGGGAAATGTAGAAATCCCCTTTAAGATAAAAAAAAAAAATCCTCTCCAGTTTGGGCAACAAAGCAAGATCCTGTATGCACAAAACTTTAAAAATTAACTGGCCACAGTGGCATGTGCCTATATTACTCTGGAGGCTGAGGCAGGAGGATCGCTTGAGCCCAGGAATTGAAGGCAGTGATCTATGATGGCACCACTGCATTCCAACCTTCCAGCTTGGGCAACAGAGTGAGATCCCACCTTAAGAAATTTTATTTTATTTTATTTTTTTTGAGACAGAGTCTCGCTCTGTCACCCAGGCTGGAGTGCAATGGCACGATCTTGGCTTACTACAACCTCTGCCTCCTGGGTTCAAGCTGTTCTCCTTCCTCTGCCTCCCGAGTAGTTGGTATTACAGGCGCCCGTCACCACGCCCAGCTAATATTTTGTATTTTTAGTAGAGATGGGGTTTCACCATGTTGGCCAGGCTGGTCTTCAACTCCTGACCTCAAGTGGTCCACCTGCCTCAGCCTCTCAAAGTGCTGGGATTACAGGCGTGAGCCACGCCCGGCCTGTATGACTTTCATAAATGCTCACAAATGCACAACTCTGCTTAAATCTCCCATGCTTAGGGTTCACATATAGCTCTACAAGTAAAACACATTTATAGAGGAACTCCAGACCCCAAACCAGTAACATTCAGCTTAATAGTAACTTCATGATGCTGCTCTCCTGCTGAAACCACCTTGCCACTCAAAGTGCAAATATGACGTAGACCACTACGCTGCATTTCTTTTGCATCCCTTTGCCCAGCTCTCTCATGGTTTTTCTCCCGCTTTTATTTTGAGGCAGAGTCTCACTCTGTCACCCAGGCTGGAGTGCAGTGGTGCTATCACGGCTCACTGCAGCCTCGACCTCCCAGGTTGCCTGTAATCCTAGCACTGAGGCTGAGATGGGAGCATCACTTGAGCCCAGGAGTTTGAGACCGACCTGGACAACATAGTGAGACCCTGTCTCTATCAATGTTTTCAACATTAAGGAAAATTGTTTGGACCCCACGTTCAGTGTGTTCTCCTACTCACCCTCCACAGTTTGTGGCTCACTACTGTCATTGATCTGTGTGACGCCTCTCTCCAATTCTCTTTTATTCCCAAATCTCAAATCAATTTCTTCTCCCCTGTAGGCAACCACTGACATTGTTTTGTTTTGTTTTTTAAATAAAGATGGGGTCTTGCTATGTTGCCTAGGCTGGTCTTGAACTCCTGGGCCCAAGCAATTCTCCCACCTCGACCTCCCAAAGTGTTGGGAAGCCACTGCTTCTGACCCCATTCAGATAGTTTTTAATGTGAATCTTTTTCTTTGCATGAGAATAATTTTGCAAAATGTGCATTGCTAATGAGTAAGCATATATATATATATATATATATATATATTTAACTTTTTATTATTAAAGTAGTTCATGACACAGAATGGCAGATAAATCATGCCAATATTTCCACAAATGAGTACTCTCTTGTAACCAGCACCCATATTAAAAAACAGAATATACAATGGGGTGTGGTGACTCATGCCTGTAATCCGAGTGCGTTGGGAAACTGAGGCATGATGATCACTTGAGGCCAGGAGTTCAAGACCAGTCTGGGCAACATAGAGAGACCCCGTCTCTACAAAAAAAAAAAATTAAAAATTAGCTGGGTGGGGCCAGGCGTGGTGGCTCACGCCTGTAATCCCAGCACTTTGGGAGGCAGAGGCGGATGGATCACGAGGTCAGGAGATTGAGACCATCCTGGCTAACACAGTGAAACCCTGTCTTTACTAAAAATACAGAAAATTAGCTGGGCGTGGTGGTGGGCACTTGTAGTCCCAGCTGCACGTGAGGCTGAGGCAGGAGAATGGTGTGAACCTGGGAGGCGGAGCTTGCAATGAGCGGAGATCAAGCCACTGCACTCCAGCCGGGGTTAACAGAGAGAGACTCCGTCTCAAAAAAAAAAAAAAAAAAATTAGCTGGGTGTGGTGGCATGAGCCTGTAGTCCTAGCTACTCAAAAGACTGAGGTGGGAAGATTGCTTGAGCCCGAGTTCCAGGCTGCAGTGACCTAAGAAGGTGCCACTGCCCTCCAACCTGGGCAACAGAATGAGATACCATCTCTAAAAAACAAACAAACAGAATGTGACATATGACAGCTCCAGAAAAGCATCCTCATGCCACCTCCCTATCACTACAGTCCAAGGGTGTACTCTCTTAACTTCTAACAGCTCAGCTTCATTTTGCTGGTGTTTTAACTTTCTGTAAATGGAATAATGCATTGTGTGTTGTTTTATGTCCGGCATTATTCACTCAACATTATGCTTGTGGGAGATTCATCCATGTCTCCCTGTGCTTGTGGGGTGGTCCTTCTCCTTGCTGTATAGTGTTGCGTGGTGTGAATGTACCACAGTGTGTTTGTGCATTCACCTGTTGATAAGCATTTGGGTTGCTGCTAGTTTGGGGCTACTATAAATGGTGGTGTTGGGCCAGGTGTGGTGGCTCATGCCTGTAATCCCAGCACTTTGGGAGGCCAAGGCAGGCGGATTACTTGAGTCCAGGAGTTCAAGACCAGCCTGGGCAATACAGTGAGACCCCATTTCTACTAAAAATACAAAAAAGTTTGCTGGGTGTGGTGGTGCATGCCTGTAATCCCAGCTACTCAGGACGCTGAGGCAGGAGAATCACTTGAACCCAGGAGGTGGAGGTTGCGGTGAGCCAAGATAGTGCCACTGGACTCTAGCCTGGGTAACAGAGTGAGACTCTGTCTTAAATAAATAAATACATAAAATAAATGGTGGTGTTCTCAAGTTTCTAGTACACATATTTGGTGGACATATGCGCTTGTTTCTGGTGGTTTACACCCACGCAGGAGTGAAGCTGTCCAATCATAGAGTAAGGGTATATATTTTATTTTACATATATATGTATCTGTTGTTGTTAATTGAGACAAGGTCCCGCTATGTTGCTCAGGCTGGTCTCCAACTCCTAGGCTCAAGCAGTCCTCCTGCCTTGGCTGCCCAAAGTGTTTGGATTACATGTGTGAGCCATGCGCCCGGCCAAGTGAGTGCATATCTAACTTTAGTAGAGACTGCCCGTTTGTATCGTTTTATATTCCCACTAGCAGTGTACCAGAGATTCAGTTACTGTGCACCCCACCCTTGCGATGGTCAGGTTTTTTGTTTTGTTTTGTTTTGTTTGAGACAGAGTCCCACTCTGTCGCCCAGGCTGGAGTGCAGTGGCGCGATCTCTGCTCACTGCAACCCCCGCCTCCTGAGTTCAAGCAATTCTCCTGTGTCAGCCTCTCAAGTAGCTGGGATTACAGGCGCACACCACCACGCTCAGCTAATTTTTGTATGTTTAGTAGAGACGGGGTTTCGCCATGTTGGCCAGGCTGGTCTCGAACTCCTGACCTCAGGTGATCTGCCTGCCTCAGCCTCCCAAAGTGCTGGGATTACAGGCGTGAGCCACCATGCCCAGCTGATGGTCAGTCTTTTTAATTTTAGCCATTTTGGTGGCTGTGCATTCTGTTGTGGTTTTACTTTGCATTTTCCTGATGACTAAGAACAACGAAGAAGGTGAAGCACATTTTCATACATTTATTGGCCATTCAAATATCCTTTAGTGAGATGGCCATTCAAGTCTTTTTTTTTTTTCTTTTGAGATGGAATCTTGCTCTGTTGCCCAGGCTGGAGTGCAATGGCACGATCTCAGCTCACTGCAACCTCCGCCTCCCAAGTTCAAGCAATTCTCCTGCCTCAGCCTTCTGAGCAGCTGGGAATACAGGTGCCCGCCACCACACCTGGCTAATTCTTATATTTTTAGTAGAGATGGGGTTTCACCATGTTGGCCAGGCTGGTCTCGAACTCCTGACCTCAGGTGATCGACCCACCTCTGCCTCCCAAAGTGCTCTGATTACAGGCGTGAGCCACCATGCCTGGCCTGATTTTTAATTTTTTATACAATGGGGTCTGGCTATGTTGCCAAGGCTGGTGTGGAACTCCTGGCCTCAAGCAATCCTCCTGCCTCGGCCTCCCAAAGTGCTGGGATAATGGGCATGAGCCACCATGCCTGGCCTGATTTTTCTATTCCTGATTACAGTCTTGTTAGCATGGAGCAAGAGTTGAGAACTGAAATGCCCACCAAGACCAGACGGGCTGCATACACTGAGAGAACTGGGACCTCCTGTAAGAGGGCAGCGGCCACATAGCTCCCGCGATGGCAGCCTGGCAGGAATGGAGGTCCAGGGTTGCCGTATCATGTGATATTTCATGAGAAGCCCAAAATCTAAATTTTTTAAAGACAAAGTCTTCCTATTTTAAAATGTTGGCAACTGATTTACATTTTTATAAAACGCAGTCGGGGTGCAACCAAATATATCTCAGAGGCTGGGCGCAGTGGCTCATGCCTGTAATCCCAGCACTTTGGGAGGCTGAGGCGGGCGGATCACCTGAGGTTGGGAGTTCGAGACCAACCTGACCAACATGGAGAAACCCTGTCTCTACAAAATATACAAAATTAGCCGGGCCTCGTGGCGCATGCCTGTAATCCCAGCTACTCGGGAGGCTGAGGCAGGAGAATTGCTTGAACCTGGGGGGTGGAGGTTGCAATGAGCCAAGATTACACCACTGCACTCCAGCCTGGGAGACAGAGGGAGACTCCATTTCAAAAAAATAATAATAAATAATAAAATAAATAAATAAAATATATATGTATACACACACACACATAGACACACACACCCCTACCTCTCTCAAGTATGAGTTCCCAAAATCGATGATCCCCCAGAATCCACTGAAGAAAGCCAAATCTAGTCCAAATCCCTCTTTTTGCGAATGTGAAAACTGGGGTCCCGAGAGGGGAGATGACCTCGAGAAGTCACCTGGCCAGTTATTAGTACAGACAGGGCAGAACCCAGTTGTCCTCATTCTGGTACCACTCTAGGGATGCACTAAAATTCCACTTTGGCTTTAGTACTAGCCAAAACCTGCTATTTGGCATGGGCATCATCTGTTAGAAGGCAGAGGAATAAATCCTCAATTTAAAATAATTAAAAGAGTATAATTGGATTGTCTGCAACACAAAAGTATCTATCCCTTAAATATATATAACTGCTATGTACCCACTAAAATTAAAAATACAATTTTTTAAAAAAAATATTGCTTCTTACTCTAGCAGTAGAAAATATACATTTACTTATCTGTATTTTTTAACTTTAAATTGCACCTTGAATGTTTACCTCTAGTTTGAAAACAAATATGCAAATATTAACAGTAAATGCAAAGGAAATATCTTGTTTGTGTCAGTGTGGGTTTTGTGCTGTTTAGATAAGATGGGACCCTATGTGAATACTGATCATCAATCATACCTGAGAAAGTGATGGCAGAAAAGATGCTAAATTGAGGATTTATTCCTCTGCCTTCTAACAGATGATGCCCATGCCAAATAGCAGGTTTTGGCTAGTACTAAAGCCAAAGTGGAATTTTAGTGCATCCCTAGAGTGGTACCAGAATGAGGACAACTGGGTTCTGCCCTGTCTGTACTAATAACTGGCCAGGTGACTTCTCGAGGTCATCTCCCCTCTCGGGACCCCGGTTTTCACATTTGCAAAAAGAGGGATTTGGACTAGATTTGGCTTTCTTCAGTGGATTCTGGGGGATCATCGCAAAGCTCTTCGCAAAGCTGAGGTGGAACGATGGCTTGAGCCTGGGAGGCAGAGGTTGCAGTGAGCCATGATCTTACATCACCGCACTCCAGCCTGGATTTTATACAGGGCAGACCCTGTATCAAAAAAAAAGAGAGAAAAACAAGTACAATTAAATTATTATTGAATATAATCACCCTGTTGTACTGATATCAAATACTAGATCTTACTCATTCTTTCCATATTTTGTACCCATTAACCATCACCCCTTCCCTTAACCCCACTATTGATAATGTTACAAAAGGTAAATTTTATGAAAAAGGAAATTATTGAGAGATTTCAAATGGTTGAAGGAGAAATAAACTGGAAATATACATCTTTATTCCTGAATTAATGGAAAACTTAATAGGAAACTTAATATTATTTAGTAATGGGATTTTAACAGTAACTGTACAGGCTAAGCTGCCAACAAATCGACTTCACAGTACAGTGGCTTAATGGAGAAGCTATTTCTCCCTCCCAGATAACCTCGAGATGATCAACACAGTTGGCAGGAAGACTTAGCTCAGAGAGGTCAGTGTACATTCCAGGTTAATTTCATCTTGTATTCTGTAGACATTGACCTTGGTTTTCCAGTTTATGGGAGTCAGGGGAAGAAAGAGGAAGGCCAGGCAGCAATTTTCTTTTTCTTTTTTAAACTTTATTTTTGGCCAGGCGAGGTGGCTCACGCCTGTAATCCTAGCACTTTGGGAGGCCAAGGGGGGTGGATCACGAGGTCAGGAGATGGAGACCATCCTGGCTAACATGGTGAAACCCCATCTCTACTAAAAAAAAATTAAAAAAAATTAGCCGGGCGTGGTGGCAGGTACCTGTAGTCCCAGCTACTGAGGAGGCTGAGGCAGAAGAATGGCGTGAACCCGGGAGGCAAAGCTTGCAGTGAGCTGAGATCGCGCCACTGCACTCCAGCCTGGGCGATAGAGTGAGACTCCGTCTCAAAAAAAAAACAAAACAAAAACCAAAAAACAAAAAACAAAAAAACCACTTTATTGGCACCCACCACCATGCCCGCTAATTTTTGTTTTTCTGGTAGAGGTGGGGTTTCACCATGTTGGCCAGGCTGGTCCCAAACTCCTGTCGTCAGGTGATCCACCTGCCTCAGCCTCCCAAAGTGCTGGGATTACAGGCGTGAGCCACCGTGCCTGGCCTAAACTTTATTATTTATTTATTTTGGAGGCAGAGTCTCGCTTTGTAGCCCAAGCTGGAGTGCAGTGGCACGATCTCGGCTCACTGCAACCTCCACCTCCCTGGTTCAAGCGATTGTCATCCCTCAGCCTCCTGAGTAGCTGAGATTACAGATGTGCGCCACTAAGTCCTGCTAGTTTTTTGTATTTTTAGAAGAGACAGTGTTCGAGAGGCTGGTCTCGAACTCCTGAGCTCAGGCAATCCACCTACCTTGGCCTCCCAAAGTGCCAGAATTACAGGTGTGAGCCACCATGCCCAGCCTTTTTAAAACTTTAGATTATGAAATAATTACACATTCATAGGAAGTCGCAAAGATAGTAGAGATGATAAAAAGACATGTAACTGGCTGGTTGTGGTAGCTCGAGCCTGTAATCTCAGCACTTTGGGAAGCGTACGTGGGAGGATTGCTTGAGCACAGAAGGTTGAGACCAGCCTGGGCAACATCGTGAGACCCTTGTCTCTACAAAAATAAAAATTAAAAAATCAGATGGGCATGGTGGCATGTGCCTGTAACCCCAGATACTCAGGAGGTGGGAGGACTGCATAAGCCTGAGAGGTTGAGGCTGCAGTGAGCCATGATTGTGGCACTGCACTCAAGCCTAGGCGGCAGAGTGAGATTGTGACTCAAAAAAAAAAGAGTAATCCTACTAAAAAATGTCCAAGGGATTTTAATGACGTTTCTCCAAAGATATACAACTGTCTGATGGAGCATGAAAAGATGCTCAACATCATTAGCCATTAGGGAAGTGCAAAAGAAAACCACAGTGAGGTACAACTTCACGCCCACTAGGATGGCCATAAAAAAAAAAAAAAACAGTAGAGGGAAATGACCAAGCGCAGTGGCTAACACCTGTAATCCCAGCACTTTGGGAGGCCTATGTGGGTGGATTCCTTGAGCCCAGGAGTTTGAGACCAGCCTGGGCAACATAGTGAGACCCCTGTCTCCACACCAAATACAAAAATTAGCCAGGCCTGGTGGCATGCTCCTTTGGTCCCAGCTACTTGGGAGGCTGCGATGGGAGGATCACCTGAGGCTGGGAGGCAGAGGTTGCAATGAGCCAAGATTGCACCATTGCATTCCAGCCTGGGCAACGTAGTGAGACCCCCGTCTCAAGGGAAAAAAAAGGAGGGGTTGGGAAACAGCAAGTGTTGGCAAGGATTTGGAGTCCTCACACATTGCTGGTGCAGCAACTTTTTTTTTTTTTTTTGAGACAGGGTCTGGCTCTGTCACCCTTGCTGGAGTGCAGTGGCATGAGCACAGGTCACTGCAGCCTCAACCTCCCAAGGCCAAGCGATCCTCCTGCCTCAGCCACTCAAGGAGATGGGACTACAGGGGCATTCCACCCTGCCTGGCTAATTTTTTGTATTTTTTTGTAGAGACAGAGTCTTCACCATGTTCCCCAGGCAGGTCTCAAACTCCTGTACTCCAGCAATCCACCCGCCTTGGCTTCCCAAAGTGCTGGGATTACAGGCATGAGCCACCATGCCTGGCCTATGGTGCAGCTACTTTGGAAAACAGTTTGACAGTTCCTTAAGGCCGGGCGCAATGGCTCATGCCTGTAATCCCAGCACTTTGGGAGGCTGAGGCCATGGCTGTATTTATCCGTGTCCTCTCTGAACTGAGCTCTGTGAGGGCCCTGCTGTATTCACAGAGCCTTGAACAGGCACAGAGTGTGCATTCGAATATTTATTGAATGAATGAATGACTAGAGCCAACTGGGGTCACAAGCAGGGAAGGCTTCCTGTGCAAGTGACATGTCAGGAAAACTTCAAGGGACAGGAAGGTTTTCACCAGGTGGGTGGCAGAGGGTCGGGGAAGGCGTCACAGGTAGGAGGAGACATGACTGCTGAGGCTGGACTCTCTTTTTTTTTTTTGAGAAGGAGTCTTGCCTTGTTGCCCAGGCTGCAGTGCAGTGGCGTGATCTCGGCTCACTGCAACCTCCGCTCCCTGGTTCAAGCAATTCTCCTGCCTCAGTCTCCCGAGTAGCTGGGATTAACAGGCATGCACCACCATGCCCGGTTAAGTTTCTTTTTGTATTTTTAGTAGAGACAGGATTTCACCATATTGGCCAGGCTGGTCTTGAACTCCTGACTTTGTGATCTGCCCGTCTCAGCCTTCCAAAGTGCTGGGATTATAGGCATGAGCCACCGCGCCCAGCCGACTCACTCTTTTTTTTTTTTTTTGAGATGGAGTCTTGCTCTGTCGCCCAGGCCGGAGTGCAGTGATGCGATCTTGGCTCACTGCAGGCTCCACCTCCCAGGTTCAAGCAATTCTCCTGCCTCAGCCTCTCCAGTAGCTGGGATTATGGGCGCCCGCCACCATGTCCGGCTGCTTTTTGTATTTTTAGTAGAGACGGGGTTTCACCATGTTGGCCAGGCTGGTCTCGAACTCCTACCTCAGGTGATCCGCCTGTGAGGCTGGACTCTTGCAGAGAGCTGGGTCTGAGCAGGCTTGGCTCGCGGAGGGCTGGGGTGAAGGTGGAAGCGCCTGGGGGCTCATCAGGGCCTCTCCTCCAGATGAGCGGGAAGCCGTGCAGAAGAAAACCTTCACCAAGTGGGTGAACTCGCACCTCGCCCGCGTGGGCTGCCACATCGGGGACCTCTATGTGGACCTCCGGGACGGCTTCGTGCTCACGCGGCTCCTGGAAGTGCTGTCTGGGGAGCAGCTGGTGAGGGGGCCTGAAGGGCTGGGGCAGGGGTCCTCCCTGGGGTCTCAGGCTGGGGGTTGGGCTTCTCTGGAAGGGCTGAACTGCAAGCAGGGGCCTGGCTCATGGGCGAGTGGAACGTGCTGGAAGGGCCCTGTGGGTAAGAGGTCCCTCTACTCGGGTGTGTGGGGCTGTGGCGCTGGGGCGGAGCTTGGTCGTGAGAAGCCTGGGCGCGTGGCTGGAACCGAAGCTGATGGCTCGCTAGCTACGGTTGCGAGGCGGGGCTTCGGTGGAAGGGGCCGGGCTCTGTTGCAAGGGGCAGGGCTATTAGAGAAGGGAGGAGCTTTGTTAGAAGGGACTGGCCCGGGTTATGAGCTAGTAGGGGCATGCTATAAAACAGGGGCAGAACTGTATTGCGGGTTGGGGGTGGGTAGTGGATGAAGGTGCGGGGCTCTAGGCTAGGGGGCAGTGTTCGTTGGTAGGGTGACACCTAGGTCGTCGGTGTCTAGGGACGCAGACGGTGTCCTGGGATGTGGCTTGTTGTATAAATTGGGGCTGTGTCTCTGGGCTTGAATGGGGTTTCATCTAAAAGCGTGGGATTCTCATGGGGTAGAGATTCGTTAAAGGACTGGAGCCTGGATCTCAAGGAATTGTGAGGGGCATGGCTATGGAATAGGAACAAACAGCTGGGCGCTGTGGCTCATGCCTGTAATCTCAGCACTTTGGGGAGCCAAGGTGGGAGGAACACTTGAGCTCAGGAGTTTCAGAACAGCCCGGGCAACATAATGAGACCCCCGTCTCTACGGTTTGTTTGTTTGTTTGTTTATTTGTTTAAATTAACCAGGCGTGGTGGCGCAGGCCTGTAGTCCCAAGTACCCAGGAGGTTGAGGAGAGAGGATCGCTTGAGCCTGGGAGGTCGAGGCTGCAGTGAGCCATGATTGCACCACTGCTCTGCAGCCTGGGCGACAAAGCGAGACTCTGTTTCTCTCTCTTTTTTCTTAATTTTTTTATTCTTTTAAATAGATACGAGGCGTCACTATGTTGCCCAGGCTGATCTAGAACTCCTGGACTCAAGCGATCCTCCAGCCTCGGCCTCCCAAAGTGCTGGGATTACAGGCGTGAGCCACTGCACCGGGCAGAGACCCTGTCTCAAAAATAAATAAATAACCCAAGCGCTGTGGTGAGACCCGTTTCTACAAAAAATTTTTAAAAAATCAAAAAGCATTAGCTGGGTGTGGTGGCGGGCACCTGTAGTCCCAGCTGCTCAGGAGGCTGAGGCAGGAGAATCGCTTGAACCCAGGAGGCAGAGGCTGCAGTGAGTCAAGATCGCGCGACTGCACTCCAGCCTGGGCGACAGAGTGAGACTCCGTTTCAAAAACAACAACAAAAGCCAAAAAAAAAAAAAAAGAAAGAAAAAAAAGAATAGATAGGAACCAACGCTGTTGGAAGGAATTGAGCCATAAACAAGGGGAAGAGCACTGGGGCAGGGCGGAGCTTGATTGGGATGGGCGTGGTTCTAGCTAGGGACCCGAAAGGGAAGCAGCGAGGGGTGTGACGCGGAGTTTTTGTTTGTTTGTTTGAAACGAAGTCTCGCTCCCTCACCCAGGCTGGAGTGCAGTGGCGCGATCTCGGCTCAACAGCAGCCTCCGCTTCCCGGGTTCAAAGGATTCTCCTGCCTCATCCTCCCGAGTACCTAGGATTGCGGGAGCGCGCTACCAAGCCCGGCTAATTTTTGTATTTTTAGTTAGAGGCAGTGTTTCGCCATGTTGGTCAGGCTGGTCTCGAACTCCTCGCCTCAAGTGAACCACCCGCCTCGGCCTCCCAAAGTGCTGGGATTACAGGATTGAGCCACTACGCCGGGGCGGCCATGGGATTAGTGGCAAAACATTGGTAGAGAGGGATCCAATGGCAGGGCCAGGGCTGAGACTATGGGCTAGGAGGGCGGGGCTTCATGATGGGGGCGTGGTTATCAGGTTCGAAGTGGGGCGCCCGTGGAAGGGGCAGAGCCAGGGACGTGAATAAACCTTGAAGGGATGTGATTCTTTAAAGGGTCTGGCTATGGGAAGAGACAGAGCTTCTTTAGAAGGATTGAGTCCTGTGTCTTGGATAAAACGAGAGGAGGACAGCCTGATCCTGGACACTCAGGGGGCGTGGCCACGGGAGGCGGGCTTCTTTGGAAGCTGCGGGGCCGAGGGCGCCATACTCCTGTCTGTCCAGACCCCCGATCGCCCACCGCCCCTGTCGCCCTAGCCCAGGCCCACGCGCGGCCGCATGCGGATCCACTCACTGGAGAACGTGGACAAGGCGCTGCAGTTTCTGAAGGAGCAGCGCGTGCACCTGGAGAACGTGGGTTCGCATGACATCGTGGATGGGAATCACCGGCTGACGCTGGGGCTGGTCTGGACCATCATCCTGCGCTTCCAGGTGACCCTCGAGTGGCCCCTGCCAAGCCCCGCAACATGGGACTTAGGAAAGCGTTCCCCACCATTTACCCATTCATTCTTTCCTTCCAATAATATCCTAATATGCTGGAATCCTATTCCAGGTGTTAGGGATGAAAATAATGATAAAAATAATTGTCACGATCACCACCATCACGATAATCATTTTGTATCGACCCTGTTCCAAACACTGTTCTAAGCACTTGACATTTAATACACACAGCAACCCCATAAATTAGGTACTATTTAGTACCCCATTTTACCAGTGAGGAAATGGAAGCCCAGATAGGTGGTGTCATCTGCCCAAGATCACATATACCTGGGTGTTGGAGCTGAAATTCGAATCCAGGCAATCTTGATCCAGTATAGAGACAAATAGACAAAGGTGTGCCTTTTAGGAGCTTACATTGTGGTGAGGAAGACAGATAATAAATACATAAATATGTAAAGAAGACATGTATGGAAAAAGGACCAGTTCTAGTTAGAGAAGTTTAAAAAGCTATGCAGGGCCAGGTGAAGTGGCCTGTAAACCCAGCACTTTGCGAGGCTGAGATGGGAGGAACACTAAGGCCAGGAGTTTGAGACCAGCCTGGCCAACATAATGAGACCTTAAATAAATTTAAAAAATTAGCCAGGCATGGTGGTGCATGCCTGTGGTCCCAGCTACTCAGGAGGCTGAGGCAGGAGGATCACTTGAGCCCAGCAGTGTGAGGCTGCCGTGAGCTATGATCATGCCACTGCACTCCAGCCTAGACAACAGTGAGACCATGACTTAAAAGAAAAAAAAAGCTACCCAGAAAAATACAGATTATGATAAAACAAGTAATAGGGATATAAAATGTCAGTTGGTGGTGTTGAGATTTTAGATATGGTGGTCAGAAGAGGGCTGTCTGGGAAGTTGATGGCTGAATGACATACAAAGATGAAGAGAGAATGCATTCCAGGCAGGGGGCACAGCAGATGCAAAGTCCCTGAGATAGAAATGAGCTTGGCCTGTTGGAAATACAGGAGGAAGAGCAGAGTGGCTAGAGAATGGGAGGCAACGGGAGACATGGAGGAGCTGAGGCTCAGGGGATGGAAGGGGCTAGGTGATCTGTGATGAGTAGTTTGGATTTTATTCTGTCTGAGATGGGGAGAGGTTGCAACATTTTATCAAGGGGAGGTGCATACAAGTTTAGAAAGATAGATCCCTTTGGCTGGGCATGGCGGCTCATGCCCATAATCCCAGCACTTTGGGAGGCTGAGGCAAGAGGATTACCTGAGTTTAGGAGTTCGAGCCCAGCTTGGCCAACATGGTGAAACCCCGTCTCTACTAAAAATACAGAAATTAACTGGGCTTCATGGTGCACGCCTGTAATCCCAGCGACTCAGGAGGCTGAGGCAGGAGAATGTGAGCCGAGACCACACCACTGCACTCCAGCCTGGGTAATAGATAGAGACTCTGTCTCAAAAAAAAAAAAAAAAAAAAAAAAAGTGACCGGGCTTGGTGGCTCATGCCTGTAATCCCAGCACTCTGAGAGGCTGAGGTGGGTGGATCACCTGAGGTCAGGAGTTCGAGACAAGCCTGACAAACATGGAGAAACCCTATCTCTACTAAAAATACCAAATTAGCTGGGCCTGGTGGCACATGCCTGTAATCCCAGCTACTAGGGAGGCCAAGGCAGGAGAATCGCTTGAACCTGGGAGGTGGAGGTTGCGGTGAGCTGAGATCACACCATTGCACTCCAGCCTGGGCAACAAGAGTGAAACTCCATCTAAAAAAAACAAAAACAAAACAAAAAAAAAAACAAAGAAAGATCCCTCTGGGTTGGAGGTGTTCACCAACATTGGGAGCTGAGAGCCCAGGGAGGAGGATAGAGTTGGACCAGGGTGGGACTATGGGGAAGCAACAAGGGGCAGGTGGGGAAGACACTCAGGGAGTGGAGTGGACAGGCCTTACGGGAGGGGAGAGGGAGAGGGTGTCCAGGGGAAGACTCAGAGCTCTGGCCTGGGGACTAGAGGATGATGGGGCTGCCCTGAGACAGGGACAGGGAGAAGGAGCAGGTTTGAGGAACACCCTGAGGCCAGTTTGAGATGGGTCCAGTGGTTATGGGTCCAGGACATTGGAGTTGGGGATGTTCCAGGTAGATGGAACAGCCAGTGCTAAAGGACCAAGGAGGGAGGATGCTTGTGATTCAGGAAAAAGGCCAGCAGGTATGGAGTGGAGTGAGCTGTTGAAGATGAGGTCATCAACTTACTGATGGGAGATCATGGGAACTTTTACTTTTACCTTGAATGAAACAGAGATACGGAGGGTGTTGAAAAGAGGAGCAAGGATCTGATTTGAGTGTTCGCAGGGTCCCTCTCTCTGCCATGTGGAGAACACACTGTGGATGCAGGAGTGGGGAGATCAGCATGAAGGCCACCGCACTAGCCTAGGCAGGAGACGGCAGTGCCTTAGACCAGGAAAGTGGCCCAGATGCTCAGTTTGGAGGCTTTCTTGGAAACAGAGACCGAAGTCCTAACTGATCCCCTAATTGTGGATGTCCTGGCCCTCAGGAATTATCCTCACACTCCTGGACCCCCACCCCCAGCCAGAAGCTGCCTCCCCCATCTCCTCTGTCACCTGCCACCTTCTCTGGTAGCAGATGGTGAGTGGGGGGCATTCGAAGCCTCAAGCTCTCCAGGCCCTGGTAGCCATTTTTTGTATCTTCACAGATTCAAGTCATCAAAATTGAGACTGAGGACAACAGAGAGACACGCTCAGCCAAGGATGCTCTGCTCTTGTGGTGTCAGATGAAGACAGCTGGGTAAGCACCCCCACCACCTTCCTTAGGAGGTTAGGCAAGTGGTCCCCTAACCTCTGCAATTCCTTCCCAGACAAGAGCTCAAGGGGCAGCCCATGTCCTCAGGGTCAAAAAGTTACATCTGAAACTAACCAGCTGGTAAATAAAATATGTCCACTTCTCCAGCCTTGACTAATAATCCTTCCTAACATGCTAGAAGGCCAGGTTCAAATTTATTTTGAACTTGCTCTGTCACCCAGGCTGGAGTGCAGTGGCATGCACTGAATAGCTCACTGAAGCCTTGATCTCCTAGGTTCCAGTGATCCTCCCTCCTCAGCCTCCCAAGTAGCTGGGACTACTGCACCCCACCCAGTTTCAAATGTAGAACTCTTGGCCTCACTAGGCACAGTGTCTCATGCCTGTCACTTTGGGAGAATGAGGCTAGGACTTTGAGATCAGCCTAGGCAACATAGCAAGACCCCATCTCTACAAAAAGTTGTGGGGTTTTTTTTGTTGTTGTTGTCGTTGTTGTTTTTAATCACAGGCATGGTGGCAGACGTCTGTAGTCGTAGCTTCTCAGGTTCCCAGGAGGCTGAGATGGGAGGATCATTTGAGTCCAGGAGTTCAAGGTGCAGTGAGCTACGATCATGCCACTGCACTCCAGCCTGGGCTACAGAGCAAGACCCTGTCTTGAAAATAAATAACAAACACATAAATAAATAAACAAACAAATAAATAAAAATAAAATAGAACTCTTGGACTCCTCAGAGACCAATGCTGGAAAGAGGTGAACTGTCCCCAGCCTGCTCTCTTCTCTCTCTCCCCCATCCCATTTCATCCTACATTTCAAGAGATCTCACATTCACCTGTGTGGACCCTCAGTGCTATGTCCAAGCTCTGGCCACCCTCTCCCGCTGTGAGCATCTCCCTTCTGCCTCACAGGGCATACACAGGAAAGTTCAAAGTCCTTGGTCGCTTCAGTGTGGCTGAGCTGGTGGCGGGGTGGGGTGCAGGCTCTACTGGGAAGGTTCCCTTTGGCCCCCAACTCTCTGCCCTGCAGGGAGCAGTAAGACCTGAAACTCAATTGTCCTCTGTAGAGCAGCTCCTGGGAGGACGGAGGGAGGGGCAGGTGTGGGATGGAGGTGGGCTTCTCTGACTCTCATCCTTCTGGCTGTCTGTCTTGCAAAGGAGATCATGGGGACTTTTGCCATCTGTTTCTCCATGTGTCTATCTCTATATCTGCTTTTCCTTGTACTTATCTCTTCTCTCCTCCCTCCTTCCCTCCTTTCCTCCTTCCCTTTTCTCTTCATGTCTTCTTTCTCTCTCCTCTCCTTTCCCTCCCCATCTCTGTCTATATCTTGCTCTCTCCCTGTCTTGATACCTCTCTCCTTCCTCTCTCTCTCCTTCCCTCTCTTCTCTCTTCTTTCTTTTGCTTCTCTTTTTCTCTTCTCTCCTGCTATCTATCTTCTATCAATCTATATATCTATCATCTATCAACCTATATCTATTATGTATGTATGTATCTATCTATCTATCTTCTATCAATCTATATATATATCATCTATCAACCTATATCTATTATCTGTCTATCATCTATCAATCTATCTATCACCTATTTATCATCTATCTATGTATCTACCTATCTCTCTCTCTACTCACCATCTATCACCTGTCTATCATCTATCTGTGTATCTACCTATCTCTCTCTCTACCTACCCAACACCCACCCATCCATCCATCTTTCTATGTTCTACCCCCTCTCTCTCATCTTCCTTCCCTATCATTCGGTCTCCCTCTGTCTTTTTCCCCTTTCTTCCCTCCTAACTCTCCCCATCTCTGCCTCTGTTTCTCCCTTCACCCTTCCAGTTACCCTGAGGTAAACATCCAGAATTTCACCACCAGCTGGCGGGATGGCTTGGCCTTCAATGCCCTCATTCACCGGCACAGGTACCACCTGGCCTGGGACAGCCCAGTCCTGCCCTTCAGCCCCCCATATCCCTGCAGCTGCACACCTGTACATGTACTTGTGTAGATGGCACACACAGACATAAAGACCCATCCCTTCACCTCTACACACACATACAGTTTTCTTTCCCTTCACACACATGCCCTGCACATTTACACACAGGAACACACACCCACACAGGCTCCTGTCCAGGCCACATACCCTGTGCACACATGGACACACATGAGCCCTCGCACAGATGCATACACACACACAGATACCCACGCACGTGCACAGCCTGCCCGCAGGGTAGGAAGCTCGCTCCCCTGTCACTGTCATGCTGCTGTGTACCCAGCACCTCCTCCTATCAGAAAATGCTTTCTCAGGCCAGGCGCAGTGGCTCACACTTGTAATCCCTGCACTTTGGGAGGCCAAGGTGGGAGGATCACCTGATGTTAGGAGTTCAAGACCAGCCTGGCCAACATGGCAAAACCCCATCTCTACTAAAAATAAAAATAAAAAATTAGCCAGGTGTGGTGGTGCGCCCCTGTAGTCCCAGCTACTGGGGAGGCTGAGGCAGGAGAATCGCTTGAACCCAGGAGGCGGAGGTTGCAATGAGCCGAGATTGTGCCACTGCACTCCAGCCTGGGCAACAGAGTGAGACTCCACCCCTAACCCCCCCACCACCACCAAAAAAAAGAAAAGAAAAGAAAACACTTCCTCAAAGTGAGCCCTTAGAGTCCCCGTCCCTGTACACCCACGGATTCATACCTTGGGGCCTGACATTGAAATAGCTGAGGGTCAGACACCCACACAAATTAGACACACATCATGATCATTCGCATGACATATTGGGGAAACTGAGACTCAGGCGCAGGAAGGGGCTTGTGGTGGTGTAGCTGAAGCCAGAACCCAGCTTTTTCTGCTGTGGACACCTGTCCACTCACAATCCCTGCTTCTCACACCTACACACACTCGTACACACATGGGGAGACCCAGACCCACCTCCATACACAGAAACTCACAAGCTGCACCAGGGTCATCCTCACACTAGGTGACATTCGCTCAGTGTTTTCTATGCACAGGCACTGTTCTAAGGGCTTCCCACTAAAACATTCAATAGTCAATGTATCCATTCAGTGTGTCCGATCCACCTATGGGCAGGTGCTATTTTTATTTATTTATTTATTTTGAGGGTGAGTCTCACTCTGTCCCCCAGGCTAGAGTGCAGTGGCACGATCTCGGCTCACTGCAACCTCTGCTTCCCAGATTCAAGTGATTCTCCTGCCTCAGCGTCCTGAGTAGCTAGGATTACAGGCGCCCGCCACCACACCTGGATAATTGTTGTATTTTTAGTAGAGATGAGGTTTCACCATGTTGGCCAGGCTGGTCTTGAACTCCTGACCTCAGGTGATCCACCCACCTCGGCCTCCCAAGTAGCTGGGATTACAGGCATGTGCCACCACGCCCGGCTAATTTTGTTTGTTTAGTGGAGATGGGGTTTCACCATTTGGGCCAGGCTGGTTTCAAACTCCTGACCTCAAGTGATCTGCCCAACTCAGCTTCCCAAAGTGCTGGGATTACAGGGATGAGCCACCATGCCCGGCTGGCAGGTGCTATTATTATCCCCATTTTAGAGGAAACCAAAGCACAGAGAAACGCAGTAGCTCACCTAGAGTGACACAACCAGGATATGACCAAGCTGGGGCTCAAGCTCTGATGAACTGGCTCTGGTCCTCACACTTCTAACCACTGCATAACACTACATAAGAATCCCCAAAGTAAGCATATGTGTGTCAGAGGTACATGTGTCCTGGCCAGACGCAGTGGCTCACACCTGTAATCCCTGCACTTTGGGAGGCCTAGGCAGGCAGATCACTTGAGGTCAGGAGTTCGAGACCAGCCTGGCCAACATGGTGAAACCCCGTCTCTACTAAAAATATAAAAATTAGCAGGGCCTGGTGGTGCACACCTGCAATCCCAGCTACTTGGGAGGCTGAGGCAGGAGAATTGCTTGAACCTCGGAGGCGGAGGTTGCAGTGAGCTGGGATCGCGCCCCTGCACTCCAGCCTGGGTGACAGAGCGAGACTCCATCTCAAAAAAAAAAAAAAAAAAAAAAAGAGGTACATGTGTCCTCACACAACACACATAAGGGCTGTACACACTCGTATTGTCATATGATTTCACAGAGACATACACAGGCAGGCACCGTGTGGGCTCATCTCTTCCAAGCACACTCAGGCTGGCCTACCCATTCGTCTGTGTGCACAGGCCGGCCCAGCAACAAATGCACATGCACACACACATTCCCGGGAACGCACAGAGACATGCCCGCGTCCATCACACTCACATCACAGCTAAATGCTGCACAGCACACACAGCTTGCCCCTTGGCTAGACTGTGCCCTTCTGCCCATTGCCCTGGGCAGTGCTCAGACAAGGGTGGCTTCTTCCCTGCTTGCCCGCCGGCTCTGGAGCCTGCCTGCTGCCTGCCTGCTCTGTGCCCCTGCCCAGGCCTGATCTCGTGGACTTCAGCAAACTCACCAAGTCCAATGCCAACTACAACCTGCAGAGAGCCTTCCGCACAGCTGAGCAGCACCTGGGGCTGGCGCGGCTGCTGGATCCTGAAGGTGAGCCTCTCGCGGGCCCAGCCCAGACTTCGTCTTGGGGGACTCCCAACCCCAATGCCATGTCACACTCAACTCCATCCCACCCCAGCACCATCCCAAATCCTGAGGCCTCTCCAAATCCCAACTCTTTCCAAATCCCAACTGTCTCCTCAGCCTCCTCCCCTTGTGCCTCCCCTTCCTCATGTGCGATCCCTCCCACATACCATCCTCACACCTCTTCCTCTCTCATCCCCAACCGTGTCCCAACGTAACCCCTCCTCTTCCCCATTCTCAATTTCCACCCATCCCCAACACCCTCCCCAACCCTGCTTTCAACCATCTCCCACTAAACCAACTCCCACTCCCCTACCCCAGCCCCAAACCCAGTGGCATCTCCAACGCCATCCCCACCCCTAACGCCAACCCCATCTTCAAGTGTCTCCATCCCCACCACATCTTCGGCTCCAACTCCATTCCTATCCCCACCCTAATCCATTTCCAAACTCATTTCGCCCTAGCCCATCCCCATGTCTATCTCTCCCACAACTCCATCCTCATCCTCAGCTGCTTTTCCATTTCCAGTCTATCCCTAATCCCATCCCTGACTTCAGCCTCAGCCCCAAACCAGGATCAGCCCTGACACCCATCTCCCATCCCAAATTAAAGCTGCTCCCTTCCTCTGAGCTCTACTGTGTGCCAGACACATGTCTGGGAACCTTATCAGAGCTGTTCACTTTCATCTTCACACTGACCTGGTTAGAGAGAATTTATCAACCCTGTTTTATTTTATTTTATTTATTTATTTATTTATTTATTTATTTATTTATTTATTTATTTTTTTAGATGGAGTCTCACTCTGTCGCCCAGGCTGGAGTGCAGTGGCATGATCTCGGCTCACTGCAAGCTCCACCTCCTGGGTTCACACCATTCTCCTGCCTCAGCCTCCCAAGTAGCTTGGACTACAGGCGCCCGCCACCACGCCCGGCTAATTTTTTGTATTTTTAGTAGAGACGGGGTTTCACCGTGTTAGCCAGGATGGTCTCGATCTCCTGACCTTATGGTCCACCTCCTTGGCCTCCCAAAGTGCTGGGATTACAGGCATGAGCCACCATGCCCGGCCTATTTATTTAATTTTTGAGACGGGGTCTGGCTCTGTTGCCCAGGCTGGAGTGCAGTGCCATGATCTCGGCTCACAGCAACCTCCACCTCACAGGCTCAAGTGATTCTCCCATCTCAGCCTCCCAAGTAGCTGGGACTACAGGTGTGCACCATCACACCTGGCTAATTTTTGTATTTTTAGTAGAGGTGGGGTTTCATCATGTTGCCCAGGCTGGTCTCAAACTCCTGACCTCAGGTGATCTGCCCACTTTAGCCTCCTAAAGTGCTGGAATTATAGGTGTGAGCCACCGTGCCTGGACGTTTTATTTATTTATTGTTCTTATGTTCATTTATTTATTTATTTGAGACAGAGCCTCGCTCTGTCACTCAGACTGGAGTGCAGTGGGGGCGATCCTAGCTCACTGCAACCTCCGCCTCCCGGGTTCAAGTGATTCTCCTGCCTCAGCTTCCCAAGTAACTGGGACTACAGGTGCACGCCACCAAGCCTGGCTAATTTTTTTTTTTTTTTGTATTTTTAGCAGAGACAGGGTTTCACCATTGTTGGCCAGGCTAGTCTCAAACTCCTGACTTCAAGTGATCTGCTTGCCTCGTCCTCCCAAAGAGCTGGGATTACAGGCGTGAGCCATCACACCTGGCTTACTTATTTATTTTTTTATCCAACTGAATTTAATATTTAAACCCTGTTTAATTATTATTATTATGTTTGAAATGGGGTCTCACTGTGTTGCCCAGGCTGGAGTGCAGTGGCACAATCTTGGCTCACTACAGCTTCAACCTCCTGTGCTCAAGCAATCCTCTCACCTCAGCCCCCAGAGTAGCTGGGGCTATAGGCGTGCACGACCATGCTCAGCTAATTTTTGATTTTTTTTTTTTTGGTAGAGGTGGGGTCTCGCTATGTTGCCCAGGCTGGTCTCAAACTACTGGACTCAAGCGATCCTCCCACCTTGGCCTCCCAGAGTGCCTGGGATTACAGGCCCGAGCCACATGCCTGGCTTAACCTGTCTTCCAAAGTGATGAGAATGACAGCTCAGGGATGTTGTCACTTGCCCAGCATCACACTGAAAATCAGGAAACCAGACCTTATGGCTCCAGAATTCATGGTCTTAATCAGTCCTCTACCCTGCCTCTTATAGCTGTATCCTGTGCTCAGTGCCTGGTACGTAGTAGGTGCTAATGGATGTCAGTTGGACAAGGCAGTGAAGAATAAAGGCCAGGTATACTGTTGTGCATCCAGTGGGTAAATTAAAATGATATCACTCAGTCATGGTGATGGCTTGTGCCTGTAATCCCAGCACTTTGGGAGGTTAAGGCAGGAGGATCGCTTGAGGCCAGAAGTTCAGGACCAGCCTGGGCAATGTAGTGAAATCCCATATCTACAAACCTGTAGTCCCAGCTACACAGGAGGCCAAGGCAGGAGGATCACTTGAGCCCAGGAGTTCGAGGCTGCAGTGAGCTCTGATTACAACACTGCACCCCAGATCCCAACTCAAAAAGCAAAAAACAACAACCAATTAAAGTGATGTTAGAATTTGTTGAGTTTCCCCTCTGTGCCAGGCTAGTCTTTCTAATACTTACATTGTTCCCAGGAGGCAGGAACCATGATAATCTTTATTATAACAATGGGGAAACTGAGGCTTAGAGAAGCTAGGTTATTTTCTAAGGACATGCAGTGAGTAAGTGTTGAACTGGGATCCAAGTGCATGCTGCCTCCAAAGCCTATGTTCTTGACATCAAGCCTTGTGCACAATTTGCAAGCTAACTAAATTTTAATTTAGCACCTACTGTGTGCTGGGTAAGACAGAACAGTGATAAAGAAGATAGGCATACGGCTGGGCCCACGCCTATAGTGGCCCACGCCTATAGTCCCAGCACTATGGGAAGCTGAGGCAGGAGTATTGTTTCAGCCCAAGAGTTCAAGACTAGCCTGGGCAACACAGAGAGACCCTGTCTATGTTTTATAAAAAATAAAAAGTCTATTTAAAAAATTACAAAAAATTAGCCGGGCGTGGTGGTGTGTGCCTGTAATCTCAGCTACTTGGGAGGCTGAGGCATGAGAATTGCTTGAACCTGGGAGGCAGAGGTTGTGGTGGGCCAAGATCACGCCATTGCACTCCAGCCTGGGCAATAGCTTGAGACTGTCTCAAAAAAAAAGAAAGAAAAAGAAAAGAAAGGAAAGGAAAGGAAAGGAAAAGAAAGGAAACAGGCATAGTGTTTGTCCTCATGAAGCTCAAGCTCTAGATAATGACATAATCACATAAGTGAATATGTAATTACAAATTGTGATACATTCTGGGAAGGACATCATAAGATGCTAAGAGGAGAATAACATGAGGATTATCAACTATAGACAGAGTGAACATGGAGGCTTGTCTAAGGAAATTTGAGTTGAGCCAGGCATGGTGGTTCACACCTTTAGTTCTGACTACTCAGGAGGCTGAGGTGGGAGGATTGCTTGAACCTAGGAGCTCGAGGCTGCAGTGAGCTATGATTGCACCACTGCACAATCAGCCTGGACAAGAGAGCCAGACTCCATCTCTTGAAAAAAAAAAAAGTAAAAAGTTGAGCTCTGAAGAATAAGTGGGAATTAGGAACACAGAAGAGGAACAGTGCTCCAGACAGTGAGAACAGCACATGCAAAGGCCCTGAGGTGGAAGGTAGAAAGGTGTGTTCAAGAAACAAATATAGGCCAGGTGCGGTGGCTCACATCTGTAATCCCAGCACTTTGGGAGGCCGAGGTGGGCGGATCACCTGAGGTCAGCAGTTCGAGACCAGCCTGACCAACATGGTGAAGCCCTGTCTCTACTGAAAATATAAAATTAGCCAGGCATGGTGGTGCATGCCCATAACCCCAGCTACTTGGGAGGCTGAGACAGAAGAATCACTTGAACCTGGGAGGTAGAGGTTGCAGTGAGTTGAGATCGTGCCATTGCACTCCAGCCTGGGCAACAAGAGCAAAATTCCATCTTAAAAAAAAAAAGAAAAGAAAAAGAAAAGTATAGCTTATTTCTCTGCGGTGGTTTATATGTGTCAGGCACTATTTAATTCCAGGAGGTAGATTTCTATTTGACGGATACAAAACCTGAGGAACAGAGAGGTTAATTATCTTGCCCAAGGTCACACAGCTAGTGAGAGTGGCTTCTCCATCCCTCCATCCAATACCTTCAAGCACTCTGTCAAAGTGCCCACTGTCTTGTTTCCCCACTCCCTCTTGCTTCCAGATGTGAACATGGAGGCTCCAGATGAGAAGTCCATCATCACCTACGTGGTCTCTTTCTACCACTATTTCTCCAAGATGAAGGCTCTGGCTGTGGAGGGGAAGCGTATCGGGAAGGTATAAGGAGCCAAGGAGTGGGTGAGTGGGAAGCTGGAAGCTGGTGGCAGGCACGGGTGGGATGAGGCTGACCCCCCTTCCTCTGCTGTGTCAGGTCTTGGACCAGGTATTGGAGGTGGGGAAGATCATAGAACGCTACGAGGAGCTGGCGGCTGAGCTGCTGGCCTGGATCCACCGCACCGTGGGCCTCATCAGCAATCAGAAATTTGCCAACTCCTTAAGTGGGGTGCAGCAGCAACTCCAGGCTTTCACGGCCTATTGCACGCTGGAGAAGCCTGTCAAGTGAGGCCCAGCTCTGGAGGGAGGGTGGGCAGGGGTGGCATGACGGCAGGGCTCCTGAGCTCATGCCCCTTCAGGTTCCAGGAGAAGGGGAACCTAGAGGTGCTGCTCTTCAGCATCCAGAGCAAACTGCGTGCCTGCAACCGTCGCCTCTTTGTGCCTCGGGAGGGCTGTGGCATCTGGGATATTGACAAGGTGAGGCCGGGGATGCAGGGGAGAGGCGGGGTTGCACTGTGGAGTTGTATAGGTTGCACACTGCTCAAGGGAATCATTCACATTGTAGACATGATGGATTAGATATTCATTCTGACAGTTTTTCAGTAGTAAAGTGTCATAAGGAAGCAATATTTTTTCCAATTTGCATGAAGTTGCCATAATGCTATGAGTGACCTCAGACTAAGTCAAGACCATTAAACTGTGGGGAGCTGTCAGAGTCTGAGTGCCTCCTCCCATCTCCTGCAGGCATGGGGTGAGCTGGAGAAGGCTGAGCATGAGCGGGAGGCTGCCCTACGGGCTGAGCTGATTCGGCAGGAGAAGCTGGAACTACTGGCACAGAGGTTTGACCACAAGGTGGCTATGAGGGAGAGCTGGCTGAATGAGAACCAGCGTCTGGTCTCCCAGGTACAAGGTGTAGGGCTTGGCTCCAGGGTAAAGGGACGGAGGGCGGGGCTGATGGTCCTGGGACCAGAGAGGGAGACTTGATCTTCTAGGCAACAGGGAAGAGTTAGATTAGTCTCCTGGTGATAAATGAGGATGGGGATGGGAGACTTGGCCTTCCAAGTGATTGTTGGGTGAGGGGAATGGGCCTGATCTCCAGGGTAATGGGAGAGTGAGGCTGGTCTCCAGGGTAACTAGAGAGGGCAGAATTCATCTTTTCAGGAATGGGGGAGTGTTTTAAGTGACAAGGGAGGTTGTATCTTGTGTCTAGGGTAACTCAGAAGGATAGAATTGGTTTCCTAAGTAACAGAGTCAGGTAAACCTGGTCCCTAATCTCCAGGACAGGGGAAGCATGGGCCTCCTTCCTGGGTAACAAGTTTAAGGTTAGAGATGTAACAGGAGGGTGGGACTTGTTTCCAGGGTAACTGGAGAGAGTGGGGCTGGTCTCTGGGGAAACGGGAAGGTGGGGTTGGTCTCTAGGGCAACAGGGGAGGGTGGGTCTGGTCTCCAGGGTAACTGGGGAAGATTGGGCTGGTCTCCAGGACAACAGGGGAGGGTGGAGCTGGTCTCCAGGATAACTGTGGAAGATGGGCTGGTCTCCAGGGCAACAGGGGATGGGGGGTTGGTCTTTAGGGTAACTGGGGAGGGTGGGGCTGGTCTCCAAGGTAACAATGGAGGGTGGGGCTGGTCTCCAGGTTACCTGGGTAACAGGGGAGGATGAGGCTGGTCTCCAGGATAACTAGGGAGGGCAGGGCCAGTCTCCAAGGTAATGGAGTGGGGAGTCCCCAGGGTCACACAGGGTCAAGGTAACAGGTGGACTGCTGAGGCAGCATGGGTGAGTGTCTGGCTCACTGCCCCAGGACAACTTTGGGTATGAGCTGCCCGCAGTGGAGGCAGCCATGAAGAAACACGAAGCGATCGAGGCAGACATTGCGGCCTACGAGGAGCGGGTGCAGGGTGTGGCGGAGCTGGCCCAGGCATTGGCAGCCGAAGGCTACTACGATATCCGGCGGGTGGCAGCCCAGCGTGACAGCGTCCTGCGCCAGTGGGCCCTGCTAACTGGGCTTGTGGGTGCCCGGCGGACACGACTTGAGCAGAACCTTGCCCTGCAGAAGGTCTTCCAGGAGATGGTGTACATGGTGGACTGGATGGAGGAGATGCAGGTGCCGGCGGGGGGGCGGGGATGCGGGTGGAGTGCCAGGAGGGAGGGGAGGATGCAGACGCTGAAAGAGTTGTCAGACAGCTGGAGATGGAGAGGGAAGGGCAGAGATAGAAGAAGATAGAGAGAAAGCCAGGGAGACAAAAAGAGAGAACAAGAGAGAGAGGGAGAGAAAGATACAGAGATGGACAAGAGAGGCAGACAAAGAAACACAGAATGAGAAAGAGACAGAGACAAATAGAGAGAAATAGAAACATGCTGGACACGGTGGCTCACACCTGTAATACCAGCACTTTGGGAGGCCAAGGAGGGCAGATCACTTGAGGTCAGCAGTTTCAGACCAGCCTGGCCAACATGGTGAAACCCCATCTCTACTAAAAATACAAAACAATTAGCCGGGCGTAGTGGCGGGCGCCTGTAGTCCCAGCTACTTGGGAGGCTGAGGCAGGAGAATGGCGTGAACCCGGGAGGCGGAGCTTGCAGGGAGCCGAGATCCCGCCACTGCACTCCAGCCTGGGCGACAGAGCGAGACTCCGTCTCAAAAAAAAAAACAAAAAAAACAAAAAACAATTAGCTGGGCGTGGTGGCGTGTGCCTGTAGTCCTAGCTATTTGGGAGGCTGAGGCTCAAGAATTGCTTGAATCCAGGAGGCAGAGGCTGCAGTAAGCCAAGGTGGTGCCACTGCACTCCATCCAGCCTGAGTGACAGAGTTTGATTCTGTTTCAAAAAAAAAGAGAGAAATGAAAAAAGACATAGAGATATAGAAACAGAGTAAACCAGGGATGCAGACAGAGAGATAGTGACAGTTTGAGAGAGAGGAAATCAGAGAGACAGAGAGAGGAGAAGGCAGACACAAAGGTGACATGGAAATCTACATGACTACAGAGAAAGATACAGGAAGATGGAATCAATTTAAGAGAGAGAGAGAGAGACCTACCAGATCTAGAGAGAGATGAGACAAGAAAGATAGAAGCCAGCTGGGCATGGTGGCTCTCACCTGCGGTACCAGCACTTTGGGAGGCCGAGGTAGGCAGATTGCTTGAGCCCCAGAGTTTGAGACCAGCCTGATCAACATAGTGAGATCCTGTCTGTACAAAAAAAAAAAAAAAAAAAATTAGCTAGGCGTGGTGGTGTGCGCTTGTAGTCCCAGCTACTCTGAAGTGGGAGGATCGCTTGAGCCCAGGAGGTTGAGGCTGTGTGAGCCATGATTGCACCACTACACTTCAACCTGGATGACAGAGTGAGACCCTGTCTCAAAAAAAAAAAAAAAAAAAAAAGAAGAAGCCGGGCACGGTGGCTCACACCTGTAATCCCAGCACTTTGGGAGGCTGAGGCAGGCAGATCATCTGAGGTCAGGAGTTCAAGACCAGCCTGGCCAACATGGCGAAACCCCATCTCTACTAAAAAATACAAAAATTAGCCGGGCGAAGTACATCTAATCGGGAGGCAGGAGAATCACTTGAACCTGGGAGGTGGAGTTTGCAGTGAGCTGAGATCGCGCCACTGCACTCCAGCCTGGGTGACAGAGGCAGACTCTGTCTCAAAAAAAGAAGAAGAAAAAAGAATGAAAGGGAGGAAGGAAGGAAGGAAGGAAGGAAGGAAGGAAGGAAGGAAGGAAGGAAGGAAGAAAGAAAGGTGAACAGGAGACACAGACAGGAAGGTGAACAGGAGATGGAGAGAAAGAGAAAAGGGTAGAAATGTAGAAAGAGAGGCAGAGAAAGATGGAGACAAAGATGTATAGATAAGAAAGACATGGAGGCAGAGAGTGAGCCACTGTGACAGAGACAGAGCCCAGAAATGTGGAGTCCACGAGAGATGGAAACATTCAGAGAGAGACTGGTAGAGAGAGAGGGAGACAGAGACAGAACACCATGGCTAGCTGTGAGAGCTGACAGCAGCTGGGGCTCAGCTTTTTTCTTTCTGATGAGGAAACCGAGGTCCAGGCCACAGAGCTGGTAAGAGAGTCTTGAGGCTGGTCCATATCTCTCCAAGAGGGTCAGAGTCGGGAGTGATGGTGCAGAGTAGCAGGGGCTGGCATAGGCAATGGGGGAGAGGTGAGTGGCCCAGGGCAGTGCCAGAGGTGTGCTCAGTGCTGTCCCCGCTTGTAGGCTCAGCTGCTGTCCCGGGAGTGTGGGCAGCACCTGGTGGAGGCAGACGACCTGTTGCAGAAGCATGGACTGCTGGAGGGAGACATTGCCGCCCAGAGCGAGCGGGTGGAGGCTCTCAATGCCGCTGCCCTGCGCTTCTCCCAGCTGCAGGGTGAGTCTTGGGGCTGGGGCTGGGGCTATGGGTGGAGACTGTCAGGACTGGTGCTAATAGAGGCAAGAGTGACTCCTGAGAGAAGGAAAGAGTGAGCTCCTTGTCCTTGGAGGCATTTAAGCAGAGCCTAAGATTACATTCCACTGGGGAAGTCATAGGGAGAATCAGTGCCCTGAGTGGCAGGATGGGCCACTCGACCTCTTCCTGCTTTAGATTCTGCAGTAATAACCCACATTTATTGAGCACTTGTTATGTGCCAAGCCCTTCACAGATTGATCTCAACGAATACCATTTAAAAAGACTTGTGTGGGCTGGGCACGGTGGCTCATGCCTATAATTCCAGCCCTTTTGGAGGCCGAGGCAGGAGGATCACTTGAGCCCAGGAATTCAAGACCAGCCTGGCCAACATAGAAAGACATCATCTGTACCAAAATAAATAAATAAATAAATTAGCCAGGCACGGTGATACAAGCCTGTAGTGCCAGCTATTTGGAGGCTGAGGCAGGAGGCTCACTTGAGGCCAGGAATTGGAGGCTTCAGTGAGCCATGATCATGCCACTACACTCCAGCCTGGGTGACACAGTGAGATCTTGTCTCTTAAAAAACCAAAAAGAAAACTTGTGCTAAGTAATGTTAATCAGGGCCTATTTAACACAAGTGATAGAAACTCAGTTCAAATGGCTTAAGGTGAAAAGGAGTGGATTGGCTAATGTAACCAAAATGTTCAGGGAAGCCTAGTCAACATGGCGAAACCCCGTCTCTACCAAAAATACAAAAAATTAGGTAGGCATGGTGGTGCACGCCTGTAGTCCCAGCCACTGCAGAGGCTGAGGTGGGAGAATCACCTGAGCCTGGGAAGTCGAGGCTGCAGTAAGCCAAGATTGTGCCACTAAACTCCAGCCTGGGCAACTGGACTGAGACCCTGTCAGCAAAAAAATAAAATAAAAAAAAAAAAAGTCTGGGGAAGGGTGGGTTTTACCTCAGGCATGGCTGGATCCAGGTATGGCTCAAGGGTGCTTTTAGGACTCCATCTGAGACCAGGCATGGTGTCTCATGCCTGTAATTCCAGAGCTTTGGGAGGCAAAGATGTGAGGATTGCTTGAGGCCAGGAGTTTTGGGCAACATAGTGAGACCCCATCTCTATATCAAAAAAGAAAAAAAAAAGAAAAAGACTCAGGCCAGGCACGGTGGCTCATGCTTGTAATCCTAACACTTTGGAAGGCCGAGGCAGGCGGATCACTTGAGGTCAGGCTTTGGCCAACATGGTGAAACTCCGTCTCTTCTAAAAATACAAAAAAATTAGCCGGACATAGTGGTGCACACCTGTAATCCTAGTTACTCAGGAGGCTGAGGTGGGAGGATTGCTTGAACCCAGGAGGCAGAGGTTGCCATGAGCCGAGATCGCACCACTGCACACTCCAGCCTAGGTGACAGAGCGAGACTCCTTCTCAAAACAAAAACAAAAGACTCCATCTCTCTCGTCTCTCTCCATCACTAGTCTTTGTGTTAGTGTCACTGTTGAGCAGTCCTGTCCCTTGTGGTATAAATCTGGGATCATTCAGCCCCAGGTATACAGCCTAACAGGTTAGCAGAGCCAATGGGACCCAGGCCCCTTTCTCCCAAGAGTTCTGACAAAAAGTCCTAGGAGAGCTTGCATTGGCTCACAGTGGGTTCCATCATTGCTCAGCCAATCATTGTGGCCCCAGGGCATGCAGTGATCTAATCGGCCACATGCATGTGACCTGCCTACCCCAGGGCCAGGAGTGGGGTCAGCCCATTACAAAGGCTTAGACTGAAAAAGAGGAGAGAGGGACGGCCTTACCAGATATGGATGGGACATGGATGCTGATAGGCAAAACCAAGACTGGCTCTAATAAGGTTCCTGTCTTACTTATGTCAATGCCCTCCAGCCAGAGACCACCAGGAGTCCCTCTGTGGTCAAACGAAGTTGGGTTTGGTGGCTCTTTACACCCACCATGGGGAGCTGTGGGGCTTCTCAGCAAGAAAGTATGATGGGGGGCTAGGCGCGGTGGCTCACGCCTGTAATCCCAGCACTTTGAGAGGCCAAGGTAGGTGGATCACATGAGGTCAGGAGTTCGAGACCAGCCTGGCCAACATGGTGAAACCCCATCCCTACTAAAAATACAAAAAATTAATTTGGTGTGGTGGCATGAGCCTGTAATCCCAGCAACCCAGAAGGCTGAGGCAGGAGAATCGCTTGAATCTGGGAGGCGGAGGTTGCAGTGAGCCTAGATCGTGCCACTGCACACCAGCCTGGGCAACAGAGCGAGACCTCATCTCAAAGAAATATATATATATATATGACTGGTGGCTTATTGTAGGATTTGGGCTTGTGTTAGGTGATTTGGAAGATGATTCAGTGTAGTGAGTTTTGCTGTGGATTGGATGCTGTCAGAATATGGGGGTGACTAGGTGATTGGGGGTCTTAATCATTTTGATCTAGGTGGTGGGAGGAAGAGAAGGAGGCTGTTGCATTCATTGGCAGCTGTCATTCATCTGAGCCGGCGAGGGGATGCGTGGTCATTTTTGTGGTTTGCACAGTGACCTTGATTTTGTCTGTGCTCAGGCAAGATTATGGAGCGAGCTTGGTTTTGTCCTACTCCATCGTGGTCAGAGTGGCCCCATCTGATATGAGCGTTCTGTGAGTTTTTTTTATTATTATTGTTGTTGTTTATTGCTTTTTTTTTTTTTTTTTTTAGACACTTGATCTCTCTATGTTACCCAGGCTGGTCTTGAACTCCTGGGCTCAAGCAATCCTCCCGCTTCCACCTCCCAGAGTGTTGGGATTACAGACGTGAGCCATTGTCCCTGGCCATTTCTGTGAGATTATTATTTTTACTTATTTATTTATTTTTGAGATGGAGTTTTGCTCTTGTTGTCCAGGCCAGATTGCAATGGCGCGATCTCGGCTCACTGCAACCTCTGCCTCCTGGGTTCAAGCGATTCTTCTGCCTCAGCCTCCCGAGTAGCTGGGATTATAGGCATGCGCCACCATGTCCGGCTAATTTTGTATTTTTAGTAGAGACTGGGTTTCTCCATGTTGGTCAGGCTGGTCTCAAACTCTTGACCTCAGGTGATCTGCCCGCTTTGTCTTCCCAAAGTGCTGGGATTACAGGTGTGAGGCACTGCGCTTGGCCTGTGAGATTATTTATACTCCTCAGAACACGATGGCTAGCCCTGAGTGCTGACGGCAGTTGGGGCTGCTTTATTTCTTTCTCACTGATGAGGAAACTGAGGCCCAGGCCATGGAGCTGATAAGAGGGTCTTGAGGCTGGTCCGTATCTCTCCATTAAGATGTTCTCCTCCTTTATCTGGAGCCCACAGCCCTTTGGAATCTTGGAGCATTATTCGAAAAGGAAGAACCTGTCTGGCTTGCAGGTTGATGGGGAAGTTTCTCACCCTAGCCGACCTGGGTCACATCCTAAATGCAAATGCTGAAGTTTCCCTCCACGCCCTGGTGTGGACATCCTGACCCTGGCTCAGCTCCCTCCCATCCCCATCTCACCTCCAGGGGAGGTTGTTGGGACCCTCTCCTTCACCTTAGCTAGGTTTGTCTCAGGAAGCTCCCTTTGCCCTCGCCTTGTGAATTCTCGGCTCCTGTGACAATCAGCAGCTCCGAGAATACAGCAGAGGGGCCAGTGTGGGGAGTGCGAGTGTGGGGAGTGCGTTGTCATGGGGATGGGAGGCAGCGCTTCCTGATGGGTGGTCCAGAGTGTGAGCTCCTGATGGGCCACTTCTTAGCTGATCCTAGGGCAATCCTTCCCCTCTCTGAGGCTCAGTCTCTTAATCTGGAAAATGGGGCTGATAAGGACACTGGCCTCATAGGATGGTTGTGAGAATCAAATGACATTGTGTCAGAGTAAGGGCTGGGTACATGGAAGCTGTTTTTTTTTTGTTGTTGTTGTTTTGTTTTCTAAGACAGAGTCTCACTCTGTTGCCCAGGCTGGAGTACGGTGGCACTATCTCGGCTCACTGCAGCATCAACATCCCTGGCTCAAGTGATCTTCCCACTTCAGCCTCCCGAGTAGCTGAGACTACAGGTGCACGCCACCATGCCCAGCTAATTTTTGTATTTTTGGTAGAGATGGGGTTTTGCCGTGTTACCCAGGCTGGTCTCAAACTGCTGACCTCAAGTGATCTGCCTGCTTCGGCCTCCCAAAGTTAGGATTACAGGTGTAAGCCACTGCGCCTAGCAAGAAGCTGTTGTTATTGTAACTATTATTCAGTTGGATACCTTGTGGTTTGAGTCAACATCAGCGAATGTCCAGAATTACAGAAATCCCGCATTCCACATAGGGCAGTGTCTCACTTTTATGATCCAGTAAGAAATACACAGCCAGGCAGTGGCTCACGCCTGTAATCCCAGTACTTTGGGAGGCCAAGGTGGGTGAATTTCTTCAGCCCAGATATTGGAGACCAGCCAGCGAGACTCTATTTCTACAAGAAACTTAGAAAAAAAATTAGCCAGGCATGGTGTTGTGGGCCCATAGTCCCAGCTACTCAGGAAGCTGAGGCGGGAGGATTACTTGAGCCCAGGAGTTGGAGGCTGCAGTGAGCCATGATCATGCCACTGCACTCCAGCCTGGGTGATAGAGTGATACCCTATCTCTAAAATAAATAAATAAATAAATAAACACACTTACCTCATGACTCACAGTTCACATGCATACATGGGCACACAGGCTAACACAGAGGTTTTATAAAACAATACTTCCAGGCTGGGCGCGGTGGCTCAGGCCTGTAATCCCAGCATTTTAGGAGGCTGAGGGGGGCGGATCATGAGGTCAGGAGTTCGAGACCAGTCTGGCCAACATAGCGAAACCCCATCTCTACTAAAAATACAAAAAAAAATTAGCTGGACATGGTGGCACGCGCCTGTAATCCCAACTACTCTGGAGGCTGAGGCAGGAGAATCACATCAACCTGGGAGGTGGAGGCTGCAGTGAGCTGAGATCAAGCCATTGCACTCCAGCCCAGGCGACAGTGAGAGACTCTGTCTCAATCAAACAAACAAACAATACCAAACAACAACAGCAACAACAACAAAAATACTCCCCCGACCTTGTTTTGCATTGTGATATTTTCCGTTCCTTCTATTCTATTCCACCAAACAAATGCTGGCTGTGACCCATTAAATTAACTTCACTGTTTTCTAGTCGCCAACTAGCCATCCAGGAGGAAGGTGAACTATTTAAGGAAAAAGAGGGAGTTCGGGGTTAAGCACAGTGGCTCATGCCTATAATCCCAACACTTCGGGAGGCCAAGTGGAAGGATTGCTTGAGGCCAGCCGTTCAAGACCAGCCTGGCCAACATAGTGAGATCCTGTCTCTATTTTAAAAAGAAAAAGGAGTGCAGATAACCACTGGGATTGATAGATAATGCAACAGAGGATGACAGAGGGAACCTAGAAACATGGTTTAAGAAAAGAGAAGTTGGCCGGTGGCAGTGGCTCATGCCTGTAATCCCAGCAGTTTAGGAGGCCAAGGCGGGTGGATCACTGGAGGTCAGGAGTTTGAGACCAGCCTGGCCAGCATGGTGAAACCCCGTCTCTACTAAAAATACAAAAATGAGCCAGGCGTGGTGGCGGGCGCCTGTAATCCTAGCTACTGGGGAGGCTGAGGCAGGAGAATCGCTTAAACCTGGAGGTGGAGGTTGCAGTGAACCGAGATCGCGCTACTGCACTCCAGCCTGGGCAACAGAGTAAGAATCTGTCTCAAACACACAAACAAACAAAAAACAAAGAAGTTTCATTTGACTCAGTTCTGACATAAGCACAATTTTCACTCAAATATACAGAATCTGAGATGCTCTGAATCCATCCATCATTCAGTCAACAAATCACTACATTCACTAGGCTACAGCTCTGGGCTCCACCCTTTGCTGGGCAGTGTTTGGGATAGGGTGTGACAGACCCAGGTCCTGCCCTTAAGGAGCTCTCAGTCCAGTGGGGGAGACAGGACAAGGCAATGACAACACAGAGTAGTCAGGGCTAGGATGGGGAAGCAGAGAAGCCTGAGAGGGTCGAGGAGGAGCCTGCTCCAGCCTTGGGGTGTCAGGGAAGGCTGCCTGGAGGAGGAGCCACGTGACCCGGCATCTGATGAAGTCACACCAAGGACAGGGTAGGTAGCCCGCACCATCCTCTCTTGGGCGCCCCTTGGCTTGTGACCAATCCTGGATGCTCCCCTTCTCCTGGCTCAGGCTACCAGCCCTGCGACCCGCAGGTCATCTGCAACCGCGTGAACCACGTGCACGGCTGCCTGGCGGAGCTGCAGGAGCAGGCAGCGCGGCGACGCGCGGAGCTGGAGGCTTCGCGGAGCCTGTGGGCGCTGCTGCAGGAGCTGGAGGAGGCCGAGAGCTGGGCGCGCGACAAGGAGCGTCTCCTGGAGGCTGCGGGCGGCGGCGGTGCGGCGGGCGCAGCGGGCGCAGCGGGAACAGCGGGCGGCGCGCATGACCTGTCCAGCACAGCGCGCCTCCTGGCCCAGCACAAGATCCTGCAGGGCGAGCTGGGCGGGCGGCGAGCGTTGCTGCAGCAGGCCCTGCGGTGTGGCGAGGAGCTGGTTGCGGCCGGCGGTGCCGTCGGCCCGGGAGCAGACACCGTGCACCTGGTAGGCCTGGCGGAGCGCGCGGCGAGCGCCCGGCGCCGCTGGCAGAGGCTGGAAGAGGCGGCGGCGCGGCGAGAGCGGCGGCTGCAGGAGGCGCGGGCGCTGCACCAGTTCGGCGCTGACCTCGACGGGCTGCTGGACTGGCTTCGCGACGCTTACCGCCTGGCAGCCGCCGGTGACTTCGGCCACGACGAAGCTTCCAGCCGCCGCCTGGCGCGCCAGCACCGCGCGCTCACCGGGGAGGTGGAGGCACATCGCGGGCCCGTGAGCGGCCTGCGGCGCCAGCTGGCGACACTCGGGGGTGCCAGTGGCGCAGGGCCACTGGTGGTGGCGCTGCAGGTGCGCGTGGTGGAAGCAGAGCAGTTGTTCGCTGAGGTGACCGAAGTGGCGGCGCTGAGGCGCCAGTGGCTGCGGGACGCGCTCGCTGTCTACCGCATGTTTGGCGAGGTGCACGCGTGTGAGCTGTGGATCGGCGAGAAGGAGCAATGGCTGCTCTCCATGCGTGTGCCGGATTCACTCGACGACGTCGAGGTGGTGCAGCACCGGTGAGCGCGCACATGTGGGACTCCGGGGTCCCCTTCCTCATGCACCCAGTCTCACCTTCATTGGCTCAACAGTTCCCATGTTTGCTCAGCTGGAACTAGGAGTTCCAATCCCTGCTTCACCCATAGCCAGCTTTGTGACAGTTCTGCAACCTGCCTAATCTTCCTGAACCTCAGCTTGCCCACCTGTATAATGGGGGTGATATTAGTCCCTACCCAGGCTTGTGATGAACGGTAAATGAGTTCATACATGCAGAATACGAAGCAAATGCCTGGGGGTAGAGGAAGCATTCCCCCAGCATTTGCTCTTGTTACCCAGGCTTACATTCGCCAAGCATGAAATCAACGACCTATGCTTCTACAGGGACACCTCAGCCTGGCCCCTCTGCTGGGAGGCCTCCCATTGCTTCTGCATAAATGTCACCTCCCTAGCTACTAAAATAGCTCTGACTCTTGTGATTTTCCATTGTTTCATCCTGTTTTACATTTCTTTGTAGCACTTACCATCCCATGACATATTGTATACTGACTTGTCTGTTGGCTGACTTAGCAATGAGTTGTTCAATTAGTGGGTGAACAATGCCTATTCCCCCTCTGCACCACTCTGTCTGAGCATCTTATTCATCCATACATTCATTCAGCAGGTGTTTACTGAGTGCCTATGCCTTTCTAGGTCTTGTGCTGGGCACTGCTGGAAACACAGGGCTGCTCCTTGCCCCTACTGTGCCTGCAGTTGCCCAGTTCTTTGAAACATTGATTTAAAGATGGGAGGACCATGTCTAGCTTAAAGTAGACCTCAGTGGCTGCCATGTGGAGGGCAGGTTGGAGCGGGTAAGAGTTGTGGCTGGGAACCCAGAGAGGCAACTGGGCTGGGGACCCAGATGGAGCGGAACAAGATTAGACCAGGGCGGGAGGTAAGTAAACAGGCCATGGAGACTGATGGGCTGGAGCGATTTTCCAAAACAAAGCCCAGGGCTCTGGCCTGGCAGATGACAGTGCTGTCCCCAACATGGGGGCCCAGAGGAAGAACAAATTTGAGTCAGGTGGGTGTGAATAGCCCCAAGAAGGTATACAGTAGGCTTTGAGGTCGAAGACAGGTTCAAAAGGTAAGAGGTTGAGGCTGGAGACTGAGGTGTGACTGTCATGAGTTCAGGGGCAAAGACCAAGGCTGTGGGGCTGGGTGGAATCATTGAAGAAGGGTGTGAAGGAAAACCCAGAGGGCTCAGGGTGGAGTTGCTGCTGAGGAATCTCACATTTAAACATCAGGTAGAGGCTGGGCGTGGTGGCTCACGCCTGTAATCCCAGTACTTTGGGAGGCCAAGGCAGGTGGATCATATAAGATCAGGAGTTGGAGACCAGCCTGGCTAACATGGTGAAATCCCGTTTCTACTAAAAATAGAAAAGTTAGCTGGGCGTGGTGGCGCATGCTTGTAATCCCAGCTACATGGGAGGCTGAGACATGAGAATCGCTTGAATCCGGGAGGCAGAGGTTGCAGTGAGCCACAATCGCGCCACTGCACTCCAGCCTGGGTGACAGAGCGAGACTCTGTCTCAATACATACATACATAAATTAATTAAATTAAATTAAATAAGTTAAATTAAATTAAATAAAATAAGCAGCAAGTAGAAGAGAAGGAGCCCACAAAGGAGGCTGAAAAGAAGGGTGGATTGAGAATTAGGAGTAGAACCAGTAGAAGGTATTTCATAAAACCAAGGTCCGCAGGGTTCGGGTGTCTGAGCATCTCCATCCTCCTGCAGATTCGAGAGCCTGGACCAAGAGATGAACAGCCTGATGGGCCGCGTTCTGGACGTGAACCACACAGTCCAGGAGCTGGTGGAAGGAGGCCACCCCAGTTCAGATGAGGTGCGTTCCTGCCAGGACCACCTCAACAGCAGGTAGGAGGGCCTGGGGCTGGGAGTCCCTCCCATCCTTCCCTTCCACACTCACACAGCCATGGACAGCAAGATGTGCAATCTCAAACCCCTGGAATCATAATGGCCACCCGATAAATCAACAAAATGTTGACCAAAAATCATAATCCCTGATACTGGTGATGACGTGGTAAAATTAAAACAACATTTCAGTTGGCTGTTCATTTATTTGTCCAGAAAGAATGTATTGGATATCTACAATCTGCCAGGAGTATTCCCAAGCACTTTATATACCTTTCTAAAGTATCCCAACATTCTTCCGGGCACAGTGGCTCATACTGTAATCCCAGCACTTCAGGAGGCTGAGATGGGTGGATCACTTGAGCTCATGAATTCAAGACCAGCCTGGGCAACATGGTGAAACCCCGTCTCTCTCTCTACGTGCGCGCACACACACACACACACACACACACACAAAATATATATATACACACACATATATATACACACATATATACGTATATATACACATATATACGTATATATACACATATATACGTATATATACACATATATACGTATATATACACACATATACGTATATATACACATATATATGTATATATATATACACACTATATATATGTATATATATATACAAAATTTAGCCAAGCATGGTGGTGCACATTTGTAGTCCCAGCTACATGGGAGGCTGAGTTGGGAGGATGCCTTGAGCCCAGGAGGTAGAGATTGCAGTGAGCAGAGATTGTGCCACTGCACTCCAGCCTGGGCAATAGAGCCAGACCTTGTCTCAAAAAAAAAAAAAAAAAAATTCCCAATATCCCAATTTCCATAGTAAAGATCCTAGAATTCAGAACTCTCTCTCTCTCTCTTTTGAGACAGGATCTTGCTCTGTTGCCCAGGTTGGAATACAGTGGCATGATCATGGCTCATTGCAGCCTCCAACACCTAGGCTCAAGCGATCCTCCCACCTCTGCCTCCTGAGGAACTGGGACTACAGGTGCATATCACCATGCCCAGCTAATTAAAAAAAATTTTTTTTGTAGAGACAGGGTCTCACTGTGTTGGCCATGCTGGTCTTACAACTCCTGGGCTCGGCTGGGCGTGGTAGCTCACACCTGTAATCCCAGCACTTTGGGAGGCCAAGGCAGGTGGATCACCTGAGGTCAGGAGTTCGAGACCAGCCTGACCAATATGGTGAAACCCCATCTCTACTAAAAATACAAAAATTATCCGGGCATGGTGGCATGTGCCTGTAGTCCTAGCTACTCAGGAGGCTGAGGCAGAAGAATTGCTTGAACCCGGGAGGCAGAGGCTACAGTGAGCCAAGATCACACCACTGCACTCCAGCCTAGGTGACAGAGCAAGAATCTATACCAAAACAGACAAACAAACAAACAAACAAACAAAAACCTCCTGGCCTCCTCCCACCTTGGCCTTCCAAAGAGCTGGGATTACAGTGTAAGCTACTGCTCCTAGCCCAGAACTCTTTAAGATAAGTAACAAACTAATATCAGTACCTCTGGAATACTACCAGCAATTCTCCCAGTGCAGGTGGGGTTCATAGATGAAGATACAAGTCCAAAAAGGTGAACTCCTTATCCAAGATTACTCAGTCTATAAGTAGGAGTCAAATACAGTTCTGGCTGAATCCTGAGCTGTAGCTGTTTATCTAATATATCCAGTCTTCCTGGTAACACTATGAGGTGGAAACTACCCCACATTAGAGAGGAGAAAACTGGATCTCAGAGAGGCGAAGATGGAGGCCCAAGGTTACACAGCAAGTTAGGGGATCAAACCGGGCTTTGAAGATGGATATGTTTGACTTCAAAGACTGTGCTCTTTTTTTTTTTTTCTTTCTTGAGACAGGGTCTTGCTCTTTCGCCCAGACTGGAGTGCAGTGGTACGATCATGGCTCACTACAGCCTTCACCGCCCCCGACCCGAGCTCAAGAAATCCTCCTGCCTCAGCCTCTTGAGTAGTGGGACTATGGATGCACACCACTGCACCCGGCTAATTTTTGTATTTTTTGTACAGATGGGGTCTCACTCTGTTGCCCAGACTGGTCTCGAACTCCTGGGCTCAAGTGATCTTCTGCCTTGGCCTCCGCAAGTGCTGGAATTACAGGCATGAGCCACTCTGCCCCACCCAAAGACTACGCTCTTGACTCTGTGCTGCAAGATTCCAATATCCAGGGATTTTAAAACCTCTGTAGCCAAGACCATCGCAAAGCATCCAGGCCTAAAAAAATAACTACAATCATAACGATTTACAGCATGTAGAGAGATCTATATGCCAAGTGCTTTAGCCACATGATCTCGTTACACACTCAATGAAGTGGACTTTATTATCCCCATTTTCCAGATGAGGAAACTGAAGATCAGAGAAGGAAATGATTTGCCCAAGGTCACATGGCAAATCTGGCCAGAGCAGAACTTGAACTCGGGTCTGCCTGATTTCAGAGTCCTAATCTCTGTCCTCATGGTGTGTCCATTCTAGAGGGGGCAGAAAGACAGTTAAATACACTAATAAATGGACAAGATATTTAGAGAATCATAATGGCTTTATGCAAGAAACAGGCAGGGCATGGTGGCTCACGCCTGTAATCCTAGCATTTTGGGAGGCCGAGGCAAGCAGATCACTTGAGGTCAGGAGTTTGAGACCAGCCTGGCCAATGTGATGAAACCCCATCTCTATTAAAAATATAAAAACTAGCCGGGTGTGGTGGTGCACGCCTGTAATCCCAGCTACTTGGGAGGCTGAGGCAGGAGAATCCCATGAACCTGGGAGGCGGAGGTTGCAGTGAGCTGAGATCGTGCCACTGCACTCCAGCCTGGGCAACAGAGCAAGACTCTGTCTAAAAAAGAAAACAAAATTTAAAAAACCCAAACTATTGAGGACCCCAAGAGCTTGTTTTAGTGGGTCATATCTATTGCTATTTACTATATTAGAACTTAGTACTGAGAAAATTTAAAATGTTTTTATTTTTATTTATTTATTTTGAGACAGGGTCTCATTACTCTGTCACCCAGGCTGGAGTGCAGTGGCACAATCATGGCTCACTGCAGCCTCGACTTCGCAGGCTCCAGCAATCCTCCCATCTCAGCCTCCCAAGTAGCTGGGACCATAGGTGTGCACCCCCACGCCCAGCTAATTTTTGTATTTTAGGAGTCTCACCATGTTGCCCAGGCTGCTCTCCAACTCCTGAGCTCAAGCGATCCACCTGCTTCCGTCTTCCAAAGTGCTGGGATTACAGGTGTGAACCACTGCACCCGGCTGAGAAATTTGAAAACATTATTTAAAAATAACAATACACTGGGAGTGGTGCGTGCCTGTTAGACCTGTGAGGCTGAGGTGGGAGGACCGCTTGAGCCTGCGAATTGGAGGCTTCAGTGTGCCATAAACGAGTTCATGAATAGCCACTGCGTTCTAGCCTGGGCAACATAGTGAGATCTCACGTCTTAAAAAAATTTTTTTAAATCTAAATATCTAACGTGTTAATATAACTTTTTTATTAAAAATAACTTTTCATAACACAAAATGTACTAAGAGTGGCATTGTTTCGTACCTTTGCAAATCTCTTTAAAGTCTGGTTTAAGAGATGGCAGCTGGGCTTCTCTTAAATCAGAGTCGGCTTCTGCTCTCAGTCTCTCCTGCCGCCTCTGGAAAACTCCACTGAACACTCGGGAAAGAATGAGAGTGAAAAAGCAAATGGCGTCTTAACACATTTTTATGAAGATAGTTTTGTCCTCTATCAGATTACATGTTGAGAATGGCTGCCCTAAGCAAAAGTGCTGCGTAGGGTTCCATTTTACACCGGCAGAAACTGGAGAAACTTTCTGAGGTCACACAGTGGCTGGGTGGCTTGGGCCTGGATTCTACCCTGGGTCGGCGGGCCCTCCGCGCCCAAGAGGAGTCCCTGTCCTCCTCAAGTCACTCTCTTTCCCCTGGGCAGGTGGAACCGCATCGTGGAGCTAGTGGAACAGCGCAAAGAGGAAATGAGCGCGGTGCTGCTGGTGGAGAACCACGTGCTGGAGGTGGCCGAGGTGCGCGCCCAGGTGCGTGAGAAGCGGAGAGCTGTGGAGAGCGCGCCCCGGGCCGGCGGCGCCCTGCAGTGGCGTCTTAGCGGCCTAGAGGCCGCTCTGCAGGCGCTGGAGCCGCGCCAGGCGGCCCTTCTGGAGGAGGCAGCCCTGCTGGCTGAGCGCTTCCCGGCGCAGGCGGCGCGGCTGCACCAGGGCGCGGAGGAGCTGGGCGCCGAGTGGGGCGCGCTAGCTAGCGCGGCTCAGGCCTGCGGCGAGGCGGTGGCGGCAGCAGGGCGCCTGCAGCGCTTCCTACATGACCTCGACGCTTTCCTGGACTGGCTCGTGCGCGCCCAGGAGGCGGCGGGCGGCAGCGAGGGGCCCCTGCCCAACAGCCTAGAAGAGGCGGACGCGCTGCTGGCGCGCCACGCTGCGCTCAAGGAGGAGGTGGACCAGCGCGAGGAAGACTATGCTCGCATCGTGGCGGCCAGCGAGGCGCTGCTGGCCGCCGACGGCGCAGAGCTGGGCCCGGGCCTGGCACTAGACGAGTGGCTGCCACACCTCGAACTTGGCTGGCATAAACTGCTCGGCTTGTGGGAGGCGCGCAGGGAGGCGCTGGTCCAGGCGCACATCTACCAGCTCTTCCTGCGGGATCTACGCCAGGCGCTCGTGGTGCTGCGTAACCAGGTGCCCACTCGGGGTGTACATTTCGGAGAGGGAGAGTCCGAGGCCGCGGGGGGATTGCAGGGACAGGGACATGCGGGGGTGGGGAGGAGGGTGTTTCCTGGGACCACTGGGTTCTGAGGTGGGTGGGAGGTGAGAGAGTATCCGGAATGGATAACTGAGTTTGTGGAACATCCAGTGTGTGTGGAAGTGTGTATGTAACAGAATTTGAGGAGTATCATCAGTGGGGTAGGTTGGTGTCTTATCGGAGGTGACAGTTTGTGGGCTATCCCGAGTAAGTAATGCACGAGGATATTTATTGGAGTGGCTTCCTGGGTTCGTGGATTATCTGAAAGGAAATAAGACTATGAGGTTGATTGGCGATGGTTAAATGGGGTTCAAAGAAGATCTTGGTATGGATAACAAAGGATTAGGATTATGGAGGTAGGTAACAGGCTGAGGGGTTATTGGAGTCAGTCAGTGATTGTGGATTACATGGTGTGGATGGCTAAATTAGCACAATATCTTCATTTCTGGGAATGACAACTATGGATTCTCTGGAGAGAGTAACTGTGTCTGTGGCATGAGGAACCAAGTGCAGTGGTTATCTGGGGACAGCCAATCCAGTTGGGAGATCACTCTGGGATGGGAACCAAGTTTGAGAATTTTGGCAAGATGGAACAGCCAGTTTTCAGATTGTCCAGTGTTTGGGGATCATGTTAGAAAGGGTGCCTGCCTGTACTGGTTATATAAGGGATGCTGACCCAGTTTGAGGATTATCTACAGCAGTGGTCCCCAATCTTTTTTTTTTTTCTTTAGATAGAGTCTTGCTCTGTAGCTAGGCTGGAGGGCAGTGGCGTGATCTCAGCTCACTGAAACCTCAGCCTCCCGGGTTCAAACGATTCTCCTGCCTCAGCCTCCCAAGTAGCTGGGACTACAGGCGCGAGCCACCATGACCAGCTAATTTTTGTATTTTTAGTAGAGATGGGGTTTCACCATGTTGGCCAGGATGGTTTTGATCTCTTGACCTCATGATCCGCCTGCCTCGGCCTCCCAAAGTGTTGGGATTACAGACATGAGCCACTGCACCAGGCCCAGTCCCTAATCTTTTTGGCACCAAGGACTGGTTTTCTGGAAGACAATTTTTTCCACAAACCGGTGGGAAAAGGAGGAATGTTTTCAGGATGATTCAAGCGAATTACATTTATTGTGTGCTTTATTTCTATTGTTATTACATTATAACATATAATGAAATAATTATAAAACTCACTATAATGTAGAATCAGTGGGAGTCCTGAGCTTGTTTTCCTGCAACTAGACGTTCCCATCTAGTGACATCTAGGGGTGATGGGAGGCAGCGACAGATCATCGGGCATTAGATTCTCATAAGGAGTGTGCAACCTGGATCCCCCACATGCGCAGTTCACAATAGGGTTTGTGTTCCTATGAGAATGTAAAGCTGCTGCTGATCTGACAGGAGGCAGAGCTCAGGCAGTAATGCTCACTCGCCCCCCCTCCACCTCCTGCTATGCGGCCCAGTTTTTAACAGGCGATGGACTAGTACCCCTCTGTGGCCCAGGGCTTGGGAAATCCTGATCTAGGGAGTGGAGGAGAAAGGACAGAGAGCCCCTGAATCATAAGATTACTAAATATGGAGCTGAAGTGGCCTTGAGAGACCCTTTCTGACCCACCCATTTAAAAAATAGAGACAGGATCTTGCTATGCTGCCCAGGCTGGTCTCCAGCTCCTGGGCTCAAACAGTCCCCCTGCTTTGGCCTCCCAAAGTGCTGGGATTGCAGGTGTGAGCCACCATGCCCGGCCCTGACCCACTCATTTTACTAGTTAGAAAACTAACCCCAGAGGGAAAAGAACTTCCTTGAGTTCACACAGTACCCAGTTTAGTTGTCTTCTTTTTTTGAGACAGGACCTCACTCTGTCACCCGGGCCAGAGTACAGTGGCACGATCATGACTCACTGCAGCCTTGATCTATGGGGCTCAAGCAATCCTCCCACGTCAGCCCTCCAAGTAGCTGGGACTACAGGCACGTGCCACCATGCCTGGTTAATTTTTTGTATTTTTAGTAGAGATGGGATTTCACCATGTTGCCCAGGCTGGTCTTGAACTCCTGGGGTCAAGTGATCCTCCCGCCTCTGCCTCCCAAAGTGCTGGGATTATAGGCATGAGCCACCGTGCCCAGCCTTCAGTCTTCATAGTAACCAATTTTTTTTTTTTTTTTTTTTGAGATGGGGTCTTGCTCTGTCACCCAGGCTGGAGTGCAGTGGCGTGATCTTGGCTCACTGCACCTCCTCCGCCTTCTGGGTTCAAGCGATTCTCCTGCCTCAGCCTCCTGAGTAGCTGGGATAACAGGTGTGTGCCACTACACCCGGCTAATATTTGTATTTGTAGTAGAGATGAGGTTCACCATGTTGGCCAGGCTGGTCTCGAACTCCTGACCTCAGGTGATCCACCCACCTCGGCCTCCCAAAGTGCTGGGATTACAGGCATGAGCCACCATGTCCGGCCTAATATTAACCAAATATTTACTGAGTGCCTCCTCTGTGCTGGGCGCTATTTTGGGGCTGAGCACACCTCAGGCAACAAAATACAAAATCCTGCCCTCATGTGGTTGACATTCTAGTATGTAGGGGAGGAGAGAGTAAACAAGTCAATGCATCGCTAATATTGCCAGGTACATGCTATGAGAAATAATACAGGAGGGTTGGCTGGGTGTGGTGGCTCACGCCTGTAATCCCAGCACTTCGGGAGTCCAAGGCAGGTGGATTACCTGCGGTCAGGAGTTTGAGACCAGCCTGGCCAACATGGTGAAACCCCGTCTCTACCAAAAATACAAAAAAATTAGCCGGGCATGGTGGTATGCACCTGTAATCCCAGATACTTGGGAGGCTGAGGCGGGAGAATCACTTGAACCCAGGAGGTGGAGGTTGCAGTGAGCCGGGATTGCACCACTGCATCCAGCCTGGGCAACAGAGTGAGACTCCATCTGCTCCCTCCCTGCCAAAAAGAAATAATACAGGAGGGTAGTGGGATAGGGCTGGGGTGGGAGTTGATAAATTTGGCAGGTTGGTCAGAGACCTGAAGAAAGTGAAGGAGCCAGCCATGGGGGTATCTGGAGGGACAGACTCCCAGGCAGAAGCACCAGCATGGGCAACAGCCCCGAGGTGGGACCACAACTGGAATGTTCTATGCTTGCAAGGTTGCGGGGAGTGGTGGCAAGCCAGGCTGGCAGCCTCTCCCAGGTCCTGGAATGGAATGAGGCTGACCTTTGCACCACGCTCCCTCCTCCCCAGGAGATGGCGCTGTCTGGTGCGGAGCTCCCGGGCACAGTGGAATCGGTGGAGGAGGCCTTGAAACAGCACCGTGACTTTCTCACCACCATGGAGCTGAGCCAGCAAAAGATGCAGGTGGCCGTGCAGGCTGCAGAGGGCCTGCTGAGGCAGGGCAACATCTACGGGGAGCAGGCTCAGGAGGCTGTGACCCGGCTGCTGGAGAAGTAGGTCCCCTAGACCCATCCACCCCAGGGAGGGGGCAGAAGATGGGGCCCAGCATAGGGGAGTGGTGTGGGAGGCCAGGGTCCCACTCCTTTCATCACGATTTCTGCTTCTCTGGGGCTCTTTCCTATTTCTATTTAATTCCATGTTGTCTTAGATTTGATTTAAGTGGATTTTTTTTTTTGAGACGGGGTCTCACTGTGTTGCCCAGGCTGGAGTGCAGTAGCACGATCTCGGCTCACTGCAACCCTCACCTCCCAGGTTCAAGTGATTCTCCTGCCTCAGCCTCCCGAGTAGCTGGGGCTACAGGCATGAGCCACCACGCTGGCTAATTTTTGTATTTTTAGTAGAGACACGGTTTCACCATGTTGGCCAGACTGGTCTTGAACTCTTGACCACCCACCTTGGCCTCCCAAAGTGCTGTGATTAGCGGCATGAGCCACTGCACCTGGCCTTAAGTGGATATATTGTGAAAAGGTAACCTGAGGCTGTCAACCCAAAAGATACAGAAGGATATACAATGAAAGGTTTCTTTCTTAAGTCTGCCCTGAGCATGGGATAGCTGGTCCTGTTGTTAAAATGTTAGGCTGGGTGCAGTGACTCATGCCTGTAATCCCAGCACTTCGGTAGGCTGAGACGGGAGGATTGCTTGTGCTGAAGAGTTCCAGACCAGCCTGGGCAACATAGTGAGACCCCTTCTCTAAAATTAAAAAAAAAAAAAAAGCTGGGCGTGGTGATGCGTGCCTGTAGTCCCAGCTACTCTTGAGGCTGAGATGGGAGGACTGTTTGAGTCCGGGAGATTGAGGCAGCAATGAACTGTGATCATATCACTGCAGTCCAGCCTGGATGACACAGCAACATTCTGTCCCCCCTCCAAAAAAAAAATGTGTTAACTTACTTCCCTAGATGCCTCATTATCCATCCTGCTCTTCTGCACCCTCCTTGGGAACCCCCAGACCTCCCCAGATCCAGCAGCTAGAGGCCAGGCACAGGTGTGTTCCAGCTTTCCAGATGGGACAGTGTCCCCTGCCAGGCTGGTTGTCAAATATTTTGCATAAGCACCTCTTCCTGGCCCCAGCCACTCTAGGAAGCATGCAAAGTGAGTGTCTGCATGTCTCTGTGTCTCTCTCATCTCTTGAACCTCATTGTTCTCTGCTTCTGTCGCCATCTGTCTCTTGCCACCACTCTCTTGTCTGTCCTTGCACTAATCAAGCGAAGATATTTATTGAGCATCTACTGTGTGCCAGGCACTATTGTAGGTAGGCACTGAACAAAACAACACCACCACCTCCAGCCATCATGGGAAGTCCTTTCTCATCTTCCAGACCCAGTTCTGTCTGTCATTAGAGCTGTTTCTGCTCCTCCTGGTGACCCTAAATTTCTCCTCTCAGGCTCTCTGGCTCTCTCCGGCATGATCCAGGCCAGAAGGGGACCCAGTACCCCTCCTTCTGTCTTCCCATCTCCTGACAGAAAGCATCCCTGGTCACTTCACTGTGCCACCCCCAGCCCCAGGACCGCTACCCCTTTTCTGTTTACGGCTCAGACATCCTTTCCCTAGATTTATCTGGGGCAAGGCAGCATGCTTCTAAAGGAAACTTTTATGGGAATTCTGTTCTTGAGGATGCAAACTCATCATTTAGTGCCCCCTTTTCCATCCAGGCCTGGATCCTTCCTTTGTTCCACTTTTTTTTTTTTTTTTTTTGAGACAGGGATCTTACTCTGTTGCCCAGGCTGGAGTGCAGTGGTGCAATCATAGCTCACTGCAGCCTGGAACTCCTGGGCTCAACCAACTCTCCTGCCTCAGCCTCCTGAGTAGCTGGACTATAGGTGTGAGCCACTGAGCATGGCCTGTTCCACATTTCTTGAGCACCTGCTGCATGCCAGGCTCAGCAAAACGAGGAGGAGGAGCCCGGGGGACTGTTCATTCCATGATTCATTCATTCATTACTTTTCAGTCATTCATTAATTGCTCCTTTCACTCTATTGTTTATTCACTCATCCTCCAGTCAATTAAACATGTACTGAGCCCGTGCTCTGTACGGAGTGGGGGTGTGTTCACAGAAATGACCAGGACAGAACATGATTCCTGCCTCACAGAGCTCGAACGTTATCTGACAAGGATGGCCCAGAATGCTCGGGGCTGGGATGGAGGAAGTCCAGGCAGAAAGGTCAGGGCCCGGATGGGAGACGTGCAGCCGCTGTGGGAGAGGCAGCATTTGTCCCAGGCTTGTGGTGGGTGAGGTGTGGTCACAGAGGGATTGAGACGGACTAATCTCTGCACCTTCCCACCATCCCAGTCATTTATTTGTCTAGGGACACATTTCCCACCCTGTGGGAGGAGTGGGAGGAGTGGGAGGAGTTTCCACATCCGCCAAGGGGGCAGAGCCATACAGAGCTGGGGACTGGGGCCCTGGGGCCCTGGGGGTCTTAGACCTGGCTTCACCCCTGAATCCGTGACATTCAGGGCAAGTCACTTAGAGCTTCAGCTTGCCTGGCCCCTCACCTGGAACCTGTGTGTGAGGTGCTGTTCTTTTTTTTTTTTTTTTTTTTTTTGAGATGGAGTCTCACTCTGTCACCCAGGCAGGAGTGTAGTGGCGCGATCTCGCCTCACTGCAACCTCTGCCTCCAGGGTTCAAGCTATTCTCCTGCTTCAGCCTCCTGAGTACTGGGATCACAGGAAAGAGCCACCATGTCCAACTAATTTTTGTATTTTTGGTAGAGACAGGGTTTTGCCATGTTGGCCAGGCTGGTCTCAAACTCCTGACTTCAAGTGATCCACCTGCCTCGGCTCCCCAAAGTGCTGGGATTACAGGCGTGAGCCACCGCGCCGGCCGCTAGGTGCTGTTCTTATCTGCGTTTTGCATGTGAGGCTCAGAGGGGAAAACTGACTTGCCCAGAGTCATGGCCAGGAAGTGCCACAGCCTAGATTTGAACCCTGTTGCTTTCTTTTCTTTTCTTTTTTTTAAAGACAGGGTCTTGCTTTGTTGCCCAGGCTGGAGTGCAGTGGTGCGATCACTGCTCACTGCAGCCTCAATCTCCTGGGCTCAAACAATCCTCCTGCCTCAGCCTTCTGAGTAGCTGGGACTAAAAGCATGTGCCACCTTGCTCGGCTAATTTTTCATTCTTTTTTTGTAGAGATGAAGTCTCACTATATTGCCCAGGGTGGTTTCAAACTCCTGGGCTCAAGCAATCCTCCTACTTTGGCCTCCCCAAAGTGCTCGGATTACAGGCGTGAGCCATCGTGCCCGGCCTACTCTGTTGTTCTTTCACCCTCATGGAGACTCAGGGTCTTCCTCATCTCTAGGACTGATGCTTGACAGTTTGGCTGCTGAAGGCCTGGAAAGATTGATTTCAGCTCAATTTCAGAGGCATTTTATCTTTCCTGGCTCCTAAGCTAAGTTGGGCAGGAGGCAGTCAGTGCTTCGCTTGCTTGTCTCAGGCCCTTCCTGTTCCTTCTCTCTGGTTCTGTCTCTGCAACTGTCTCCTATACACTCTGTCTCTTTGCTTCCATCTATCCATCTATTTCTGTATCTCTGTTTCCTGCTCCCTCTCTGTTTTTCTCTCCGTTTTTCTCTCCCTCCATCTGCACCTCTCTAACCCTGTCTTTTCTGCCTCTGTCTTTCACAGATACTGTACTTTTGTTTCTCCCATCTTTTTTCTCTCTGCCACTGTGTTTCTTGCATTCATTCATTTAACAAATATAAGTCGAGCGTGTACTGTATGCCAAGCCCTTTTTCTAAGCATTGGGGACACATCTATGAACAAAACAGACAAAAATCCCTGCCCTCATGGAAATGATATATCCTAGCATGGGAGACAGCCAAGATAAATAAGTAACATATAGCACGTGTTAGATTGCGTTAAGTGCTAAGGAGAAAATTAAAGAAGGGAAGAAAGCCAGAAAGTGTTGGGGAGTGGTCAGGAGGGACCTCACGAAGAAGGTGATCTTTGAGTAGATGTTGGGGGAAGGAGCATTCCCAGCAGAGGGAACGGCTAGTGCCAAGGGCCTGAGGCTTGCTCAAGGCACAGCGAGAAGGGCAGTACAGTTACCACAGAGTGAGGGGGAAGAGTGCAAGGAGAATAAGAGTTTGGAAAGGTGGGGGTGTGGGGCCTGGTAGGTCAGAAAGGCCTCTGAGATTGGCCGAGTGCAGGAGCTCACTCCCATCCCAGCACTTTGGGAGGCCAAGGCGGGTGGATCACTTGAGGTCAGGAGTTCGAGACCAGCCTGGCCAACATGGCGAAAACTCGTCTCTACTAAAAATACAAAAATTAGCCAGGCCTGGTGGTGGGCGCCTGTAATCCCAGCTAGTTGGGAGGCTGAGGCCGGAGAATCGCTTGAACCTGGGGGGTGGAGGTTGTAGTGAGCCGAGATCACGCCACTGCACTCCAGCCTGGGCGATGGAGCGAGACTCCATCTCAAAAAAAAAAAAAAAAAAAAAGGACTCTAAGGACTCTCATGGAGACCCTGGGAGGATCTCTAAGGACTCTCATGGAGACCCTGGGAGGATAGTCTCATTCTCTCTCTCTCCCTGGGGGAGACAGATAGCAACAGGACAGGGATGCATGGGAGCCCATGTGGGATGCCCCAGCCCCATCCACCAGGCCTCTTGGGCACTTTGCCTTGCACTGTGGGCAGGAGGCCAGACTGCCCGGGGCCCATGGTCCCAGCCGGCTCCAGAGTGGTACGGCCTGGGTCCAGCCTGGTCAGTTCAGTCAGGCCAAGGGCCTCGCTCTGCCTGCAGGAGTGCCCACTTCAGCTTCTCTGCGACTCTGCTGTCATCTCTCCCCACACTCTGCTCTCTTCCCTCTCTCCAACTCTGCGGCCCCCTGGTCTGTCTGTCGTCTGTGGGGCTGTCTTTTCCTGGTGGCATTTGCCACTCCTCTGCCTGTCTCTCTCTGGGCTGTCCCTGACCGGACTCCTCCTGTCACTTTCCCTCTCTCTGCCTCCTCTCTTTCGTCGTCTGCTGCTCCCTGAGTTTCTTTCTGGCTCTGCCTTGCTCCATCTCTTTTCTCGTCTTTTTTTATTCTCTCTCTCGCTCTCTTTCTGGTGTCTCCTCTCACTTTCTCGTTTGTTTTGTTTTGTTTTTGTCCCTAGGTATGTCTGTCTTTACTTCTCTGTTATCTTTCTCTCTGGACTTGCCTTTTTTTCTCTCCGTCTATATCTCTTTCTTTCTAAGTGCCTGTCTCTGCCTCTCCCTTTCTCTTCCTCTGTCTGTCTCTCTCTCTGCCCTTCTTCAGCCCCGTCCCTGCGTCCCTGGCTTTGCCCCACTAATTCCTCCCTCTCTCTTACATATTTTCCACGCCCTTCTTCCCCTACCCAGCCCAGTGCCCTCACAGTCCTACTGCCAGCGCCGCACCCCCCAACCCGGGGCCTTTCCCCAGCCCTTATCTCCCCATCCCCAGGAACCAAGAAAACCAGTTACGGGCCCAGCAATGGATGCAAAAGCTACATGACCAACTTGAGCTGCAGCACTTCCTCCGAGACTGCCACGAGGTAGGAACTCCAGGTGTGCTGGGGACGGAGACATCCCCTTTAGTCGGGAGGGAAGTGCTTCTCGGCCGAGGTGGGGGTGGGGACGCCCCGTCTAAGTGGGTCGCGGAGCGATGCTCGCTCTAAGCCGCCAGGGGGCGCGCGGAGCCGGGTCTCAGTGCGCATGCTCCGCAAGTCCCTGCCCGCCCACGCCGACTCCGGGAAACGAAGGAGGGGCCCCGGGCGCCCCTGGCAACCGCGCGTGTCCGCGCCTACGGGTCCCGCGGGGACGCGCGCTGATCTCACCTTTCTCTCCTGAGATTTGTGAGAATCGCTCTACCCCAGGAGAGGGGCGGGGCGGGCGGTGGGGATAAGGGCCGAGGGCCGTGGGGGGGCCAGCGGCCCTGCGCCCTCCTGCAGCCAGCGATGGCTCTGAACCAAGCCCTCGCCCCTTTAAAGGTGTTCAGTAATCAAGCCCCTTCCCTTAGGGATGATCTGCACACATTAGGGACGATCTCCCCTAATCCGAGATGGTCCAGGCCCCCTTCCTTATTAGTGACGGTTCAGGAGACCTGCTGTCTTCCCCTCCTTCCCTTGCATTCCATAGAAACGATTCTAGACTTTGGCCACATTAGAGATGGCCTAGTAAACATTTTCCTAAACCCTAAACAGAGCTAGGCCTGGCCCTGAGCCCCTCCATCTGTGTGACCCAGGATCATCCCCTCCTCCATCATCACCCCGTACCTAAGTTTCTTCCAACCAAAGCTGGTTCAGGAACCAGGTCTAACCCCTAAACCCCTCAGCCTCAATTAAAGACGATTCGACCCTCCCCCCTATGTTGAACACCCATGGGAGATTGTTCTCTCCGCACACGGAATAAACAAGGGCCTCCATACCGTGCCCCCCTCCCCCATAACTGGGGTAGGCCGGGACTTGAGCCACTGGAGGAACCCCCTGTTCCCCCTCGCCCCCACTGGAGATTGTGAGATGTTCCAGGTCGCCCTCCCATATCCCCTGTCCACATGTGGTGGCCAGGAGCCCGAGCTTCTTCCCATTAGAGATGGTTCAGGAGGCCCCCACCCAGCCCCTCACCATAATCCCCACTCCCTTAGTGAGGCAGTCCAAGCCCCAGGCGCTCCCTCCCGGCATTAGATTTGGTCCAGGAGCACCCCCCATCCCTCATGAGATTGTTCTGGATCAGGCAGCAATCATCTGAGATGGCGCAGAAGCCCCCCACCCGAAGCCTTGGGGCGAGTGGTGGTTCCTCCTGCACCCCCACCTGGGGCCCCGCAAAGAGGCGGGCAGGGAGGCAGGCAGGGGGCGCACGCGGGCGGGCGCGCGGCCGCCGCGCGGGGGCGAGGGAGGGGGCGCGCGGCCGCCGGAGCCTCAGCCTTCGCCGCCGCTGCCGCTGCCGTCGCAGTTGAGGGGCGAGCACCCGCCCGCCCGCTGCAGGGACGCCCCGCCAACGCCACTGCCGCTTCAGGTCTCGGGGGCGCCCAGGGGAGGGGGTTGGCGCGCACCCCGCGGACGCAGACAGGGGAGGGGGCTCGGGCGCGTGCCCGCCCGTCGTGGCCGCGGGAGGGAGGGGCGGGGCGGCGCGGGGGCGGGCCGGGCAGGCGCCCGGACCCCCACCCTGGGGGAGGGGCAAGGACGCCGGGAGCTGTCCGCGGTGCTGGCGCGGGCGGGACTGAGGGGCCGGCCCCCAAGGGAGGGGAGCGAAGCGGGGGGACTTCTAAGACCACTTCTAGGGTAATCTGGATTTGCCCTAAGGGTTCAGGGCGTCTCAGCCTTTCGAGGGGGGGCTCTTCTCCGGGTAATGGGGCATCTAAGATTTGCCCTGGGGTTGGGGGTTTCTCAACCTTTTGGGGGGTTTCTTTCTTGTTTTGGGAGGATCTGTATCAGCCTTGGATGATGGAGGTGAATCACTTTTGGGGGGCTCTGCCTTGGAAGATGAGGGGCCTTGGATTTTCTCTGGGTCTAGGGGGCTCTGACTTTGTGGGGCTTTTCCTGGGTTGTTGGATAGTCTGGTTTTGCCCTCCATCATGAAGGAATCACTTTTGAGGGGGCTTTACTTTGAGGATGGGGTACCATCTCTTTAAGGGCTCTGCTTTCACTGCGGGCTGTGGTTGCCGTTGGACTCTTCCCTGCACGTCGGGAACCTGTGAATTGAGTTGGGGGGTTCAGCACTGGACTTGGTTCTAGTGTGTGTATGAAGGAGTGTGATGCTGTCCTGGACCCCTGGGGAGCACATGCTCAGGGGACATGGGCTGGGGTTTGGCCGGCTGGGGATCTGGGATTTGTCCTTGGCTATGACTGCATTTGCCTCCCGGGACCGCGGAGCTGGAGTCCAGTGTTTGTTTTTTTTTTTTTTTTTTTTTTTTTTTTTTTTTTTGCAGGAGGGAGGAGGGAGGATCTTGTGACTGGAGTGGGGAGGAGAAAGGGGAGGAGCAAACTGTTTCAGGTGCCAGGTTTGGTCATGAGTGGGGAAGTTCTGGCTTGGAGGATAAGTCTGGTTTTTTACTGGAGGGGGTTGGGGGAGGCTCAAAAAGCAGCCTGTGATTGATCCTCTCTAGTGCCGTGAGAGGGGCCCACTCTTGGTGCTTGCGTTTTGGATGACTGGTTTTGTTGGTGGGTAGGAGGACTAGAACTGGCTTTAGTTGTAGGGGTGGGGGTGCTGGCCGGGCTTGGGAGGTCCGATCTGATCCACGATGGAGAGTCTGTGGCTAGATTTTGGGGTAGACTGGTTTGGAGAGCCAGAACACAGCTTTGTTTTTCACATTTGGCTGGGGTTGGCTTTGGTTGAGGGCTAGAACTGGTCATGGTTTGGGGATCTATGGTCTTAGAGTCCCAGGGCTAGAACTGGGGAGCCCTGTGGGCTCATTAGGGGTGCTAGATCTCGATTATGGAGGATGGGTCTACTCCAGATTAGAGGGTTAGTTTAGAGAGAGCTAGAGTTGGCTTTAATTGGGAGGTTGTTTGGGGGGTTTATCTGGCCATACTGGAGGAACTGGGGCTAGATATGGGGGCTTCATTTGATACCCTTGGGAATGGGTTGAGGCTCTTGAATTGGTCCTTATTGGGGGGTGGCTAAGATTGAATGAAGTGTCTAAGTGTTGCTATGGGAGGGGTGGTCCTGGGGATGAATTGGGAGTTAGCTAAATTGGGTTGGAGAGCTTGTTTTGGGGGGGGTGATCTGTCCCCAAGTCTAAGAGGCTGACTGGCCCTGCCTTGGGGGCTTGTGGGGAGTTGAGGAGGGCTTCCCTCAGGACAGGGGACAGGGGAGCAAAGGATTGGGCATTCTGGGGACCCTTCCATCCATCCTCTATCCAGGAAAGAGCTTGAGCTGCACCCACCCCCAATATAAAGGCCTCACTTGCAAAGGTTTTTTCATCCTTTCCTATTCCTTCCACCCATACACCCTAGCAGCCCAGGCCCTGAACCTGGGACTTCCTGAAGGGATGGGGGGCTGTGGCAGGTTGAGGGGACCAGCTGAGCCCTCCTGCCCTGTTCTGCACAGCTGGATGGCTGGATCCATGAGAAGATGCTGATGGCGCGGGATGGCACGCGGGAGGACAACCACAAGCTGCATAAGAGATGGCTCCGGCACCAGGCATTCATGGCCGAGCTGGCTCAGAATAAGGAGTGGCTGGAGAAGATCGAGCGGGTGAGGAAGCTGATGGCCCCTCTGCCTGTGCCAGGTGCAGGAGGCCTCCAGGGAGCCCACGTCTCACCTGCTGCACCCGCTGCTGCCATCCTGCTGGTCTTACACCTCTGGACTGACTCAAATCAGCTCCAGATCTGCTCCTAGCTATGTGGCTTTGAGTGATTCATGTAACATCTTTGAGCCTCAATTTGCTCATCTGTAAAGTGGCCAGCATCTCTTCTGAATGGTGCCTGTATCCTACTGTTTGTTAAATATTTCACTTCTTAATATAACCTCCTCTACCAGGTTCCTTCCATACCATTTGGGGCATTTAAGATGGAAGGTTGGGGAGATGGGCTGGGACAGACCCTGGGAAGCCCAGGGTTAAAGTAAACTTTGGATTCTTAGAGCCCTGGGTTCTAACTGTGTCTATGCCTGTTACCAGCTGTGGGGCCTTAGGTAATTGTGTTAACCTCTTGGAGCCTCAGTTTGCTGTTCTATAAAATTAAGGAAATAATAAATATAGCTACTTCCTGGGCTCTGTGCACATAAAGTACTTAACACAAGGCCACGCACCTAAGAGCTGTAATTACTGTGGTCTTGTTACTTTTAATACTTAATGTTACCTAAGTAGCTCTGGGCCACTAAGAACCTTGACTTCAGTCTTGGAGGGACTGAGGTAGATATTTGCTCTAAGCCTCAACCCTCAGAACTTCCCCCTCCTCTGGCTGAACCCCTAGACCTGTAGCCCTGGATATACACACTTTTCTGACTCACACAGAGACACCCATGTTGGCCTTAAACCCTTAAATGGTCATTGATGTTTCATAAATGGTGGCATATGGCGAAGGCAGTCTTCTTGACTTTGAGTTTAATGGAAGTTCATTCTCTCCCTGCCTCTCTGGCTCCCTCTATCTTTCTTTCCTGTCTGTCTATCCCTCTATCCTTGTCTTTCTTACGGTCCTCTCCCCATGTTTCTGATTTTCTGTGCCTGTCTCTCTGTTGATCACTCTGTGACTGTTTGTCTCTCCCTGACTCCTTCCCATGTCTCTGTGTCCATCTGTCTCTCCCTGTATCTTTCTGTCTCCCTCCCCTCACTTCTGTCTGTCTGTCTCTCTCTTCTTGTCTCTCTTCCTTGGTTCCTTCCATTTCTGGGCCTATCTCTGCATCCACCCCTCATGTCTCTCTCTCCCTATGTGTCTCCCACTCCCTGCCTCTGATTCTCTTTTCACATCCTTCCCTGTGTCCTGTCACTCTCCCACACTTCTCTGATTCTCCCCACCATCTATCTATCTTCTCCATCTCCTGCCATCCACCCACTTGGGGCAGGAGGGCCAGCAACTGATGCAGGAGAAGCCCGAACTGGCGGCCTCCGTGCGGAAGAAGCTGGGCGAGATCCGCCAGTGCTGGGCGGAGCTGGAGAGCACCACCCAGGCCAAGGCACGGCAGCTCTTTGAGGCCAGCAAAGCAGACCAGCTGGTGCAGAGCTTTGCTGAGCTGGACAAGAAGCTCCTTCACATGGAGAGCCAGCTGCAAGACGTGGACCCTGGAGGAGACCTGGCCACTGTCAACAGTCAGCTCAAGAAGCTGCAGGTATGGTCTTCCTGGCCCAGATGAGGGCTCCCTATGCCACATGGGGGCCAGGTCAGGGTCCAACCCCACTCAAGGTATGTCAAGTGGAGGGGATTTAATACAGGGATTTATTTCAAACTTGTAGAAGATGAGAAAGGGAATATTGAAGCAATCCAGCTAGTAATAACTGTTGGAAGCAGCCACCACTCCCTAAGGTATGGAGTACAAAGGGAAAAGGAAGGATCTAGAGCCACAAAGCAGTAGGTAAATGACTAGCATGCTAAAGGTTTCACAGGACCCTGACACTCATTTCCTGGATGGAGAAACCAAGGCTCAGGGGTATGGGAATGGCTTTGCATGGAATAACAATGACATTCATTGAGCATTTCTCTACCAGTCTCTGGGCCAAGCACTCACTGAACTCATCCCAGCCACTTCTGGAGATTGGTACTGTTATTATCCTGTTTTACCAATGGGGAAACTGAGGCACAGAAAGTAAGGCACCTGGCCCAAGGACACACAGCTAACCAGTGTCTCCTTTATGAAACAGGGCACTCTTAGAGAACAGACGCAGCGTCTGCTTTGTATCTGCTCCCAGCTTGGCAGCTCCATGCTTGGTACACAGCAGTTCACGTGGAATGACCAGAGGTGAACGTAGCCATTGCTTCTCACCTCCCAGGGAGTAATGGCTCCTGCCTTTGATTTTCTTTTTTTGTTGCTGTTGTTGATGTTGTTGTTTGTTTTTTTCTTCAAGATAGTTACTCACTCTGTCGCCCAAGCTGGAGTACAGTGGCTTGATCTCAGTCCATTGCAGCCTCAAACTCTTGGGCTCAAGTGATTCTCCCACTTCAGCCTTCCAAGTAGCTGAGACCACAAGCGCATACCACCACGTCTGGATAATCTTTTTAAATTTTTTATAGAGACAGGGTCTCACCATATTGCCTAGGGTAGTCTCAAACTCTTGGGCTCAAGCAACCCTCCCGCCTCAGCCTTCCAAAGTGCTTGGATTACAGGTGTGAGCCATGGTATCTGGCCCACGTGACTCCTGCTTTTACCTGTCAGGAACAATGCCTGACTGACTGATGGGAAACTGAGGTTCCAGGAGGTGAGAGGTGAACTTACTTGTCCAGAGTAGCAAATAGCAAAGCCTGGATTTCAGTCCAGTGCCCTTGACTCTTCACTCCTCCTTTTTGATATATTTCCTATGTAGTTATATAGTGCTTGGCATAGTGTATGGCAAAAAAAAAAAAAAAGGCTAGTAAGAAATACATAATGACACTGATTAGTATGTATTCATTCATCTCTGTGGCAAATAATTATTAGGTACCAGCTGGGTGTGGTGGCTCACGCCTGTAACCCCAGCACTTCGGGAGGCCGAGGCGGGCGGATCACGAGGTCAACAGTTCGAGACCAGCCTGACCAATGTGGTCAAACCTCATCTCTACTAAAAACACACACAAAAAAATTAGCTGGGCATGGTGGTGCACGCCTGTAATCCTAGCTACTCAGGAGGCTGTAATCCCAGCTACTCAGGAGGCTGAGGCAGGAGAATCACTTGAACGGGGAGGCAGAGGTTGCAGTGAGCTGAGATTGCATCATTGCACTCCAGCCTGGGAGACAGAGCGAGACTCCATCTCAAAAAATAAAAAAATAAAAAAAATAATTAGGTACCTACTATGTGCCCGGCACTTTTCTGGGTGTTGGGATATAGCAGTGGGCAAAATGGATGAAAAGTTACTGCCTTCACGGTGATCCCATTCTGGTTGGGGGAACAAGCAAAAGAACAAAAAGACAAACAGATCTGAATGTGATGGCCAATGGGGTCAGTTCGTTCTTTTTCCCTCCGCTCCCCTCCCCTTCCCCTCTCTTTTCTTTTCCCCTCCCTTCCTTCCTTCCTTCCTTGCTTCCTTCGTTGGAGTCTTGCTCTGTCACCCAGGCTGGAGTGTGGTGGTGCAATGTCTGCTCACTGCAACCTCTACCTCCCAGGTTCAAGCAGTTCTCCTGCCTCAGCCTCCTGAGTAGCTGGGATTACAGGCATGTGCCACCACACCCAGCTAATTTTTTTATTTTTAGTAGAGATGGGGTTTCACCATGTTGGCCAGGCTGGTCTCGAACTCCTGACCACAGGTGATTCACCCGCCTTGGCCTCCCAAAGTACTAGGATTACAGGTGTGAGCCACTGTGCCCGGCCAATGAGGTCACTACTTAATATAGAATAGCAGTTCTCAAATGTCTGGGTCTCCAGGACCCCCCTTACACTCTTAAACCGCATTGAGATCCTTAGAAAGCTTTGTCTGTGTGGGTTAGACCTATTGACATTCACTGTATTAAAAATGAAAATCGAGGCCAGGCATAATGGCTCATGCCTGTATCCCAGCACTTTGGGAGGCCGAGGCAGGAGGATTGCTTGAGCCTAGGAGTTTGAGACTAGCCTGGGTAACGGAGCAACAGCCTGTCTCTATTTTATTTTATTTAGTTATTTGAGCCAGGATCTCGCTCTGTTAGCAGGCTGGACTGCAGTGGTGCAATCACGGCTCACTGCAGCCTCAACCTCTGGGGCTCAAGTGATGCTCCTCCCTCAGTCCCGCAAGTAGCTGGGACTACGGACCCACACCACCATGCCTGATTGATTTTTTTTTTAAGAAACAGAATCTCACTATGTTGGCCAGTCTTTATCTCTATTTATTGAACTAAAAAAAAAAACTAAAACGGAGTCTGGCTCTGCCACCTAGGCTGGAGTGCAGTGGCTTGATCTCAGCTCACTGCAGCCTCTGCCTCCTGGGTTCAAGCAGTTCTCCTGCCTCAGTCTCTGGAGTAGCTGGGATTACAGGCCTGTGCCACCAAGCCTGGCTAATTTTTGTATTTTTAGTAGAGATGGGGTTTCAGCATGTTGCCCAGGCTGGTCTCGAACTCGTGGCCTCAGGTGATCGGCCTGCCTTGGCCTCCCAAAGTGCTGGGATTACAGGCATGAGCCATGGCATCCAGACTGTAGTTCTCTTTCATGTCTAGAATAGAAGAGAGCTAGCTTCTCCCATCCGTGTCTGTATTCAATCCATTTCACTAGCACAGGTCATCAGGTCTCTGAAAAACACTGCTGCATGCTGGAGAGAGAATGAGAATGGTGAAGGCAAATAACATCTTAGTATTTTTATAAAAATAGTTGTAACCTTGCAGATGCCTTGAAAAGATCTCAGGGATCCCCCAGGGGTTCCTTGGCCACAGTTTGAGAACTGCTGATGTACACAATGTGCTGGGCACTGTTAACTCCTCTCTCCTCCCCAACAGCCCCATGAGGGAGGTCCTGTTATTATCCCCACCCAGCAGAAAACCACAGCACAGAAAGGATCTGTGGCTCACAGAGGTCACATGGCTACCAAGTGGCTATTCAATACCACCTTTAGTCCCTCCCTGAGCCTCTGTCCTCCCTCTTAAATAGGACTCTATCATCAGTGCAGGTCTCCCAGGGCCAGGTGGGGATGTGCACAGAAAGGAGCCACTTAGCACAGTGCCCAGGATGTGGTAAGCCTGCAAGAAAGGGGCATCTGACTGTCAGGGTCCCAGCCAGAAACAGAAGCAGGCTCACCTGCAGAAAACTTGAGTTTCTTGACAAAGGTGTGAGTGGAGAACGGGGAAGCTGCAGGAAGCATATAGGGCTGTGGGACTCATGGAGGGGAGCTTTTGCTCCTCCCTAGCCAGAGAAGGTAGAGAAGGAAAAGTTATTGGAACTTGGAAGGGGAGAGTTGCCAGACAGGAGCTGGCACTCTTAGTCAAGAACGGCAGCCATGGCCAGACGCAGTGGCTCACGCCTGTAATCCCAGCACTTTGGGAGGCCAAGGCGGGTGGTTCACTTGAGATCAGGAATTCAAGACCAACCTGGGCAACATGGCAAAACCCCGTCTCTACTAAAAATACAAAAATTAGCCGAACGTGGTGGCACATGCCTGTAATCCCAGCTACTCGGGAGGCTGGGGCATGAGAATCGCTTGAACTTGAGAGGCGGAGGTTGCAGTGAGGCAAGATTGCACCTCACTGCACTCCAGCCTGGGTGACAGAGTGAGACTCTGTCTCAAAAAAAAAAAAAAAGAGAAAGAAAGAAAGAACGGCAGCCAGACCATGGCACCATAGCAGGGAAGAGCTGGGGAGATAATACCCCAGACTCACTTTCCTCTGGGCTTCCCTTTGTCAGCCAGGGCTGGCTTCATGGGTGTTTGCCCGTGCAGTGACACAGGGCTCCATGCTTGGTTTAATGCCCTACTATTGATGTCTTGAATTTTTTTGTTTTTGAGGCAGTTTCTACCTCTGTCACCCAGGCTGAAGTGCAATGGCGTGATCATGGCTCACTGCAGCCTTGAACTCCTGGACTCAAGTGAACCTGTCACCTCAGCCTCCTGAGTAGCTGGGACTACAAGCGTGTGCCACCACGCCCAGATAATTTTTGTAGTATTTTATAGAGACGGGGGCCTCACTGTGTTGCCCAGGCTGGTCTCAAACTCCTGGCCTCAAGTGATCCTCCTACGTTAGTCTCCCAAAGTGCTGGGATTACAGGGGTGAAGCACTGCCCCTGGATAAAATTCTTAATAAATATTTGAACAAGGGACCTTGTGTTTTCATTTTGCACTGAAAAGTATAAGCCATGTTTGAGGCCAACCCACATGGAAGCCAGAGGACAGGAGGGCTGGTCCATGCAGGTCAGTCCTGCACAGGGCAGGGTGAAGAAGCTTGGACTATGGGTCTCAAGATCCCGGGCTGAAGCATCCATCCACCTCGGCCTCCCAAAGTGCTGGGATCACAGGCGTGAGCCACTGCCCCAGCCTATTGCTAGGATTCATAATTATCTTGCAGTGATTACTAATTCTTCCCCAGCAGTGTTTTGCAGTGGCTGAAGGCACAGACTTGGGACTCCAGCAGGTCTGGTTCTGAGTCACAGCTCTCCCACTTGCTGCCTTCGTCTCTCCCTCTGAGCCTTGGATGCCTTCTCCTTGCAATGGGAAGGACCTCAATGCTCACCCCCTGGTGGATAGCAGGAGTGTGGGAAGCAGCAGAGCATCTCAGTGAAGGGCATGGATGCTGGCGCTGGGCTGCCTGGGTCAAGCCCTGGCTCTGTGCCTTATCACCTGGATAGCCCAAGGAGGTTACTTTTCTCTCCATGCTTCAGTTTCTTTTTCTTTTTTTAAGAGGGAGTCTCACTCTGTTGCCCAGGCTGGAGTGCAGTGGCAGGACCTCGGCTCACTGCAACCTCCGCCTCCTGGCTTCAAGTGATTCTCCTGCCTCAGCGTCCTCCTGAGTAGCTGGGATTACAGGCACCTGCCACCACGCCTGGCTAATTTTTGTATTTTTAGTAGAGACGGGGTTTCACCATGTTGGCCAGGCTGGTCTCAAACTCCTGACCTCAAGTGATCCACCCACCTCCGCCTCCCAAAGTGCTGGGATTACAGGCATGAGCCACCGCGCCTGGCTGTGCCTCATTTTCTTCTTCAGTAAAATGGGCATAATGATATTTCTGACCTCATAAGGACATTGTGAAGGTGAAAAGACATAATGCATTAAGTGGTTTCAGAACTGCTGACCCAACAAATCTAAGATTCAGTATTTATTCACAGGTCTTTAATTTTTTTTTTTTTAGACCAAGTTTTGTTCTTGTCACCCAGGCTGGAGCGCAGTGGCACAATCTCGGCTCACTGCAACCCTCTGCCTCCTGGGTTCAAGTGATTCTCCTGCCTCAGCCTCCCGAGTAGCTGGGACTATAGGCACCCGCCACCATACCCGGCTAATTTTTGTATTTTTAGTAGAGATGGGGTTTCGCCATGTTGTCCAGGCTGGTCCCAAACTCCTGACCTCAAGTGATCCGCCCGCCTCGGCCTCCCAAAGTGCTGGGATAATAGGCATGAACCACCGTGCCTGGCCAGTCTTTAATTTTAACTGTCATAAAACTGAGAGCATATCACCATCACTCTACTGTTTTCAAAAGCTAGTTGTTTCACCTTCCCTTTGGTTGTTACTTATGTGATACACGGTTACTTCATTTGTTTTTGTTCATATTCCATTTGGGGCATTTACCCCTCTCCATGCTGCTTTTTAATTTTAATTTATTTTTATTTTTTGATAGATGGGGTCTCACTATGTTACCCAGGCTGGTCACAAACTCCTGGGCTCAAACAGTCCTCCTGCCTTAGCCCCTCAAAGTGCTGGGATTATTCGCGTGAGCCACTGCACCTGGCCCCAAAACACATTTTAAAAAAGCAACATGGATGATTGGGCACAGTGGCTCATGCCTGTAATCCCAGCACTTTGTGAGGCCAAGGCAGGAGGATCGCTTGAGCCCAGGTGTTCCAGACCAGCCTGGGCAACATAGCGAGATTCACATGCCTGTGTTCCCAGCTACTCAGAAGGCTGAAGTGGGAGGATCACTTGAGCCCAGGAGGTTGAAGCTGCAGTGAGCTGTGATCGTGTCACTGCACTCCAATCTGGTCGACAGAGTGAGACCCCCATCTCAAAAAAAAAAAAAAAAAAAAAAAAAAGAAAAGTAATTTGGAGGTGGTAAATGAAATATTTATATAGTGTTAAAAGTTAGAACCATCTTTAGCTCACTTGCTTTTGCCAAATTGCCTGCCCAGGTCCTTCTGTGGCTGCTCACTCTCTCCCCAGCAGTACACATGAGCTCCTGTTTCCTCTCGTCCTTGCCAACACTTGGTTTTGTCAGACATTTTAGATCTTTCTCAGTCCGATGGCTGGGAAGTGGTATCTCACTGCAGTGTGTGTATTTGTATTTTTTTCCAATGCTACTGGCGAGCTTGACCATCTTTGACCTTCTTTTGTACTATTTAGGTTTTAGAGGAAGGAGTTGGGGCCTCCTGCTTTAGCCAGAGTACAGAGTTAGCTCTTCCCTCCCTGTAGGGGGTTCAGTCTCAACCAAGCCCAGCAAACCATGAGATGGGGGTCCCCATTGTTCAAGGGAGGGGCTGAAGCCCAGAGGAGACAAGGGAGTGGCCCTGGGGTCACACAGTGATGGGTGCCAGAGGCAGGCTCCAGCACGAGACTCCTGGGCCCTTTTCCCAGCAGAGGGAGCCCGAGGCAGGAAGTGACTGTGTGGGCCAGGGCACCCAGACGGAGCCCAGCTGCCCCTCAGGAGCTGCTACTGGGGAAGGGACCTGCCAAGGCCCTGCTGTCCCCTGGGGCATACACAGGAGAGGGGTTGGCTGCCATCCAGCCTGGCACGTTTCCTGGCTGTCCCATCCACCCTTAGGGCACTGGGGCCAGGCTGGGCTGAGGGAGGTACTGGCTCGGGGTCTGAGGGGTGTAGTGGTGTGCAGTGTGTGAGCGATCTGTCCCCCTCAGCCTCTCTCCTGTCCTCCCGTCGCCATCTCTGTGTCTCTCTCTTCCCTTTGTGTCCCTCTCTGTCCTACTCTCTCACTCCCTTCTCTCTGTCTCTTTATTTATTTTGAGACAGAATCTTACTCTGTCACCCAGGCTGGAGTGCAGTGGCGCGATCTTGGCTCACTGCAATCTCCGCCTCCCAGGTTCAAGCGATTCCCCAGCCTCCCCAGTAGCTGGGATTACAGGCACCCGCCACCATGCCTGGCTAATTTTTGTATTTTTTTATTTTTATTTTTTCTTTTTGAGACGGAATCTCACTCTGTCACCCAGGCTGGAGTGCAATGGCACAGTCTCAGCTCGCTGCAACCTCCGCCTCCCGGATTCCAGCGATTCTCCTGCCTCAGCCTCCCAAGTAGTTGTGATTACAGGCGTGAGCCACCACGCCCGGCTAATTTTTGTATTTTTAGTAGAGATGGGGTTTCACCATGTTGGCCAGGTTGGTCTTGAACTCCTGACCTCAGGTGATCTGCCTACCTTGGCCTCCCAAAGTTCTGGGATTACAGGCATGAGCCACCACCCCAGTCTCTCTGTCTCTTTTTATTTGACTTCTCTGTCTCTGCCTCCTTCCCGTGTTCCTCATGTCCTCCTTGTGTCCTCTCCCTCATCCCGTACCACACCCGCTGCTGCAGCAGGCTCTCTGGGACCCCACCTCCCAGGTCCTGGCCACGTGACCCAGAATCCTCTCTCGGGGCCTGTTGCCAAGCTGTGCTTCCTGGCCAAGAAGCCAGATGGTGGAGTCTCAAGTCCTGGCTCCCCAGCCCTCAGGGACCTGGCCAGCTGGTCGGCCTCAGCCACAGGCTCCTGCTTGGAGAGATGGGGGACTGGTCTCCTGCCAGATGAGAAAATGCACTAGAGGCTTTGCAGCTGCCAGGCTCTGTCCCTGGGGACCCCACACTTTTTCCAGGCCCACCCCCACCCTAAGCAAAGCTCTTTCTCTGGCCAAGGAAACACCCTCCTCCCCCCTGTTCTGCTTCTCTGTCCCATGTTTTTGTATCCAGCTCAGCATGGCCTAGGAGAGGAGTGCACATTCAGGGACTATACAGTCCCAGTCCTTGCCTTATTGGGACTCAAGGCAAGGGACCCCATCCTTTCTTTCTTTCCTTTTTTTTTTGTTTTTGTTTTTTTGTTTTTTGAGACAGAGTCTCACTCTGTTGCCCAGGCTGGAGTGCAGTGGCGCGATCTCAGCTAATTATGTCTTCATAATTCACAAATTATGTCTTCAATTTATGAAGGTGCTGGCTCGGGGTCTGAGGGGTGGAGTGATCAGTAACTCAAATTACGTCTTCACAAATCTCCTTGTCTTCATTTCTGAGCACCGCTTTCTTCTGTGTTGGCCTCATGGTCAGGGAGTCCCTGATGTTGGCAGGATGACCCCAGGATGCCCGGCCTACCTCCTCCCAACTTAGGAAGCCCATGGGAAAGAGAGCATCTCTTCTGTGCACACACATTTTCCTGGCGAAAATGGGGAGAGTGGCCGGGCACAGTGGCTCACACCTGTAATCCCACACTTTAGGAGGCCAAGATGGGAGGATTGCTTGAGGCCAGGAGTTGGAGACCCGCCTGGCCAACACAGCGAGACCCCACCTCTACCAAAAAAGAAAAAGTGGGAAGAGTTTTCATTGGCCCATCTAAGGTTACGTGCTCATATCTGACCCAATCTTTATGACCAGGGTGTTTTCAGTGTTCTGCTTGGCCCCACTTGGGTCATGTGATTACCCATGACTCTCTAGGTTTCATTTGCCCTTCAGGAAGCTCAGGACCTGAGAGTGAGTTTTGATGTATTTGGAAGGAGAGGATGGATTTTGGGCAGGCAAAACCAACAACTCTGCACTACAGAACTTTGAATCAAGAAGTCTTGGCTTGGTTCTTGAGTTTGGGGTTTTGTTTTGCAGTCATTTGTGGTAATCTGCTACCACTTAATTTTTTAATTGTTATTTTGTTTTCTTCTCTAGCTTTCCTCCATCTGTTTAGAATTACAAGGGTAATATATGAATATATTCTTTTGGGAAAAAATTTTACTAACCGAGCAGTCTTCAGTAAAACATAAAGTCTCACTCCTATCTGCCTCCCAATCCCACATCCCAAAGAGAGCCTCAGTTATTTGGTGTGCATCCATCTAGACCTCTTTCTGTGCATTTACAAGTGTACCTATATGGATGTTTAATGTTTTTATATTATTTGCTTTTCATGTTTAATTTCAATTTTTGAATAAATAAATTTTCATGGTGAAGACATCAAAACCTCTAGGGAAATCCCATGGGAAAATTATCGCCTTCATCCCTGTTCCCCATTCATTAAGTTCTCATCCCCTCCCCCAGTAAGTACCATCTGTTATGAACTTCTTGTTTACTCCAGGGAATTTTTATGCATGTGCAATCCACTATAAATTTATATTCATAGGTAGGTTCTAAATTGCTTCTTCTTCTTCCTCTTTTTTTTTTTTTTTTTTGTTTGTTTGTTGTTGAGACTGAGTTTCGCTCTTTTTGCCAAAGCCGGAGCGCAATGGCGCGATCTCAGCTCACTGCAACCTCCGCCTCCCGGGTTCAAGCAATTCTCCTGCCTCAGCCTCCCAAGTAGCTGGGATAACAGGCGCCTGCCACAATGCCCGGCTAATTTTTTGTATTTTTAGTAGAGACTGGGTTTCACCATGTTGGCCAGCATGGTGTCTATCTCTTGACCTCGTGATCCGCCCGCCTCAGCCTTCCAAAGTGCTGGGATTACAGGCATGAGCCATTGTGCCCGGCTTTTTTTTTTTTTTTTTTTTTTTTGAGATGGAGTTTTGCTTTTGTTGCCCGGGCTGGAGTGCAGTGGCATGATCTCGGCTCACTGCAACCTCTGCCTCCCGGGTTCAAGTGATTCTCCTGCCTCAGGCTCCCGAGTAGCTGGGATTACAGGTGTCTGCCATCACGCCTGGCTAATTTTTTGTGTTTTTAGTAGAGATGGGGTTTCACCATGTTGGCCAGGCAGGTCTCAAACTCCTGACTTCAGGTGATCCACGCGCCTTGGCCTCCCAGAGTGCTAGGATTACAGGCGTGAGCCACCGCACCCAGCATGCTTTTTCTTCTTAACAGTAACACTTGGCTATTTTTCCATACTGGTCTGGATTTGTTTAACCATTTTACTCTTTTTTATTTTTTATTTTTTTTTAAGAGAGGGGGTCTAGCTGTGTTGCCCAGGCTGGTCTCAAACTCCTGGGCTCAAGCATTTCTCCCACCTCAACCTCCTAAGTAGCTGGGATTACAGGCATGAGCTGCTGCACCTGACTTAACCATTTCTCTCTTGATGGGCATTGAGGTTGCTTCCAGTTTTTTCCCATTATAAACTCTGCTGTGATACTACAACTTTGTGCATCTGTGCCAGTATTTCTTTTTTTTCTTAAAAAAATTTTTATTATTATTATTTAAAAATTTTTTTTTCAGGATGGAGTCTTGCTGTGTCACCCAGGCTGAATTGCAGCGACGTGATCTCGGCTCACTGCAACCTCCACCTCCCAAGTTCAAGCAATTCTCCTGCCTCAGCCTCCCAAGTAGCTGGGATTACAGGCGTGCATCACCACGCCTAGCTAATTTTTGTATTTTTAGTAGAGACAGGGTTTCACCATGTTGGCCAGGCTGGTCTCAAACTCCTGACCTTGTGATCTGCCTGCCTTGGCCTCCCAAAGTGCTGGGATTACAGGCGTGAGCCACTGCACTTGGCCTATGACAGTATTTCTTTAGTTATATTACTAGAAATGCAAGTGCTGGGTCAAGCAGATGCATATTTTGCATTTTGATGCAAAGACCTGCCAAATTGCCTTCTAAAAAGGCTCTACCAATTTATGCCACCACTGACAGTGGCTGAGTGTGCCCATCTCCCAACATCTTTGCCAGCATTAGATACTATAAGTCTTTTACATTTTTGCCAACCTAATGTGTAGAAAAGAATGCCTTGGCCAGGCGCAGTGGCTCACTCCTGTAATCCCAGCACTTTGGGAGGCCGAGGTGGGTGGATCACCTGTAGTCAAGAGTTCAAGACTAGCCTGGCCAACATGGTGAAACCCCATCTCTATTAAAAATTCAGAATTGGCCAGGCGTGGTGGCTCACGCCTGTAATCCCAGCACTTTGGAAGGCCAAGGCAGGCAGATCACAAGGTCAGGAGATCGAGACCATCCTGGCTAACATGGTGAAACCCCATCTCTACTAAAAATACAAAAAAAATTAGTCAGGCGTGGTGGTGGGCACCTGTAGTCCCAGCTACTTGGGAGGCTGAGGCAGGAGAATGCCGTGAACCCAGGAGGCAGAGCTTGGAGCTTGCAGTGAGCCAAGATAGCACCATTGCACTCCAGCCTGGGCGAAAGAGCGAGACTCTGCCTCAAAAAAAAAAAAAAAAAAAATCAAAATTAACCGGGCGTGGTGATGTGTGCCTGTGATCCCAGCTACTCGGGAGGCGGAGGCAGGAGAATCACTTGAACTGAGGAGGCAGAGGTTGCAGTGAGCCGAGATCATGCCATTGCACTCCAGCCTGGGCAAAAAGAGCGAAACTCCATCTCAAAAAAAAAAAAAAAAGAAAGAAAGAAAGAAAAGAAAAAAGAAAAGGAAGTCTTGTTTTAATTTCTATTTTCCAGCTTATTAATAAGACTGAGCATCTTTTCATATGCTTGTTTTGTCTGTTGCCTGTTCACATCTGATGCCCATTTCTCTTTTTGGGCAGTCCTTTTTTTTTGCTGATGTCATTCATGTATGCATTGAACAAATCATAACTGGAGGCCTATTGTGTACCAAAAATTGTTCTAGGCTTTCAAGAATATAGCAGTGAGTGTGACACAGCCCCTCCCATCATGTGGGTCACATTCTGGAAGCAAGGGACCAATAAAAATACAAAAGTACCTGAGTGCAGTGGCTCACACCTGTAATCCCAGCACTTTGGAAGGCCAACGTGAGAATAGTTTGAGTCCAGGAGTTCAAGACCAGCCTGGGCAACATAGCAAGACCCCATCTTTATGACAAATTTCAAAAATGAGCTGGGCATGGTGGTGTGTGCTTGTAGTCCTAGCTACTTGGGAGGCTGAGGCAAGAGGATCCCTTGAGCCCAGGAGTTCAAGGCTGCAGAGAGTTATTATCTTACTACTGCATGCCAACCTGGATGACAGAGCAAGACCCTATCAAAAAACAAAACACACACACACAAATCAAGAGAGTTGTCTGATGGTGGTAAGCACTGTGAAGACGAAGCAGGATGGAGGGAAATTCTTTGATTGTTAAACTAGTTCCTTGCACTGATACATATCAATTTTTACAGTTTGTCATTTGCCTTCTAACTCTATGAAATTTTGGTTGATGCAGAAGTATTTTTTAATTATTTTTTTAATTATACTTTAAATTCTAGGGTACATGTGCACAATGTGCAGGTTTGTTACATAGGAATTCATGTGCCATGTTGGTGTGCTGCACCCATTAACTCGTCATTTACATTAGGTATTTCTCTTAATGATATCCCTCCCCCCTCCCCCCACCCCATGACAGGCCCCGGTGTGTGATGTTCCCTGCCCTGTGTCCAAGTGTTCTCATTGTTCAGCTCCCACCTATGAGTGAGAACGTGTGGTGTTTGGTTTTCTGTCCTTGCGATAGTTTGCTCAGAATGATGGTTTCCAGCTTCACCCATGTCCCTACAAAGGACATGAACTCATCCTTCTTTATGGCTGCATAGTATTCCATGGTGTATATGTGCCACATTTTCTTAATCCAGTCTATCATTGATGGACATTTGGGTTGGTTGCAAGTCTTTGCTAATGTGAATAGTGCCACAATAAACATACGTGTGCATGTGTCTTTATAGTAGCATGATTTATAATCCTTTGGGTATATACCCAGTAATGGGATCACTGGGTCAAATGGTATTTCTAGTTCTAGATCCTTGAGGAATCGCCACACTGTCTTCCCCAATGGTTGAACCAGTTTACATTCCCACCAACAGTGTAAAAGTGTTCCTGTTTCTCCACATCCTCTCCAGCATCTGTTGTTTCCTGACTTTTTAATGATCGCTATTCTAACTGGTGTGAGATGATATCTCATTGTGGTTTTGATTTGCATTTATCTGATGACCAGTGATGGTGAGCATTTTTTCATATGTCTGTTGGCTGATGCAGAAGTATTTTTATGTGATCAAATTATAAATCTTTCCCTTTATGTTTTTTATGCTTGGAAAGATTTTTCTCCATCCCAACATTATAAAAGCATTTGCCCAGGTTTTCTTTTAGTGCCTTATGGATTTACTTACTCTGTTTAGGTCTTTAATCCATCTGGAATTGTTTTCAGTACAAACAGCAAGGAAAGGATCCAGCTAAATTGGTTAGCCATTGGCCCATGACCATTCATTAAATAATCCATCTTTCCCTTGGGGATTTGAATTGGCACCTATGAAACACATGAATTTTCCTGTGTATTTGGGTCTGCTTTTGCACTTTCTGTCTATTCCTAAGACACAGCAGCCATCCAAATTACTATAGCTTTGTATTTATTTTTGATAATTTCTTACTATCAAATTTTTTTATCCGGTAATCCCAGCACTTTGGGAGGCCAAGATGGGCAGATCACTTGAGGTTATGAGTTTGAGACCAGCCTGACCAACATGGTGAAACCCCATCTCTACTAAAAATACAAAAAAAATTAGCAAGGCATGGTGTCAGGTGCCTGTAGTCCCAGCTACTTGGGAGGTCAAGGCACAAGAATCACTTGAACCTGGGAGGTGGAGGTTGCAGTGAGCTGAGGTTGCCCACTGCACTCCAGCCTGGATGACACAGCACCCAGGCTGATTTGTTCATCCTGAGGTCAGGAGTTCAAGACCAGCCTGGCCAATATGGTGAAACCCCATCTCTACAAAAATACAAAAATTAGCCGGGCATGATGGCAGGTGCCTGTAATCCCAGCTACTCAGGAGGCTGAGGCGGGAGAATCACTTGAAGCCAGGAGGTGAAGGTTGCAGTGAGCCAAGATTACGCCATTGCACTCCAGCCTGGGCAACAGAGCGAGACTCCATCTCAAAAAAAAAAAAAGCGTTAACAAAAAATTATTACTATATTTGATGGTAATAATTTTGGAAAGTTGACTCTTTGGACAAATTCTTTAACTTCTCTTGGCCTTGGTTTCCTCCTCTGTAAAACAGGGAGACTACCAATCTTGAAGGTTGTTCTGGGAATTAGTGAATTAATGGACCACTTTAGTTCCGGGGTCAGGTAAGCCTCTTTGAGAAGGTAATACTCCAGCTGAAATCTGATTGACAAGGAAGAGCATGCCTGGCAGAGGAAACAGCAAAGGCAAAGGCTCCGAGGCAGGGACTAGCTTAGTGTGATGCAGGTTCATGCGGAGCGCATCGCTCCTGGAGGGGACTGAACAAGGAGAGGGTGGAAGGGTGGGCCGCGGTGAGGGGTCTGGCTGTCACCATAAGGGTACTGGAGAGCCACAGCAGGATCAGGAGGGCGGGTGGGGCCCATTGACCCTGCCTCTGTCCCCACAGTCCATGGAGTCGCAGGTGGAGGAGTGGTACCGCGAGGTGGGAGAGCTGCAGGCGCAGACGGCGGCGCTGCCGCTGGAGCCGGCGAGCAAGGAGCTGGTGGGTGAGCGGCAGAACGCGGTGGGCGAGCGCCTGGTGCGCCTGCTCGAGCCGTTGCAGGAGCGCCGCCGCTTGCTGCTGGCTTCCAAGGAGTTGCACCAGGTGGCGCACGACCTGGACGACGAGCTGGTGAGGCCAGCGCAGGGGCCTGGGGCGGGGCGGGGCGGGGCGGTGGGGCGGAGAAGGTGGGCATGGGGCGGGGCTGAAGATGGAGACGGCTGAGACCCTCCCACTCATACGCTGAAAGACGCATTCAGCCGTTCACTCATTCATTCATTCACACTCATTTACTCACTTTGAATCATTCGTTGATTTATTCATGAAGTCACTCATTTATTTATTCACTCATCCATAGTTTGTTCTTTCCTCCACTCATTTATTTACTTAACTATTCATTCATTCACTCCTCTGTTCCTCATTCCATCACTCAATTTCCTGATTTGCTCATTCATTTGTTCACTCAGTTGATCATTCTAGCCCCAGCCCTGTGTTTGGATGATAGTGGGGCCACAGGGGTGGCCAAGGCAGACCCCATTGTGCCCCAGAGGGTTCAGAGTCCAACGGGGAAAACAGACTTGTCCCCAGACAGTGACAATTCAGGGTGGTTAGGAATATGATAGGAAACAAGACCTGTATGTGCAAAGGCCAACGGTGTGAGCCTGGCTTAAGTGCAGACAGCAAGAAAGAGTATGTCAACAGAGGAGACTGAGACAGGTGTGGTGGTGCCTGTTGTCCCAGCTACATGGGAGGCTGAGGTAGGAGGATTATTTGAGCCTGGGGATTCGATCCCATCTCAAAGAAAAAAAAAAAACAAAAAATGGAGGAGGCTGAATATTCAACTGGGCTCTTAGGCAAGGAAGGGCCTGGGATGCCGTGCAGGTTTAAAGTTTAGTTGCGATGCAGGGGTTCTTGGATGCATTCTCCCCTTGACCTGCTTCCTGTGTCCTCTCCAGGCATGGGTTCAGGAGCGGCTGCCACTGGCCATGCAGACAGAGCGAGGCAACGGTTTGCAGGCGGTCCAGCAGCACATCAAAAAGAACCAGGTGAGCAGAGCCAGGTGAGGGAGCGAGTTAGGACATTTGGATACATGTGATAGAAACAGCTGAAGGTGGTTAAAGCCAAAACAATGAATGTATTGGCTTTTGGAATTAACAAGACTGTGGACAGCAGATACAGATGTATCCAGGTGCTTCCATATATTTTCATGACTCTTGGCTCTATTTTTTTTTTTTTTTTGAGATGGAGCCTTGCTTTGTTGCCCAGGCTGGAGTTTAGTGGCACAATCTTTGCTCACTGCAACCTCCACTTCCTGAGTTCAAGCGATTCTCCTGCCTCAGCCATCCAAGTAGCTGGGATTACATGTGTGCACCACCACACCTGGCTAATTTTTGTATTTTTAGTAGAGATGGACGGCGGGGGGTGGGGTGTTTCACCAGGTTGGCCAGGCTGGGCTCGAACTCCTGGCCTCAAGTGATCCACTCGCCTCAGCCTCCCAAAGTGCTGAGATTACAGGTGTGAGCCACCGCGCCCGGCCTGTTTGTTTTTCTGCATGAGCTTTCTTCTTAGGCCAGTCCTCCTCTCCTGGTGATAAAAGGCCTCCAGTGGATTCAGGTTTACCTCCCACCAGCAAAACTGAAGAGAATTTCCCACCTCAATAATGTCAGCAGTAGTCTCAGGAATAACTCTCATTGGCTCACCATGCCCATGGCATCCCACGCCCATCCCTGAACTAATCATGATGGATGGGGTTTCGGACTGCTCCTTGGGCTGGCCTGGTTAAGCGCCCTCCCCTGGAACCTGCTGCTGGAATCAGCCTTAGCTTAATTACCAAGGCTGAGATGGAGGCAAAGGGGGTTTCCCAAAGGAAAATCAGGGGCTTGAGACTAGAAGGAAGGGGAATAGCTATTGGACAAGGAAAAAGTAAAACAACAACAAACAAAATCACAAAACATCGAGTTAGCCTGGTGTGATGGTGTACCCCTGTAGTCCCAGCTACTCTGGAGGCTGGGGAGGGAGGGTCCCTTGAGTCCAGAGGTCAAAGCTGCAGTGAGCCTTGAACACCCCACTGCACTCCACCCTGTGCAACAGAATGAGACCCTATCTCTCTCTCTCTCTCACACACACACACACACACACGTCCCCCAAAACAAACAAACAAAAACACCCATAGGGACAAAGGACAGAGATAATCAGCAAGAGGATACTACTGCCCCCTAACCTGAGCAAGGTGGGGGAGGGGGCCTTTGAGCTCCTAAAAAATCTCTGAATCTGTTCATTCCTCTGGGGCTCAGTTTCCACATCTAAAGTAGAGTTGGTTTAGAGCAGTGGTTCTCAAACTGCATACGAAGGGAACCCCTTGGTCAAAGCAACTATTTCACCAAAGCCTAAAGCAAGACATAAAAGAGGAATAATAATAATAAGGCATTGTGCCAGGTGTGGTGGCTCATGCCTGTAATCCCAGCACTCTGGGAGGCCAAGGCAGGATGATCACTTGAGCCCAGGAGTTTGAGACCAGCCTGGGCAACATGGGGAAACCCCGTCTCTACCAGAAATACAAAAATTAGCTGAGCATAGTAGAAGGTGCCTGTAATCCCAGCTACCTGGGAGGCTGAGGCAGGAGAATTGCTTGAACCCAGGAGGCAGAGGTTGCAGTGAGCCAAGATCACACCACTGTACTCCAGCCTGGGTGACAGAGTGAGACCCTGTCTCAAAAAAAAAAAAAAAACATCGATTAAAGATTTACTAAGTGCTGGCTGGGTGCAGTGGCTCATGCCTGTAATCCCAGCACTTTGGGAGGCTGAGGTGGGTGGATCACCTGAGGTCAGGAGTTCGAGACCAGCCTGACCAACATGGTGAAACCCTGTCTCTACTAAAAATGCAAAAAATTAAGGCCAGGTGCGGTGGCTCACGCCTGTAATCCCAGCACTTTGGGAGGCCGAGGCGAGTGGATCACGAGGTCAGGAGATCGAGACCATCCTGGCTAACACGGTGAAACCGCGTCTCTACTAAAAACACAAAAAATTAGCCGGGCGAGGTGTCGGGCGCCTGTAATCCCAGCTACTCGGGAGGCTGGGGCAGGAGAATCGCTTGAACCTAGGAGGCGGAGGTTGCAGTGAGCCAAGATTGCACCATTGCAATACAGCCTGAGTGTCAAGAGCGAGACTCCGTCTCAAAAAAAAAAAAAAAAAAAGATTAAAAAAAAAAAAAGATTTACTGTGTGCTAAGTACTGTCTTAGGGTTTATGCTGATTATTTAATTTAATCCCCTCTATAACCCTATGAGGTAGATATTGTCATTATCCTCATTTCACCAAACAATGTATGTTGGAAGAATAGGGCACTGAAGGATGGTGGGGAGGTGGGTCTACAGATTATTTTGGAAGCTTCCTGATCATTCTGCAGTAGGTAGAGTTATTTAAGAGACTGGAGTTTTGCTGAGATTTTGTTTTCCTGTCTTGATGAAAATACTCTTGGCTGTCAACAGTGTGGGCGACAGAACTGGCTTATCGTTGTCATGGTTGAGGAAACTGATCAAGTGCACTTAGTACTTAAAATTGGGGGAGCTCAGCTGTGTGTGCAGTGAGAGTGCTGGATACACAGGGGCTGTTAAGCCAAAAATAGCTGCAAATATGATGCATTTGGTGCATGCAGACTCAGTTCCAAGTGCTCCATAGTTTATCACCTTATAACAACCCCGCAAGGTAGATTATCTCAGCCTGATACTAGCTGTGTGACCTTAGCAAATTCCTCACCCTCTCTGTGCCTCAGTCTTCTCATCTGTAAAATGGAGATGGTAATGTTGTCTGGCTCCATAGGTTGGGAGTGAGGAGGTGTGAGGCTATATTATGTAAAGCTCTTACTTAGCAAAGCACCTGGCAGGTAGCAGGGTAGCAGACACTCAAGAATCGTTGGCTGGCCGGGCACAGTGGCTCATGCTTATAAGCCTAGCACTTTGGGAGGCCAAGGTAGGAGGATCGCTTGAGGCCAGGACTTCAAGACCAGCCTGAGTAACATAGCAAGACCTCGTCTCTCCAAAAATATTTTTTAAAATAGCAGGGCATGGTGGTGCACACCTGTAGTCCCAGCCGCTTGGGAGGCTGAGGCAGGAGGATCACTTGAGCCCAGGAGTTTAAAGCTGCTGCATTCCATCCTGGGTGATAGAGTGACACCCTGTCTCTAAAAAAGCAAAATAAGGAGAGGACTTGCTGGCTGTTATTATCTTTATCAGTTGAGTCACACAAAAAGTTAAATAACGTTAAGGCACACAAAAAGTTAAAAAAGACTCACAAAAAGTTAAATAAGGTACTCTGTAAGTAAATAAGGTTAAGGCACACAAAACGTTAAATAAGGTACTCTGCAAGTACAGAGCTGGTTGAGGGAACCTTCTGGGGGATGGAAGTGTTCCGCACGCTGATCTGGGCACACCGGTGTATGTGTCTGTACAAATGTGTGCAACTGTATACCTAAGATTTGTGCACTCTACCGTATACAAATGATACCTCGGCTGCTAAGCTGCAGGGTTTCTGTATTAGGGCCCATCTTGGGTCGGCAAGCGGCTTGGCTCAGAGCACAGTCTCTGGAACCAGCCTCCTGTGTTCAAATCCTGTCACTCCTTACTGGCTGCTTGTTCTTGGGCGCCGTACTTCGCCCCTCTGTGCCTGTTTTCCCACCTGCAGCAAGCATAGGGTTATGATGAGTGAGGGAGTATCAGCAAAATGTTTACATGGTCTTGGCACGTGGTTAGCGAGCTGGGGGTGCTTGTTAATTGCCCCGTGGGCCGTGCCAGTAGCAGAGGAGCGTGTGGTCTTGCAGGGCCTCGGAACGCCCCCTCTCCACCCACATCCCCTTACCTCCTGCCCCCAGGGCCTGCGGCGGGAGATCCAGGCGCATGGGCCGCGCCTGGAGGAGGTGCTGGAGCGCGCGGGCGCGCTGGCGTCGCTGCGCAGCCCGGAGGCAGAGGCAGTGCGCCGGGGCCTGGAGCAGCTGCAGAGCGCCTGGGCCGGACTGCGGGAGGCTGCCGAGCGACGGCAGCAGGTGCTGGACGCCGCCTTCCAGGTGGAGCAGTACTACTTCGACGTGGCTGAGGTGGAGGCGTGGCTGGGCGAGCAGGAGCTGCTCATGATGAGTGAGGACAAGGGCAAGGTGCGCCCGAGCTGGGGGTGCGGAGGGCCTGGGGGCGCTGGAGCCGGGGGCCGCCGCTGCCGCCTCATCGTGGGCGCTTTGTGCCCCCAGGACGAACAGAGCACCCTGCAGCTGCTCAAGAAACACCTGCAGCTGGAGCAAGGCGTGGAGAACTACGAGGAAAGCATCGCGCAGCTGTCGCGCCAGTGCCGGGCGCTGCTGGAGATGGGGCACCCGGACAGGTGGGCGGGCGCGTGGCCAGTTCACAGGAATGGTCCAGCAGGACCTGAAGCTTCGCTGTTGGGAGTTGGCGCAGCGCTGGAATTGGACGTTGGGTGGGAGAGGTCCTCCTTGCTGTGTGCTGGAGCCCTCGAATTTGGCAAGTGGGCGGGCCGGAATGGGGGGACACGGCTCAGGGATGGTTGAGAGGGTGGGGCCAGGAGCACCTGGATTTGAGTGTAGTAGTGGGGACCTTGTCGGGGGAGAAAAGAGTAGGCGATGTCTAGGACTGGGGTAGAGAAGAATTTACTCAGGACAGGCAAGGGGCTCTTTCTACTCAGTGTCTGGGAGGACAGAAAAGCCTGTGCTGAGATTGGCTATGGCGGTGGGGCTGGAGACCTCCTGGTGCAGTGGGGTGATGTTGCCTCGTGTAGGCGGATGCTGAGCTCCAGGCCTGGACCAGGGATGGAATCTGTAAGGAGGTACAGAGAGAGACCTCTGTCCAAGTGGGCTCAGAGATTGGGGCTAGAGGTGGGATGCATTGGCTGGGGACCCAACCTGGGAGTCCAGAGTCCCACCGAGGTTCCTGGATAGGAGGGGCGTGAGACTGAGATAGAAACCGGGTGAGGCTGCCGAGGTGGGCGGATCACTTGAGGTCAGGAGTTGGAGACCAGCTTGGCCAACATGGTGAAACCCTGTCTCTACTAAAAATAAAAAATTAGCTGGGCATGGTGGCACGTGCCTGTAGTCCTAGCTACTGGGGAGGCTGAGGCAGGAGAATGGCTTGAACCTGGGTGGCAGAGGTTGCAGTGAGCCGAGATCGCGCCACTGCACTCCAGCCTGGTGACAGAGCAAGACTCCGTCTCAAAAAAAAAAAAAAAAAAAGAAAAGAAAAAAAAAGAAAGGAAACTGGGTGAGGCTGGATAGAGGTGAGCTTATCCATTTAGGGAAGCGGAGCTTTCCCTGCATGCTGAAATGCAGGGCTTTCTGAACCCAAGACTTGCAGAAAACAGAGTCCTGGCCAGGTGTAGTGGCTCACACCTGTAATCTCAACACTGGGAGGCTGAGGCAGGAGGATCGTTTGAGCCCAGGAGTTTGAGAACAGAGGGAACATAGTGAGACCTCATCTCTACAAAGAAATCAAAAAGTTAGCCAGGTGTAGAGTCACGTGCCTGTGGTCCCACTTGGGAGGCTGCAATGGGAGGATTGCTTGAGCATGGGAGGTGGAGGCTGCAGTGAGTTGTGATCACACCACTGCACTCCAGCCTGAGCAACAGAGCAAGACCCTGTCTCCAAAAAAAAAGAAAAAAGAAAAGAAAACAGAGCTCTACCTGGGGACACAGCCGTGTCTGAAGATTCCAAGGAAACACAGCCCTGTCCTGGGGAGGGGGTTTAGGGGGGTCACGCTCTGCCCCAGAAGTCTCAGGGGTCCATCCCTGCCCCTCCATGTCCCCCTTCAGCGAGCAGATCAGCCGGCGGCAGTCTCAGGTGGACCGCCTGTACGTGGCGCTCAAGGAGCTGGGTGAGGAGCGCCGGGTGGCTCTGGAACAGCAGTACTGGCTGTACCAGCTCAGCCGCCAGGTGAGCGAGCTTGAGCACTGGATTGCCGAGAAGGAGGTGGTGGCTGGCTCACCCGAGCTCGGCCAGGACTTTGAGCATGTCTCGGTGAGCATCATTAGTAATAAGTGATACCAGGAGCTACCACTAAGGTTCTCTGGGCCTTAGTTTCCTCATCTGTAGTATGAGGATAATAACAGCACCCGCCTCATGGCTCTGCTGTGAGACAAATGAGTTAATATAACGTAAAGCACTGAGGACCCTGCTTGGCACACATGCTGCCTCACACAGTGTTGGTTATTATTATCAGCTTATTATTTTATTGTTACTTATTGTTATTTTTATTGTTACTGTTTTGTTACTATTCTTGCCAGGTGTTCAGTAAGTGTTAGATATTATTTTTTATGATGATGATGATGATGATGATTATCATTACTCTTACCTGCCACAAAATGGTAGCCTCTGCCAGGTGTGGTGGCTCATGCCTGTAATCCCAACACTTTGGGAGGCCAAGGCAGGTGGATCACTTGAGGTCAGGAGTATGAGACCAGCCTGGCCAACATAGTGAAACCCCGTCTCTACTAAAAACACAAAAAAATCAGCTGGGTGTGGTGGCACATGCCTGTAGTCCTAGCTGTTTGGGAGGCTGAGGCAGGAGAATTGCTTGAACTGGGGAGGTGAAGGTTGCTGTAAGTGGCTATTGAACCACTGCACGCCAACCTGGGCGACAGAGCAAGACTCTGTATCAAAAAGAAAAAAAAACATTGTAGGCTGGAGGGGGCTGGTGTATGCTGCCCCTTTGCTCACTTTGCTGTACCCCCCCCCCCACTTCCTGATGGCAGGTGCTGCAGGAGAAATTCTCAGAGTTTGCCAGCGAGACAGGTATGGCAGGGCGGGAACGGCTGGCAGCTGTGAACCAGATGGTGGATGAGCTGATCGAGTGTGGCCATACAGCAGCGGCCACCATGGCCGAGTGGAAGGACGGACTGAACGAGGCCTGGGCTGAGCTGCTGGAGCTCATGGGCACACGGGCCCAGCTGCTGGCCGCCTCTCGGGAGCTTCATAAGTTCTTCAGTGACGCCCGAGAGCTTCAGGGACAGATTGAGGAGAAGCGGAGGCGGCTGCCCCGCCTGACCACCCCGCCTGAGCCGAGACCCAGTGCCAGTTCCATGCAGCGGACCCTGAGAGCCTTTGAGCATGACCTGCAGCTCCTCGTGTCCCAGGTGGGGCGCCGGTGGCCATCAGGGCAGGTGGGAGGGCCTGGACAGCTGTGGGCAGCAGAGTGGGCAAAAATCAGGCTGTGGAGCAGGTCGAAATTAGGCAGTGGCACAGACAGAAAGCGGACTACAGAACAGGAAGAAATTAGATAATGGAGCAGATAGAAAATGGACTGATGGAATGATATATAGAAATCAGGTATTGGCAGGGAAAAGTGGTACCTTAGAAGGTCTCACAGATATTAAACAGCTTCTGGCTGGGCGTGGTGGCTCCCTTTGGGAGGCCAACGCAGGCGGATCATCTGAGGTCAGGAGTTTAAGACCAGCCTGGTCAACGTGGTGAAACCCCATCTCTACTAAAAATACGAAAATTAGCCAGGTCTGGTGGCGGGCACCTGTAATCCCAGCTACTTGGGAGGCTGAGGCAGGAGAATCACTTGAACCCGGGAGGAGGAGGTTGCAGTGAGCCCAGATCTCGCCATTGCACTCCAGCCTATGTGACAAGAGTGATACTCTGTCTCAAAAAAAAAAAAAAAAAAAAAAGCTTCCAATAGATATTGGGCAGTGGTTCTCCTAAAACTGTGAGTTTTGCCTAAATCCAGATCAAGGGTCTAAAGGGAATTTTGAGAAGTCTGAGAGGAATTTGGCTGTGGTGTAGATAGAAATTAGACGACAGACAAGGCCAGGTGCGGTGGCTCACGCCTGTAATCCCAACACTTTGGGAGGTCGAGGCGGGCAGATCATGAGGTCAGGAGTTCAAGACCAGTCTGACCAACATGATGAAACCCCGTCTCTACTAAAAATACAAAAATTAGCAGGAATGGTGGCGGGCACCTGTAATCCCAGCTACACAGGAGACTGAGGCAGGAGAATCGCTTGAACCCGGGAGGCGGAGGTTGCAGTGAGCCGAGATCGCGCCACTGCACTCCAGCCTGGGCGACAGAGTGAGACTCCATCTCAAAAAAAAAAAAGAACTTAGATAACAGGTCTCTGATGGAAATCATATGACTTTTCTGAAATTAATTTGATGGGGGCGAATTTAATGAAAAAGGCAACAGAGATATTAGAAATTAGGCAGAGGTTCTGGCCAGAATTCGGATGTGGATCTGAGCAGTCAGATGGAAATGAAGCTGCAGGCCCAATACAACTCAGGCAGCAGGAAATTGGGTTGCAGTTCTAATGGAAGGTAGAAGTTGGGCAATTTTTGTTTGTTTGTTTGTTTATTTTTGAGACAGGGTCTCACTCTGTCACCCAGGCTGGAGTGCAGTGGCGCGATCTCAGCTCACTGCACCCTCTGCCTCCCAGGCTTAAGCGATTCTCCTGCCTCAGCCTTCCAAATAGCTGGGATTACATGCACGCGCCACCACACCTGGCTAATTTTTATATTTTTAGTAGAGACGGGATTTCACCATGTTGGCCAGGCTGGCCTCGAAATCCTGACCTCAGGTGATCTACCCGTCTCGGCCTCCCAAAGTGCTGGGATTACAGGCATGAGCTACTATGCCCAGCTGGCAATTATTATTATTATTATTATTATTATTATTATTATTATGAGGCAGAGTCTCTCTTTGTCACCCAGGCTGGAGTGTAGTGGTCTAATCTCGGCTCACTGCAACCTCTGCTTCCCGGGTTCAAGCAATTCTCCCACTTCAGCCTCGAGTAGCTGGGACTACAGGTGCAAGCCACCACACCCAGCTAATTTTTGTATTTTTAGTAGAGATGGGGTTTCACCATGTTGGCCAGGCTGATCTTGAACTCCTGACCTCAAGTGATCTGCCCGCCTTGGCCTCCCAAAGTGCTGGGGTTATAGGCATGAGCCACCGCGCCCAGCCCAGTTATTTTTTATAAATCCTACAAATGACTTAGAAATCAGGCTGAGAGATTCATAGTAATAAGTGGTGGATCTGTTAGAGATGGGGAGGTCACACCAAAATAAATCAGGAGATTGAACCAACAGAGTGAGCAGCAGGCTGAGCACAGTGGCTTATGCCTATAATCTCAGCACTTTGGGAGGCCAACCTGGGAGGATTGCTTGAGCCCAGGAGTTCAAGATGAGCCTGGGCAACATAGTAAGACTCCATCTCTATTACAACATATATGTATATATCCTGATACAGTGGCATGCACCTGTAGTTCAGCTATTAGTAGGCTGAGGCAGGAGGATCACTTGAGCCCGGGATGTCAAGGCTGCAGTGAATTGTGTTTGTGCCACTGCACTGCAGCCTGGGCAACAGAGCAAGACCCTGTCTCAGAAAAACAAACAAAAAACCCAAAACCCAAAAGATAGAGTGAGCAGAGCTCATACAGCAGAATGAATGGAAATTGGGCAGGGGAGTAATGGCAATTGAACAGCCGTCGTGTAGGAAACTGGGCTACTATGAAGGAGTGGGTTTGAAATAAACTGAGTTAAAAAAAAATTAGCACATCTAAAAGACATCAAAGTGGAAAGGGGTTTCCTGAAAGACCCAAGGTAGGGGTGGGCCTGCCTGAAAACACAGGTGGCAGACCCAATAGAAATAAAGCTCTCAGACCAAAAGAAATCAGGCAGTGGGTTGAAAGAGATGTGGTAGTAGATCTAAAAGAAGTCAGAATGCGGGTAAGTCAAAGAGAAATCAGGCAGCAGATATGACAGGAGCCTGGCTGTGGGATCACAGTGTGAGGCTCCTTATATCTTGAGGTTCTGCGCTGGAGCAGATGGTGGGAGGGAGGGCACAGCCTGGGCCCCGTGGAGGGCTGGCGCCCGACCTGGCATGCCCTTCAGGTACGGCAGCTGCAGGAGGGGGCGGCCCAGCTGCGGACGGTGTATGCGGGTGAACATGCCGAGGCCATCGCTAGCCGGGAGCAGGAGGTGCTGCAGGGTTGGAAAGAGCTGCTGTCAGCCTGTGAGGATGCCCGCCTGCATGTCAGCTCCACAGCCGACGCCCTGCGCTTCCACAGCCAAGTCCGCGACCTGCTCTCCTGGATGGATGGCATCGCCAGCCAGATTGGGGCAGCCGACAAGCCCAGGTGCCCCTCATCCCTCCTCGGGCTTCCTGCCTCCCCCTGGTGGCCTACCCCAGCCACCCCCAGCCCATTGACAGCCCCCTTCTCAATGGAATGACAACAGCCAATATCTGTGTGGCGCCTCTGTGTGCTAGGCACTGTTCTAGGTGCTTCGTGTGTATTCAGACCCCTTTTTTAGGCCTGTCATTGGGGACTTCGGTCATGGGGCATCCTTCTGTCCGCTGTCCTTCCCAGTTGCCTATTATTACCCTCTCCATGGGATGTCACAGCATGAAACAGGCTAAAGACAGGATGGGCAAGGGAGGTGTGGGACTGTATTTGTGAGGGTGGGTGAAGAATTCTAACAATTCCAGCATCTCAGTGGCTTCATTAGTGGGCATGGGCTTATTGCTCACATAGTGGTTGGATGTGAGTGTCCAGCAGAATCCTGTCCCCTGGTGATTGGGAGCCAGGGTCCTTCCATCATGCCACCCTGGGAGTCACATGCTGGACCCTCTGCATCCCGCTGCAGATGGGAAAAGATAGCAGGAGGATCACACAGAAGGTTTTAGGGATAAAGCCGGCACCCACACACTGCCAGCCCGGTGGCCTAACCTGTCTGCCAGGGAGGCTGCAAATTTTTTTTTCTCTTGAGATGGAGTCTTGCTCTGTTGCCCAGGCTGGAGTGCAGTGGCACAATATCACCTCACTGCAACCTCCGTCTCCCAGGTTCAAGCGATTCTCCTGCCTCAGCCTCCCAAGTAGCTGGGACTACAGGCGCCCACCACCACGTCTGGCTAATTTTGTATTTTTAGTAGAGAAAGGGTTTCACCGTGTTGGCCACTCTGGTCTCAAACTCCTGGCCTCAAGTGGTCCACCTGCCTCAGCCTTCCAAAGTGCTGGGATTACAGGCATAAGCCACCGTGCCTGACCTAGGCTGGAAATTTAGTTTCATGGTGTGGCTAGGAAGAAAAGGACCTAGGGAATCAGGGACACCTGGCATTGCTTCTGGGAATGCAGATCCTGCAGCCTGCATTCATTTACTCAGCAAATATGTATTAAATGCATATGGTGTGCCATGTGGTGAGCAAGGCCAAGCACTTGCCCTGAGACAGATTGCATTCTCATAGCACTTATTACTTTCTGAAATATAGCATGGGGATGGGGCACAGTGGCTCACGCCTGTAATCCCAGCACTTTGGGAGGCTGAGGCAGGCAGATCACCTGAGCTCAGGAGTTTGAGACCAGCCTAGCCAACATGGCAAAACTCCGTCTCTACTAAAAATACAAAAATTAGCCAGGCATAGTGGTGGACACCTGTAATCCCAGCTACTTGGGAGGCTGAGGCAGGAGAATCGCTTGAACCCGGGAGGTGGAGGTCACAGTGAGCCAAGATCGTGCCACTGCACTCCAGCCTGGGTGACAAGAGCAAAACTCCGTCTCAAAAAAAAAAAAAAGAAAAGAAAAAAAAATGAAATATAGCGTGGGTATATATACATACATAGGAAGGGAATGATAGCTGGCAAAGTCTCTCTGAGGATGTGCGTTTGACTGGAGACCTGAATGAAGTGATGGGTGAGTCAGGTAAAGTTTTGAGGGAAGAGTTTTCTAGGTGGAGGGACCCACAAGTGCAAGGGCCCAGAAGTGGGCTGTAGTTAGGCATGTGTGAGGAAAAGCTAGAGATCACTGTGGCCAGATGGAGGGAGGGAGTGAGGGAGTGTAGGGTGAGAGGAAGTGAGTACAGAGGGGCACTGGGGCCCTGGAAACCACACATGGTGAGGAGCATGCCTTCTCTATGAGGAACGTGGGAGCCATGCGAGAGTTTAGAGCAGAGTGGAGTGATGTGATGTGTACATTTGAGAAAAATAGGCCGGGCATGGTGGCTTATACCTGTCATCCCAGCACTTTGGGAGGCCAAGGCGGGTGGATCACTTGAGGACAGGACTTTGAGACCAGCTTGGCCAATGTGGCGAAACCCCGCCTCTACTAAAAATACAAAAATTAGCTGGGTGTTGTGGCATGTGCCTGTAGTCCCAGCTACTGGGGAGGCTGAGGCAGGAGAATTGCTTGAACCTGGAAGGTGGAGGTTGCAGTGTGCTGAGATCGTACCACTGCACTCCAGCCTGGGCAACAGAGCGAGACTCTGTGTCAAAAAAAAAAAAAAAAAAAAAAAGGCTGGGCACAGTGGCTCACACCTGTAATCCCAGCATTTTGGGAGGCTGAGGTGGGTGGATCACTTGAGGTCGGGAGTTCGAGAGCAGCCTGACCAACATAGAGAAACCTCATCTCTACTAAAAATACAAACTTAGCCGGGTGTGGTGGCACATGCCTGTAATCCCAGCTACTTGGGAGGCTGAGGCAGGAGAATTGCTTGAACCCAGGAGGCGGAGGTTGCGGTGAGCCAAGATTGTGCCATTGCACTCCAGCCTGGGCAACAAGAGCGAAATTCCATCTCAAAAAAAAAAAAATTAAATATACAGGGAAGTAAAGGTAACCCACATGTGTATCGTGAACACTTGGCTTGAACAACCATCAACATTTGGCCAATCTAGCCAAAAGAGGTGGCTCACGCCTGTAATCCCAACACTGGGAGGCCAAGGCAAGAGGATCACTTGAGGCCAGGAGTTTGAGACTACCCTACGCAACATAGTGAGACCCCATCTCTACAAAAAAGAAAAAAATTAGTCAAGCATGGTGGTGTGCATGCCTGTTGTCCCAGCTACTTGGGAGTCTGAGGGAGGAGGATCACTTGAGTCCAGGAGGGTCAGGCTGCAGTGAGCCATGATTATGCCATTTCACTCCAGCCTGGGTGACAGAGCGAGATTCTGTCTTAAAAAAAAATTTTTTTTTTTTAATTAGCTGGGCATTGTGGTGCATGCCTGTAGTCCCAGCTACCCTGGAGGCTAAGCCAGGATGATCACTTAAGCCCAGGTGGTAGATTCAAACCATAGCATGAAGCTATGATTGCCAACTGATGGAACCTTCAGAAACTTGGAATTTGTTTTGGACATAAGATGGCTTAGAATGGTGCTGTCCAATAGTTATATAACACGAGCCACAAATGCGAGCCACATATATACTTTAAAATCTTCTTGTGGCCATACTAACAAAGCAAAGCAAATGAAACTTAATTTTAGTAATACATTTTTATTTAACCTGACATACCCAAAGTATTATCACTTCAACAGGTAGTCAATATTAAAACTATTAATGAGGCCAGGCAGTTTCGAACTTCTGGCCTCAGGTGATCCGCCCGCCTCAGCCTCCCAATCTCAGCCAAGCGGAGATCGCACCACTGCAGTCCAGCCTAGGTGACAGAAGGAGACTCCATCTCAAAAACAACAACAACCAAAACAAAGAAACAAAACTATTAATGAGGCCAGGCGCAGTGGCTCATGCCTGTAATCTCGGCTGAGATTGGGAGGCTAAGGCAGGCGGATCACCTGAGGCCAGAAGTTCGAGACCAGCCTGGCCAACATGCCAAAAATCCATCTCTACTGAAAATACAGAACAAAAAATTAGCCAGGCTTGGTGGCGGGCACCTGTAATCCCAGCTACTCGGGAGGCTGAGGCAGGAGAATTGCTTGAACCCAGAAGGTGGAGGCTGCAGTGAGCCAAGATCACGCCATTGCACTCCAGCCTGGGCAAGAAGAGCAAATCTCTGTCTCAAAAACAAACAAACAAACAAACAAAGGCTGGGTGCGGTGGCTCACGCCTGTAATCCCTGCACTTTGGGAGGCCTAGGCAGGCGGATCAACTGAGGTCAGGAGTTTGAGACCAGCCTGACAAACATGTTGAAACCCTGTTTCTACTAAAAATACAAAAAAATTAGCCAGGCATGGTGGCAGGTGCCTGTAATCCCAGCTACTCAGGAAGCTGAGGCAGGGGAATCGCTTGAACCTACCTAGAAGGGGGAGGTTGCAGTGAGCGGAGATCGCACCACTGCACAACAACAACAAAAAACTATTAATGAGACATTTTACATTCTTTTTTACATTAACTCCACAAAATCTGGTGTGCATTTTACACTTTACACCAAAATTCAGACTGGCCACATTTCAAGTGCTCACATGTCTAGTGGCTACTGCCTTGGAGAGCACAGACTTGGAACGTTAAAATCATTGGCTAGTGGAACCTTCAGAAGCATAGCTAGAAAAAGTTTGAAAATTTGGATCTTGGCTGGGTGTGGTGGCTTATGCCCATAGCCTTGAACTTTGGGAGGCTGAGGCAGGTGGATTGCTTGAGCCCAGGGGTTTGAGACCAGCCTGGGCAACATAGCAAGACCCTGTCTCTACAGAAAATGAAAAATTAGTTGGGTGTGATGGTGTGCACCTGTGGTCCCCGCTACTCAGGAGGCTGAGGCAGGAGGATTGCATGAGCCCAGGAGGTTGAGACTGAAGTGAGCTGCAATCTTGCCACTGCACTCCAGTCTGGGCAACAGAGCAAGACCCTATTAAAAAAAAAAAAAAGGAAAATTTGGATCTTGAAATCCTAGAAGGTTAGAATCACCAAAGTGTGAAATTTTAGAAACTTGGAAAATTTGAATCATTGAATTAGTGAACCATGGACCCTCAGAATTTGGTCATCGAAAGTAGGTGTCTCAGTCTGGTTTGGTGACTCAACGCCTGTAATCCCAGCACTTTGGGAGACTGAGATGGGAGGATCACCTGAGGTCAGGAGTTCAAGACCAGCCTGGCCAACATGGAGAAACCCCATCTCTACTAAAAATATAAAAATTATCTGGGCGTGGTGGCAGGTGCCTGTAATCCCAGCTACTCAGGAGGCTGAGGCAGGAGAATCGCCTGAACTCGGGAGGTGGAGTTTGCAGTGAGCCGAGATCGCCCCACTGCACTCCAGCCTGGGCCATAGGGTGAGACTTTATCTCAAAAAAAAAAAGAAAAGAAAAGAAAAGAAAAGAAAGTAAGTGTCTTGAGGTGGTATGGGATGTCAGCCTCAAGGATTTGGGGTCACCAGGAGCCACATGTATGGGGCAGGCTGAGGAGGCTCCCTGTGGCTCAGATCCCTGCCTGCCACCCACTGCAGGGACGTGTCATCAGTGGAGGTGCTCATGAACTACCACCAGGGCCTGAAGACTGAGCTGGAGGCGCGGGTGCCTGAGCTGACCACCTGCCAGGAGCTGGGGCGATCTCTGCTGCTCAACAAAAGTGCCATGGCTGATGAGGTGGGGAGCAGGGAGGGGGTCCCCCTCTGCCACCCGGGCACATTGGGGTGGAAGCCATTCCACACCCTGACTTCCCTCCCACCCACCTGCCACTCCCAGATCCAGGCACAGCTGGACAAGCTGGGAACCAGGAAGGAGGAGGTGTCGGAAAAGTGGGACCGCCATTGGGAGTGGCTGCAGCAGAGTGAGTGGGGGCCCAGGCACACGTGGTTCAAGGGCACAGGGACATGCTCCAGCCTGTCCAGCCAAGGCCCAGAGGGTGACAGGAGCATGCTTTGCACCCTACCCATGGGTCTCCAGAAGCAAACATAAGGGCCTGGAAGGGTGGACAAGGGGGCTGCCTTGCCATTGAATACCCACCCTTGAAAAAAAAGTCTTAAAGTCCTGGGTGGGGGGACATTAAGGAAGGAGGAATGGGAGTCAGAAAGGAGGAATGATGCCCACTGAAATAGCCCCAGCCTCTGCCATTCCTGCAGAGCCCAGGATGGTCAGGGCTCGGGTATGGAAAGCCGGAGGGGTGTGGAAGGCCAGGGGAACAGCCATTGCCCCCAGGAAGGGCCCCAGATGCCCCAGAATCCTTACCCTGCATGCCCCTCCTCAGTGCTGGAGGTGCACCAGTTTGCCCAGGAGGCGGTGGTGGCTGATGCCTGGCTGACAGCCCAGGAGCCGCTCCTGCAGAGCCGGGAGCTGGGCAGCAGCGTGGATGAGGTGGAGCAGCTTATCCGGCGACATGAGGCCTTCCGCAAAGCGGCTGCAGCCTGGGAAGAGAGGTTCAGCTCTCTGCGGCGCCTGACCACGGTCAGCTCCCCAGATACTGCCCCATTACCCCCACCCCCACCAAGACCCCCACACCCATGGCTCTATATGAGACAGACACACCGAGACATGGTGCTTGGTCCTGTGTTGTGTGAGTGCCAAGACAGACTCTTGCTAGGCTCCCAGTGGAGCAGAGGGACAGACCTGTCACCAGTGACAGCCCAGAATGTCAGGGATGTGATAGGGGAAGAACAAGCAGAGGGATAGTGCCTGGGATGGGGGAGTGGGAGGGGGAACTGGCCTGGGGGATTCTATTCTGAGACTTGAATAATTAGGTGAAGAGAATGTAGTAATAAAAAGGATTAGGCCAGGTGTGACGGCTCATGCCTGTAGTCCCAGCATTTTGGGAGACCAAGATGGGTGGATCACTTGAGGCCAGGAGTTTGAGACCAGCCTGGCCAACGTGGTGAAACCCCATCTCTACTAAAAATGCAAAAATTAGCTGGGCGTGGTGGTGCACGCCTGTAATCCCAGCTACTCGGGAGGCTGAGGCAGGATAATCACTTGAACTTGGGAGGCAGAGGTTGCAGTGAGCCAAGATCGTGCCACTGCCTGGGTAACAGAACAAGACTCCATCTCAAAACAACAACAACAATAAAAAAAAAACAACAAAAAAAAACCGCTTAAAGGCTGGGTGGGGTGGCTCACACCTGTACTCTCTTTGGAAGCCTAGGCGGGAGGATCACTTGAACCCAGGAGTTCAAGACCAGCCTTGGCAACATACTGAGAAGCCGTCTCTACCAAAACCAAAAGCAAACAAAGAAAAAACAGCCAGGCGTGATGGCACGTGCCTGTAGTCCCAGCTACTCAGAGGGGTGACTGAGACTCGAGGATCACTTGAGCACTGGAGGTCAAGGCTGCAATGAGCTATGATCTTGCTGCTTGCACTCCAGCCTGGGCGACAGAGCAAGACTGTCTCAAAAATAAATAAATAAATAAATAAATAAATAAATAAATAAATAAATAAAGTCTTAAAGTCCTGGGTGGGGGGACATTAAGGAAGGAGAAATGGGAGTCAGAAAGGCACGCAGAGCAATTGATTTACCCAATTTTTAAAAAAGTGATTTAGCCAATTCTTAAAAGAGCAATAGGTGTTTGCCGGAGAGAATAGGCTTTAAGTTCTTGGCAGAGAGCAAAGCATCGCACAGGCCTGGACACCTTGCTTTTTCAAGGAACTGGTCAATTGAGTGATGAGGCAGAAAAACCCAGGCCGCCTCCCCGGACCTCCCCCTTACCCCGCCCCGGCCCCACGCCTCCAACCTAACCCTGGTCCCTCCATCCTCAGATCGAGAAAATCAAAGCGGAACAGAGCAAGCAGCCGCCTACCCCACTGCTGGGGCGCAAGTTCTTTGGGGACCCCACGGAACTGGCGGCCAAGGCGGCGCCCCTGCTGCGGCCAGGGGGCTATGAAAGGGGCTTGGAGCCCCTGGCCCGCCGAGCCTCGGACACGCTCTCGGCCGAGGTGCGGACTCGGGTGGGGTATGTGCGCCAGGAGCTCAAGCCCGAGCGCCTCCAGCCGCGCATTGACCGGCTGCCGGAGATCCCGGGGAGGGTGGAGCCCGCGGCCCTGCCGGCCGCACCAGAGGACGCGGCGGAGACCCCCGCGACCCCCGCGGCGGCGGAGCAGGTGCGGCCACGACCGGAGCGCCAGGAGTCAGCTGATCGCGCGGAGGAGCTGCCCAGGAGGCGGCGGCCTGAGCGGCAAGAGTCAGTCGATCAATCCGAGGAGGCTGCGCGGAGGCGGCGGCCGGAGCGGCAGGAGTCAGCGGAGCACGAGGCGGCACACAGCCTTACCCTGGGCCGCTATGAGCAGATGGAGCGGCGGCGCGAGCGGCGTGAGCGGCGCTTGGAGCGGCAGGAGTCCAGCGAACAGGAGATGCCCATCAGAGGAGACCTGGTCAAGGGGTGAGGTGCCCGCCTTATGACCAGAAAGTGAGGGGAGGGGAAAGCGGAGAGCTCCTAGAACCCCTCAGGCCCAGTGAAAGGGCTTCAGGGCTCAGAACTTCCCAAAGAAGGAGATATCGCCGCGGTACCCATTTTGCAGAGGTGTAAACTGAAGCTGCAAGATAATCGATGTGCCCATTGTTACACAGAAAGGGGAGCCCTTCCTGTTGAAAGAAAAGGCAGACTGCCTTTCTCCAGACGTAGGTTCTCGGCCCCTGGGTTGTGACTCCTGCATCAAGTCTCCCGGGTGCCCCGAGGCAGGGATTTTGTCCTCTCTGTGCCTCAGTTTGCCCACTGGGCTAATGGTGGAACCCTCACCTCCTTGATTGGAGAGGAGACCCTTTATCACAATTCTCTCAGCAGCCTTATGAAGTGGGGGCTGTTGTCTTCTCCATTGTATGACTAGGGCAACTGAGGCACAAAAAGGGCAAGTCACTCAGCTTAAACGAACCAGGACTTTCAGAATCCAGAGTTGGCCAGTGTGTGTTGTGCAGATCTGTCCAGTCAGCTGAGTGTGTCTCCAGAAAGAGGCCTTTGGTCAGGAGACAATGACTTCTTGATTCTTTTTAAATTGCACATTTCATGAACATTTGCTGAGTGCCCACTCTGCCTGGCATGTGCTGAGTCGAGCGGTGACTGAACCAGTCCCATCCCTGACTTTAGAGACTCACAGTCCATTGGGAAAAACAGGCTTGTCATCAATGATGACCGAGAATTATCTGGGCTGGAATGGGGGCGATTGGGGGACTGGAGAGTCAGGGGTGGGTGGAGAAAGGCAACGTTTGCAAGTTGTTCTTTGTGCTGCTTAAAATTCAAAGGGGCATCTGGGCGCGGTGGCTCACGCCTGTAATCTCAGCACTTTGGGAGGTTGAGGCGGGCAGATCACTTGAGGTCAGAAGTTCGAGACCAACCTGGCCAATATAGCAAAACCCTGTCTCTACTAAAAATGCAAAAATTAGCCGGCATGGTGGCGCACGCCTGTAGTACCAGCTACTTGGGAGGCTGAGGCAGGGGAATCGCTTCAACACAGGAGGCAGAGGTTGCAGTGAGCCGAGATCATGCACCACTACACTCCAGCCTGGGCAACAGAGAAAGACTCCGTCTCAAAAAAAAAAAAAAAAAAATTCAAAGGGGCGAGAGGTTTGGTCTTCCATTCAGCAGACACGTCCCAAACACCTGTGGTACCTAAGGCGAGCATCTGAGAGAAACAGCTGCAGAAGTGGGCAGGGGCCTGGCACTTCCAGCTAAGAAGTGGAGGCTCCTCTGCCCAGCCAGACAGGTCCATGGGAGAAGGAACCCTGGTTTCACTGGGTCTTTCTGTCCCCCATCCCCCAGGAAGGCCACCCTGGCTGACATTGTGGAACAGCTGCAGGAGAAAGAGGCAGGCCCAGGGCTGCCTGCTGGGGTAAGTTGAGCCTCGGATGGGTGGGGATAGGAGGACCCCTTTTTCAGAGCAGGAGGCAGGATCTCAGAAACAGCCAGTGCCTAGCCCTGGCAGGACCCATTCCCTACCTGGACCCTGCAGAGACAGCATGGACTCTCAGGGTCCCCAGAATCTGAAAATGTCCCCCTTAGAAAGACGGGGCACCTACCTAAGAGACCCCTACTGCCCCTCCACACACACACACACACACACACACACACACACACACAGACACACACACACAGACACACACACACAGACACACAGACACAGATACACACACAGACACACACACACAGACTCTTCCCACATCTGTCCTGGACTCCGTATTTCTTCAGCTCAGTGGGGTCCCAAATTTCTTCATAGCCTCATACACACACACACAGAAGGAAGCCCCAGGTTTCTCCTGCAGACAGTGGGGACACGCCCTGCTTGCACCCCCACCTCCAGAGATCTGGCTGCCTCTTTCCACCACCGAGAGAGATTCCAAACCAATGAGTCCTAACAGACTCACTCCCAAGACCCATGGGGCCCTAAGAATTGGGCCTCCAACCCTGAGGTCCTCCCATACTCGCCTCCGAGACAAATGGCCCTGTAGACAGATGGGACCCCAGACCCATGACTCCCCCAAACAGATGACCCCCACACCCTCTCCATGGACAGCACCCCTCTTCCCCCTCCCTTCACACAGCCGTCGCTGCCTCAGCCACGCGAGCTTCCCCCAGGTCGCCTGCCCAACGGGCTTGAGCTGCCCGAGCGGACACCTCGGCCGGACCGGCCCCGGGCGCGGGACCGGCCCAAGCCGCGACGGCGGCCGCGGCCCAGAGAGGGTGGTGAGGGCGGGGGAAGCCGGCGCTCGCGCTCCGCCCCGGCCCAGGGCGGCTCCGCCCCCGCGCCTCCGCCACCGCCCACTCACACAGTGCAGCACGAGGGCTTCCTACTGCGCAAGCGCGAGCTCGACGCTAACCGCAAGTCGTCCAACCGGTGAGCGTGTGGGCGGGGCTTTGGAAGGCGGGTCTCAGGCTCAGGGTGACCATTGCGTGGAGCGGTGGGACTGAGGAGGGGGTGTGGCTCAACTTCAGGCCCTCCAGCAGGTGGCGGTAGTAGGTGGGGCCAGAGCTGGGGGGTGGTGGTGGCTTAAATCAAGAAAGCCAACCAATGAGCAGGAGGGGGTGTGGTTTAACGTCAGGCCCTCCAACCCGTGGGGGTAGTAGGTGGGGCCAGATGAGGGGTGGGGCTCAACTTTGATGATTCCAACCAATGAACAGGAAGGGGCAGGACCTAAGGTTAGTGCATCTAATGGATGATGGGTAGAGCTTAGGTGGGAACAGAAGGAAAATGTTCTGAAAGTGAGTAAATTGGAACCTAACCTCTTAGCAACCAACCCAGGAGTTGATCAGCTAAATAGCAAAGAGGGAGGCATCTAGTTGAGAAGGTTTCAATGGCTTGTCGTGGAGCTTGGAGAGGTCACTCAACCAATGAGTGGGGTGGGTCTACCCTTGAAGTTTCAAATTGGGGGAGGGTCCGAAAACGGGCAGAGCCCAAACTAATGAGGGTAGGGGTTGGGAAGGGGGAGTCATCTCTTACAGGTTTCCAAATGAGGGTCTAGCCATGATGTGCCTGCTCTTGGGGAGTCCAGCTCCTGCTTGTCCACCCTCTTTTTGTCCAACTGAGAGGCAGAATCTGGGGACAAGTGGAGCCAAAAAGGGGTATCACCGGCCAGTAATGGAGTGAGTCCCAAGATATGAAGTGGGCAGGACAGATTCAGATTTTGCTAGTGGAATCTGTAGGTGGTCTTTCTTCCTCGTACCTAATGCCAAGGTAGGAATAAACAAGGGCACCTAGTATGTTTTGCTTTGGGAGGGATTCCTCCAGGATCGAGGCTTTGGATGACTGGAGAGACAGGAATTCTTTATTCCAGACAGTAGACCAATAGACTTTCCTTGAGAAAGCTCCATGAGTGGGGAGGATTGAGTGGAGCAAAGGCTTATGGAGGAGACAGCTTAAGACTTACCTTCAGGAAATTCAGTATGGGAGGGGATAAGGAAGGGAAATCTCAGCCTGGGCAAAGGCTTGATACTGAGAGACTTAAATGCTCCCCTCAGGGCAGCAACAGCCTTAAGGAAGAGCATTTTAGGTCCAACTAGGGCGCAACTAGGGCGCAAAGGTCCAGAGGTAGGAAGGCTCAGACATATTCAGACCTTGAGGATGTTAATGAAGAGTTATTAGGCAGAGTGCTGCGGCTCTGCCTTGAGCCCCATCTTGTCGCTCCAGGTCGTGGGTGAGCCTGTACTGTGTGCTTAGTAAGGGGGAACTGGGCTTCTACAAGGACTCCAAGGGCCCGGCATCCGGGAGCACACACGGTGGGGAACCGCTGCTCAGCCTGCACAAGGCCACCAGCGAGGTGGCTAGTGACTACAAGAAAAAGAAGCATGTCTTCAAGCTCCAGTGAGCCCCCCAATGGGCAGGAGGGAGGGATCCAAGGCTCAGCTTCAACTCCCAGTGGGACCCTGGCTTCCCTGGGGGACACTTGGTGGGCAGGTGGGCTGGGCCCCTTCCCCAGATCTCTGAAGTCCTGTGTCCCTTCCTGCAGGACCCAGGATGGCAGTGAGTTTTTGCTCCAGGCAAAAGATGAGGTGAGATCTGGTCCTTTCCTCCCTCTGTGTGGACCTCAGTAATGACCTGGCTGTCTGGCTCCTGACCCAGAGTGATGGGGCTGTGAGAAGGGACACTCACAGGCCAGAGTTATCAGGGCTGTAATGGGAAAGCCCACAGGCACTGAGAGCCCAAAGGAGGTTCCTAACCCAGTGGGGAGTGGGAAGGGCTTCAGGGAGGGCTGCCTGCAGATCCTGATGACAAAGTCCAACATCTTTGCCGTGGTCACTCAGGTGAGACTGGAATGGAGGGAGTTCGCTTTAAAAAGGGGTGATTTGGCCAGGCGCGGTGGCTCACGCTTGTAATCCCAGTACTTTGGGAGGCCAAGACGGGCAGATCACCTGAGGTCAGGAGTTTGAGACCAGCCTGGCCAACATGGTGAAACCCCGTCTCTACTAAAAAATACAAAAATTAACTGGGCATGGTGGCAGGTGCCTTAATCCCAGCTACTTGGGAGGCAGAGGCAGGAGAATCGTTTGAACCTGGAAGGCGGAGGTTGCAGTGAGCTGAGATGGAGCCATTGCACTCAAGCCTGGGGGACAACAGCGAGACTTCCTTCGAAAATAAAATAAAAATAAAAAGGGTGATTCAGAGGGACAGTGGGGGTCTAAAAAAAGGAGTGATTCAGGTTGGGCACCATGGCTCAGGCCTGTAATCCCAGCACTTTGGGAGGCCAAGGCAGGAGACTGCTTGAGCCCAGGACTTCAAGATCAGCCTGGGCAACACGGAAAGATCCCATCTCTATGGGTAATAATAATAATAAATTAGCCGGGAGTGGTGGCACATGCCTGTGGTCCCAGCTACTCAGGAGGCCGAGTGGAAGGATCACCTGAACCAGGGAGGTCAAGGCTACAATGAGCTGTGATTGTACTATGGCACTCCAGGCTGGGTGACAGAGTGAGATTCTGTCTCAAAAACAAGAGGGGGTGGGTGATCTAGGTAGAGGGAACTGCAAGTGCAGAGGACCAGAGGTGCAGTATTGCAAAGGGTTAACTGCTGGAGGGCAGAGTTCATGGAAGAAGGTCCCAGAAAGGTTCCCAGGAGATAGGTGTCTCAGGACAGGATGGGCCATTTGGAGGAGATTGGATTTTTTACCTAAGGGCACTGGAGAGCTAGGGGGGATTACAGTGATGTGTAAAAAAGATTCCTGGCTGGGCGCAGTGGCTTACGCCTGTAATCCCAGCACTTCGGGAGGCCGAGGCGGGTGGATCACCTGAGGTCAGGAGTTTGAGGCCAGCCTGACCAACATGGAGAAACCCCATCTCTTATGGTGCATGCCTGTAATCCCAGCTACTCGGGAGGCTGAGGCAGGAGGATTGCTTGAACCCGGAAGGCAGAGGTTGCAGTGAGCTGAGACAGCGCCATTGCACTCCAGCCTGGGTAACAAGAGCAAAACTCCATCTCAAAAACAAAATAAACAGGCCGGGCATGGTGGCTCACGCCTGTAATCCCAGCATTTTGGGAGGCCGAGGCGGGCAGATCACAAGGTCAGGAGATCGAGACCATCCTGGCTGACACGGTGAAACCCCGTCTCTACTAAAAATACAAAAAAATTAGCTGGGCATGGTGGCGGGCGCCTGTAGTCCCAGCTACTTGGGAGGCTGAGGCAGAAGAATGGCTTGAACCCGGGAGGTGGAGCTTGCAGTGAGCTGAGATTGCGCCACTGCACTCCAGCCTGAGCGACAGAGCGAGACTCCATCTCAAAACAAAACAAACAAACAAAACAAAACAAAACAAAACAAAACAAAAAAAGATTCCTTTGGCTACCTGGGTGGGTAGCCCAGGCCGCGGCCAGGGCAGGGACCCAA